>NC_000004.12:107046381-107671381 GCF_000001405.40 Homo sapiens
AATAAGTAAAGAGATAAAAAATTCAACAGAATAATATAGATGCGATAGATAAAGAAGATCCAACATACTTATAATAGTTTTCACCAAATAAGAAACACAAGCAATGAAACAAGTCAAATACTAAAAACAATAATCAATTTTTTTTCTAAAATAATGAGAACAAAACCAAAAAGATTTCAAACTACCTATATACTTTCTTAGGGGAAAATAAATCCAGGATGGACAACACCATGACATATTCTAGTAAAACTACTGACCTTGAAAAAAACAACCTTTGGCCAGTGGGCAAAAACATCATGTCACTTACAAAGAACATTTCAACAGACACGTTTTATATCAGAAGACAATTAAGTAACATATTTAGGATACCCAAGAGATGAAAATGTGAACTAATAATTTTAAATCCAGCTAAACTGAGCTTCACATAACAGTTTTCAGACAAAATGGTTTACGAATGCAAGAAGTCAGAAAACATTATTACATAAGCCCCACCTTGGAAATTTACCAGAAAACAGTATTAAAACAACTACAATGATTGGCAAGATTGAAATATGGACTGATATGAAAGACACTGAGCAACTAAAGACCTAGAGGGGGGAAAAAACTGACTTTAAGACAATTAGTAAAAGAAGATCTAAAATTTTATCAATTAAAAAAATTCTGTCAATGCTCAATTTACCACGAAAAGACCCATTTTTGGAAGGTCATATTTTATTTCCTTTTATAGACCTGCTGTCTTGTATTTTACTTAGTCTAACATTAAATGAATTACAATTCCCTAAGTAGTCACATTTTTTGAAAGAAAGAAGCCATAAATCATGTCACTTATTGGCAGAGATAGGGCTAGGGATAAATTCAGGACAGAAAATCCAAAATATATTATAGTTGAGAATAGGGACTATGATAAATATGAAATCACCTGTAGAACTAAGACTATATGATGTTCTTCAGAGAAAAACACAGTATTATCTAATGGCTAAATGCAGCAACAAGTTATATGAGAGAGACTAACAGACTAATCTGCTTGTGAATATTGATGTCAGGTAATTTTAAGTAAAATAGTAGTAAAGAAGATCCAAAAGCCTTTTTAAATAATAAACCATGACTAAATGGGGCTTATTTAGAAATATAAGTTTAGACAATACACTAATATGCTCCATCAGTATAATAGAGCTAAGGAGAAAAATTATATATGATCATTTTCACAGATGCAAAAAAAGCATTTGGCAACACTCAACCAATGCTATTCATGTTAAAAAATTAATCAATAAAATGGGAATCTATGAATGCATGTATACATGCACCTCATTACAAAAGTTAGCATCTTCACTTAATAGCAAATCACTTGATGTTTAAATGGGAAACTCAGACAAGAATGTCCACAATCTCCACTTCTGTGAGCACTGTGTTAGAGGTAATAGTCATTCAATTAAGCAAGAGAAAAGTAACAACCATAAGAATTAGAAAGTATAAAGTAAACAATTTCTATTTGCGTAAGTATATATCTAACATAAGTATAAATGTGGAAAATACATTTGACATAATTATATATCTGAAAAATTCAAAGAACAGCACTTACTAAAGAAGCAGTTTTAAAGCTTAATATCCAATAATTATTAGCCTTTAGGTATTTTTAAAAATTTAGAAATTAGGCCAGGCGCAGTGGCTCATGCCTGTAATCCCAGCACTTTGGGAGGCTGAGGCGGGCAGATCATGAAGTCAGGAGATCGAGACCATCCTGGCCAACGTGGTGAAACCCCGTCTCTACTAAAAATACAAAAATTAGCTGGGTGTGGTAGCGCACACCTGTAGTCCCAGCTACTCGGGAGGCTGAGGCAGGAGAATCTCTTGAACCCCCAAGGTGGAGGTTGCAGTGAGCCGAGATCATGCCACTGCACTCCAGCCTGGTGACAGAGCAAGACACCATCTCAAAAAAAAAAAAGAAAGAAAGAAAGAAAGAAAGAAAGAAAGAAAGAAAAAAAACCCAAAATTAGAAATTATAATGGAAGAGAAGACCCCATGTCAATTGCCAAAAGCTAATAATGTAATAATGCAACATAACCCACAGTATAGAAAATCTATGTGAATCTATGTGAATGTAACTGTAATACTAGACTTCTGAAAAAAAATTTTAAGAAGCCTAAGGTGAACATAAAGTTATACAATGTTCTTTAAGTGGAAGACTCAAGATCATAAAGATATCCATTATTCCTGAGTTAATTTATAAATTTAATATAATCTCAATAAAAATACATCATATTTCTTTTTTCTCTAAACTGGGAAAGTTTATTTAAAATTAATGTATTGAATAAACGTCTTTTGGGAGAGTAAACAAGAAGGATCAGGAAAACTCTGAAAAAGAAAAGTATTGGTCAGAGGACTGGAGATACACTTACCAGAAATTAAAGCCTCTGGAAAAGAGGTTACTTTGTTACTGTCACATAAACAGACACACAGACCAATATGATACAATAGAAAATTCAGAAGTAGAGTCAATTGCATATGAACATTTAGTATAAGATAGAAGCAGCATCTCAAATACATAGAGGAAAAAGATGGATTTTTAAAAAACAAATCTTACTGTGTACATATGAGGTTTACAACATGTTGTTACGGGATACATATAGATAGTAAAATGGTTAAAATAATGAAACAAATTGACATACCTGTCATGTCACATAGTTACTTATTTTTTTGAAGTATTGGTTTAACTAGATAGACATATGAAGAAAGTTAAAACTGGATCTATTCCTCACACTGCAACATGACACATTCCAAATGAATAAAGAACTTAAATGTAAAAGAAATAAAACAATGCAAGAGATAAAAAGAAAACACAGATGAATTCCTTTATAAATTCAATTCCTCCATAACCAGAACACTTTTACTTTTGGCTTAAATACAATAGTAATAAAGAAAAAGACTGGAAAATTTGATGTCATAAAGATGGCTTTTTCATGGCAAAAATCACTACAAGCAAAGCTAAAAGATTAATGACAAAAGGAAAAATATGTGCATTTTATACCAAGAAAAAATAGTGAATATCTTTAATATATGAAGAGCTTCTAAAAATGAAAAAGGAAAAGTTAAACAACTTTACAGAGAAAATAGCCTGGAAAGGTGAACAGAAAGTTTTGAGAAAAAAACTAAGTATCTCTTTAAAAAAGAAAAAAAATGTTGGTACATAATAAGAGAAATGCAAATTCAAATTATACCAATATACCATTTCTTACCTATCAGATTGCAAAAATCCATTTTTTTTTTTTTTGGATTTTTGACCATATCTCTGCAGCAAGGCTGTGAGAAAACAAGCACCCTTGTACATTCTGGTGAGAATACAAAATGGTATCACTTTGTATGGAGAGGAATTTGACTATCTAATGAAGTTATACATGCATTTGATCTTTGACTCAGTAAGAAATCCCACTCTTAGGAATCTCTTCCAGAGAACAAAGAAGGAGACAAAAATTGAGAAAAGGGGGATTGGTAAAAAGTAACTTAATTTTATACATTTCAGTATTATTTAAATATTTTATAGTTCATTTCTATTTTTGTTTAAATGATGTAAATATTAAGATATACCTATATTCAAGTGTTATATTACTTGAATAGGTAAAAAAAAACCCACAAAATTTAAAAATGTTAATATCCAGGAAATACAGCAATAAAAGACCTAGAGTGAAAGGCAAAACCAACTTCAAGACAATTAGTAAAAGAAGATCTAAAAAGCAGTAAAAGAAGATCAATTAAAAAATTCTATCAATTCTCAATTTACCATTAAAAGACCCATTTTTGGAATTCCATATTTTATTTCCTTTTACAAACCAGATGTCTTCTATTTTACTTAGTCTAACATTAAATGAATTGCAATTCCCTAAGTAATCACATTTTGTGAAAGAAAGAAGCCATAAATTGTGTCACTTAGTGGCAGAGATGGGGATAGGGATAAATATTTGGGACAGAAAATCCAAAATATATTATAGTTAAGAATAGGGATTCTGATTTTCTCTTTTTGTGTAATTTTTCTTTCAAAATACTTTAGCTCCACTCACAGAGTTTGATACTTAAAAATGTTTATGAAACAAATGATTATACATATAATTTAATTACAAATTGACAAATACATATAGTAAAAACTGATCTCAGATCAATTTAACCTCTGGTTCAGTTACTTTACAATGATGCAATCAAACCTCTTTGTTTACCGAAGATTCTGATGAATAACTGGCCCATAGTCACTCAGAGTATAGGTAGCAAAGCCCAAAGTGAACTCCCCCTGTGACTTTTCATTTCAGCACAAATTCCACTTTAGTGGGATTTACACATGTTTCCCTGTTGGACGCTAGAGGGAGATTGTTTGCAGTTATCCATTCTTGGGCCTATTTTGCAGCAAGGTGATGTCCTTTTATCATTGTCATGTCTATGGCTGCATACAGTTCCATAAAGCCACTTTGCATCCTTAGGTTCTATCAAGAAAACACATTTTTATGAGCACTCTTTTATTGATAATATACATGGGAGAAACATCTATCTAGGAAATACAGTGATGTATCACTTAAGGATGGGGATACATTGTGAGGAATACGTCCTAGGGAGATTTCATCATTGTGTGAACATCATAGAGTGTATTTACACAAACCTAGATGGTATAGCCTACTACACACCTAGGGTATATTATTCCTGGGCTACAAATCCATACAGCATGTAGCTTTCTGAATACTGTAGGCAACTGTAATACAATGATACATATCTGTGTATCTAAACATATTAATAGAAAAGGGATAGTAAAAATATAGTATTATAATCTTATAGGACCACTGTGGTATATGTGGTTCATTGTTGACCAAAATGTTGTGGTGGACACATGACTGTAATTCACATCTATTTATAAAATGAGATTTTATACATCTATTTATAAAATGAGATCCCAAATTGAGGAATGAGCTCAGCTTGGTAGCGTGGGGTCCAGACCTGGGAGTCCAGAATAAGACCACTCCCTCTGCTTTTCATGAGACTGCTGGTCTCCTGATACTGCCTAGTTGTGTGGTTCTGCCTCATTCTACTGCTACTCTCTTGGTTTGTGGACTTGTGGCTCTCTTCTCTATGGAACTTTGACTTCAAAATAGGTAAAACCACATCTAACCAAAGTAGACCATAGCACAGATCTTGTTAACCTAGTCATATTCACAAAGCAGAACACATTTTAAAAAATGTAATAGCTACACTTCTAAAACCTCAGAGGATGCAACCTTTGTAATAAGATATTTTGTTATAGAATATATGACATTCTCTCTGTTCTCATGTTTCCTCCTTGTTCATTAAATCCCAACACACCAGCCTTCTTGCTGCTTCTGAACCTTCGAGATCCATTCTCATTTGGGAACTTTGCCCTAGCTGGCACCTCTGCCAACAGCTGTGTGGCCCACTCCCTCGCCAGTTTTAAATCTTGGCCCAAATATCATCTTCTCAATCAAGTCTACCCTACTTAAAATTGCACCATTACCACTCCATAGTGCTTATCTCTGTTAACTTGCTGTATATATTTCCCTATGGCATTTATAAATTGTATAATTCTACATATTTTACTTATTTATTATGTTGATTATTATATACATCCTCCACTGTAAGCTCAGTGAGAGTGAGGATTTTAGTCTACTTTACATATGGATGAATGCCAAACACCTAGGTCAGTGCCTGGCATGCAGAAGGCACTTAATAATGGGTGCAGCACACCAGCATGGCACATGCATACATATGTAACAAACCTGCACGTTGTGCACATGTACCCTAGAACTAAAGTATAATAAGAAATGAAAATAAAAAAAGAAGGCACTTAATAAAAGACTTAATTAAATCCTCTTCAGTTCAACTCAATAAAACATTACTGCTCTGTACTTGTATTTCATAATATTTTCATGCTCTCAATATTTGTTATTTTGAAATAAGTTTTTCTTACCAGAAAAACATTCAAAGATGGCATTATCTTTTTGTTACTTAGTCTGAACAGCCTGCAAACACTGATGCATTGCTATCATTATCTTGTCTTTTTTTTTTTTTTTTTTTGAGATGTATTCTCACCACACTGTCACCCAGGCTGGAGTGCAGTGGTGTGATCTCGGCTCACTGCAACCTCTGTCTCCTGGGTTCAAGTGATTCTCCCAACTCAGCTTCCCAAGTAGCTGGGACTACAGGTGAGTGCCACCATGCCCAGCTAATGTTTGTACTTTTAGTAGAGACAGGGTTTCGCCATGTTAGCCAGGCTGGTCTCAAATTCCTGGCCTCAGGCGACCCCCTCACCTTGGCCTCCCAAAATGTTGGGATTTCAGGTGTGATTCACTGTGTCTGGCCCATATCTTGTGTTTCTTGTGGTTAGGCACTTGAAATTTCTTCATTTTTCTCAACATCTGTGAATAATACACCTTTTTGTCATTTCTCTTAGTTTTTTTCTCATTTCTCTTAGTTTTTTTCTCGATCTTATATCCGTTGTAATTAATCTGTATTTTTCCATTGGAATTTAAGACATAAAATATATCTTAAGGCAGGAATAACTCTAAGCAAAATTGTGAAGTTAGATCAAATAAATCTTTGATGCTGTGCCAATGAAAATCATCTAATATTTGGTCTCCCTTACACACTGCTCCTAAGAAAACTACTGTATTAGTGGCCATGATGAAATTCCTGCCTTTGCACCAACTCTGAGTAGCTTAGGGCACTACTGCTCCAGGGGAACATTTGTGTTTAAATAAAACTATAAAATTCCAAGACCCATAAGACCTCAAAAAGTGTGATAGTGTCACATAGTGGGAGGAAATATTTGGAAACGAAATCTCCAGGCACTCTTTGAATTGTATCACGTAAGAGATCTCAAATCCTAAGATTCTTATTGGATAAATAATTTTTGAATTAGTGGATGCCATTTGAAAGACAATGCACTATCAGTGCATGAGAAGGAGTAGGTCAACAACCCATAGCTGACAACGACAACAACAACAAAACCATAAGAGTTGAGGTGGGCATGTGAAGTCAGAATGAATACAGAAATAGGTGAAGTGGTGGGTGGATATAAGGGATATCTTTGCTTATGCCTCCCACCACCATCTATCTTCCTTCTTATAGTAAGAGCATCCTGGTTTTCCTCTGTAGAACTACCCCACTCCCCTTGCCCTATTCTTACTTCACGTGGCTGTAACAGTGAACCGAGAATCCAGACCTAGCAACTTGGAGTATTTTATCCCTGGCCACAAAAGTTGATTCTTAGCAGCAAGGTCAGACACTTGCTGGAAGCATCGGAAATAAGAAGTTCTCCTTTTGTCAAGGTTTATTAACTAGCAGGATGTAAGGTAGAAGATAATTTACCTGAGAAAGTATGTCATACAAGGGAAAGCAAAATGAAGAGAGAAAAATTACTGATGATGATTTGAGCCATACCTGAAGTCCAGTGTTAGACATTCCTATTAAAACCAATAAATTTCCCTTTTTACTTAAGCTACTTCAAGCCTGGGTTTTCATCATTTATAATTAAAAGAATTCTAATAGATTAAAAATACACTGAATTTGGAATGAATCAAAGCTCTACTTTGGAAAATTCCAACCTAGAAACAAATAGAGGAAATTCATTACTGAAGCTCTTGAACACATAAGTATTATTTTCCTTTAAGTTCAAGCTTAACACATGCTAGAGTTTGGGTTTGAATGGAAGCAAAAAGATGTTTCAGAATTTATTAGAGAACATCTGACACAACTGTTTTTGGTGATAGATATTATATGAAAACAAGTGCTTATGATTTTCCAATATGGGTATACACATTACGATTGAAAATTTATTTTAAGATTGAAATGTATTTTATTATTCATATACTTTGGATCTGCTAATTTTATGAAATGGAACTGTAAGAAGAATCTCTTACACTTTTGATTTATAAATACCTCTCTTGGGATTATTAGTTTGAAACTAACAAGAATTTGCTCAAATGTGCATGGAAATTTTGAAGTAAGCAGTAGAAGAAACTTGATAGTAAGAGCACAACAGGCTCCCAATTAAGAGCACCCAAGCATCTGAGGATAAAACAAAAGCTCAGCTTGGTAGCATGGGATCCAGACCTGGGAGCCCAGAATAAGACCACTCCCTCTGCTTTTCGTGAGACATCTGGTCTCCTGATACTGCCTAGCTGTGCGCTTCTGCTTGATTCTACTACTACTCTTTTGGTTTGCTGACTTGTGGCTCTCTTCGCTATGGAACTTTGGCTTTCAACTGCATTTGGCTTTCTTTAGAGCCAACTCTAGTCACAACTCTTTATGATCTTGGAACTCAGTTATCTCTGCTAGATGATCCACTCAGTTTGATGGTTTTAAATTCCAAATACCTGGCTAAGAGAATCATTTTAGGTCATTTTAGGGGTAGGATCACCTGGTACAAACAGCCTACATTGGTTCACCATCCCCCCATGGCTTCAAGTAGAGAAAGGGCCTTTTCAAAAAGGACGTGAGCAGGAAGGCAATGATTACATTTTCTACCACAGAAAGTAATGTAAAAACTATTCTGATTACCACAGGGGTACTTATGCATTTCTTCTCACTGGGGATGCAGGATAAAATCATAACAGATGGTATTAAAAACAAATCATAATGTTTCAGATAATTAATTTATACTTTAAAAGTACTATTGAATGATTTTTGCTCCATACGAAAGAGTCTGGCTTGTTTGTATTAAAGAACAAATTAAAATATAAGTATCTCAAAAAATTCATTAGACATGTTCAAATTTATTCTATCCATTATGTCTTATGACATTTCAAATTAATGGCATTATCTCTATAGATTTTTTTTGTATATATATATATACTTCAGGACTCAAAACAGATTTTAGAAACAAATCAACATTACATTCACTCTGATAATTGTTTAGCAATGTTGATTTTACTGGACAGTTCAGGGGAAAAAAGGGAAATAGAAAAACATCAATGACTAATTCATAAGATCAATTGAAAAATTCAAAATTGTTTCTGATGTTACAGTGAACATAATTTTTCAAGACATCATAAAATAATTTAAAACATATTTCTATTGTAATAGATAATATTTATCTAAAACAAAGAAAGTATAACCATACAAATTGAATCTGTCTGATTTAGTTTTAGGAAATCTTAATGACCTAATATACAAAGCAATTTAGGAGGAAACTAAAGCAAAAAATTCAGGCTTTCCAAGATCTGATATTTTTTCTAAAGTGACATATTGAAATAATCTCTACTAAAAAGAGTACTGGGCTGGACACAGTGGCTCATGCCTGTAATCCCAGCACTTTGGGAGGCCGAGGAAGGCGAATCATTTTAGCTCAGGGGTCGAGACCAGCCTGACCAACATGGTGAAACCCCGTCCTTACTAAAAAATTCAAAAAAAAAAAAAAAAAGCCAGACATGGTGGCAGGTGCCTGTAATCCCAGCTACCGGGAGGATGAGGCAGGAGAATCGTTTGAACCCGGGAGGCAGAGGATGCAGTGAGCAGAGATCGCGCCACTGCACTCCAGCCTGGGTGACAGAGCAAGACTCCATCTCAAAAACAAAACAAAATAAAACAAAACAGTACTGATGAAGGAATTGAGTAAATGATATTAGTTTAGAAGATGAAAGAGGCAAATGACATTAAAGAGTCATTAATATGAACAATATAAAATAGTGTATGATACTTGTTATAACTGTTAATGTTCTTATATTGCTTGGTATTTCAAACTCATAAAGGTGTGATTATTATAATATTTTATTAATAAACCAATTGGGCAGTTTTTGAACATGAAAGCATTTTTCTTATGTTTAAAGACAGAAAAAAATGTTGGATAACACATTAAAGAAGCTTCAAACTTTTTATTATTTGAGGCACACACTCTGTTCTCTACCTGCAGTTTTTAGTTTGTTTAATTTCTTCAGTGGTACAAAATCAAGGTTTTCAAAGCTCACCCAGAAACATCTGACTTGCTCTTACAATTATAAGTCAGAAAGTTAAGGAACCTCAGAAGAAAACTCCTGTCAACCTATCTCTATACTATGAGGTGAATATTAAAACAATCATTGTTGTAAATGATGGAGGTTGTCTTTAAATTACATCAATACAGTTTTGAGGAAGGAGACATATTTCTTCTAATGAGAGCCGCATATGCCTATTAAGACTAGGAAGATATTAGGAGTCACTCACTTAAATTAATTAATAAAGTGTGAAGTCACAATAAAATAAAGTAGGTATAGCAGAATTTTATAATAGCAGTCACTTCAAAAATATATTGCATTTGGAATGACTCAATAATAAATTCAGCTTTTAGAGGCCAAGAAATGCTTCCAATAAGAAACGATGTTTGAACAGAGGTTTAAGGAATGAATGGGTAATAGTGACCTGGAGGAAGGTAACAGATCCCAAGAAAAGTGAAAAGACATTGAGCTGCAAAGATGCATGGCAGGAGTTTAAGAAATAACAAGCAGTCCTGAAAAAGTGGAGCATAGAAACTCCTGAGGACAAACAAGATGAGACTGTAAAAGTAACAATGCCAGGAAAACAGTTTTTCAGTTAGGTACAAGAGAGCCCCATTGACTTATTTCACAGTTTCAATATGTGTAATTATATTCTTCTAAAAGTTTTAGCTTCTTAAACCTGGACAACTCCAAGAATGAAATCTGCCCTTACTCAAATGCACTCTTCATCGAACATTCAAAGAGACTTTGCTGTTCAGAATATAAGTTTACATGGCTAGCTCTCCTACTAAATCCATGCCTTCCCAGGCAGTGGGAATGCCTCATCCACTTTGGCATGCCTAGCACCATGCAGCATATTGTAGGTACTAAATACACGTTTATTGAATAAATAAAGAGACAAATACTAAGCAATAGCTTTCTACATATTTATAGCAGGTCTTGCATTGATAGATAATGAAAATTTGTCACCAAACATACAGCCCATTATAAAAAGTCTTATAGTTGATAAAGAGAGAACTGAATACATGTATAATTCATGGTTTAATGTGTATTCTTGATGTATTTGCCTAAAAGTAAGAGGACTTTAGCCTTCACGTCAAGAGAACTCTGCCAATAGCTGGATGTGTGACCTTGGGCAAGTAACTTAACCTCATCTTCAAAATGACAACTCACATTAAGGTCTCTTTAAACTTATTAATGTTATGATTTTATAAAATAATGTAAAATATCATAGCAGTTAAACAGTAAAAAGCTAATGTGAGATCATTTTACTTCAAATATAATTTAAAATATTTTAAAAAACATTTGATTTGCTATTATTCATAAAATAATTTAATTCTATATGACAAAATTAATTTTTGCCCTTTCGGCCCTGACTGCATGTAGAAAATAATTTTACTGTTATTAATATGTGCTAATATCAGTAATCATTTTGATGTAAAATATATGTATATCTGTATTAGTTTGTTTTCACACTGCTGATAAAGACATACCCAAGACTGGGAGGAAAAAGAGTTTTAATTGGACTTACAGTTCCACATGGCTGGGGAGGCCTCAGAATCATGGTGGGAGGCGAAAGGCACTTCTTATATGGTGGCAGCAAGAGAAAATGAGGAAGAAACAAAGCGGAAACCCTGATAAACCCATCAGATCTGGTGAGACTTATTCATTATTTTGAGAATAGCACAGGAAAGACTGGCCCCCATGATTCAATTAGCTCTCCCTGGGTCCCTCCCACAACACATGGGAATTCTGGGAGATACAATTCAAGTTGAGATTTGGGTGGGGACACAGCCAAACCATATCAATATCTATTTCTATCTATGTACATATATCTTGCTTTATTCTCCCTCTTATGAGGAGAGAAAAATTTTAGTATTAACATTACAATGCTGTTGTATTTAGAAGTTTATACAGTGAAAAATTAAAGTATAAAAGTTGAAAATACAGAAGAGAGATAAACAGAATTCACTTATTAATTTATATAGTCTCATGTTTATCTCCCCCACAGCAATAAAATTAAACCAGTTAAAGATATATTACATAATATCCCATTGAACATCCTTTCTGTATTTGCTGAACTTATCAGAGGAGCAACAGGGAGAATATAAATCTTTTAAATATCAGATTATTTCCTTAGGGACAATTAAATCTGAGATATTTATATAACAACATAGGTAAAAGGCACTATATAGTTGGACAGAATGTGCCATTATAGGAAAAGTAAGTAACTTATACACACCCACCAGGAAAACATTAATCAGAAAAGGCAGAACAGGCATGAAACTTTTCACCACGAGCTTGAAGCTGCATGTGAAGCAGAAGTAATTCATTGCCAAGAGTCTGGAGATTACAAAACATCACAACGACTTTTAAAAGTAGACAATTTTTCAAAATTATGGCTTAGCCAAATAGTTATCACTGATCACTTGTGAAAGCAAACTGTAGACATGTTTTTAAAATGTGTTAACTAAAAGTAACAGTAATGACCTAAGAACACAACAATTAATTTCAATAGATAATTGCCAAACATATATTGAAACAGGAGTTCAGGATAGTTACTATAGCACAGTCTTTACCTTCAAGCAACTCTCAGTCTCAGAAGGGAGTCAGGTATACAAAGAAATAAGTTATAGTACAATGTGGTAAAGTGAAAGAGTACCAATGTGTACAGGGTGCAAAGCTAGTGAGAAAAGTGAATAATTATGAGTCATAGCATCTACAGAGATTCAGGGGAGGGAAGATGTAGAAAAAAAGTTTCCCAGAGGAGGAGAATTCAGAGATGAACAGTTCAAACAGAACTTTATTTCCCCTGCTTTACTCTCTATATTCCTGAAAAGAAAACGGCTTGGTTGAAAAAAACTAAAAAAGCTAATCACAGCAGGGTTTGATTTTATTCCTTGGCAATAAATAAAGGAGAAATACAAGGGGCCCGAAATCATGGTAATTAGAGGAGGAGGTCCAGAACCTAAACAATTGTAATAACCAAAAAGAAGCACTTTTGAATCAATTTTAAATTAAATTTAGAATCATTATGAAGTATTATTTTCCTCTATATCTTCCAAAATGATCCAAATCTGCCAAATACCATCCACCAACTTATCTTGCACATTTGTTTCTAGTAGAGAGTAAAAATTGTTTACTTAAGCTGTCCCACTTTTGATATGTGGTCAGGGGCCTTTACATATTTAAAATTCATTTTCCGTATCATTTATCAAAACCTTCTATGTGCTCCCTACTGTGTGCCTAAAATAGCCTCTAAGGATAAAATCTAAGGAAGTTGGTTAATTATTTCTCAACCTGAGTAAGCTTATAACCATAATAGAAAAAAATGTTGTATGATTATAGAAAAAATACAAGGTAATATCATTTTATAGGTTATCTATGATCATACAAAGAAGAGTACAGGTAGTACTCACTGAAGAAACTGAAAATAAGAGAAAGAGCACATTGGGATAGTATTGATATGGACAATATTTAAAGCAAATAGATTCAGATCTCAGTATCTTTGACTTTAGGCTGTCATTTTTGAAGTGTCCCTTATGTCTCAGTCATTTGATTAAGTGCTGCATGTATATTTTCTCACCTTGTCTTTACCATATCCCTGCAAGTAATTGATATTACATCCAATTGACAGATGAGAATGAGCTTTGAACTCAGATATACCTGTTTTTAGAAGCTTCCCAAAAGTAAAGCATTAAATTTAAGGGGGATGGGGGAAAGAAGACATGAGGGGCTTTTCAGGTAGAATAAATAGTCTTGATGATGCATAGAAGCAGGGGGATTGAAGAATTTGCAGTGTAAATTCTGCCTTGTTTATGCACGGGAAGAAAACAAGCACTCAATTCCAACTATAGTCCTATTACCCTATACAGTGCTCTCCTGCCCACTGTTTGACCTACATAATCTTCAGAATCTGTGTGTGGCTAAAGTCAGGTACTGGTTCCTAGACTGAGGAAGCCCGAGGAACAGAACACAGGTACAAGCCATGGGCATGGATCATGCCTAAAGAGCTCAGTAATCAACATTTTGTGGAGTTTTTCAGTTTCACCTATATAAGCACAAATATTTGACATGTTTAGCCTGCAAGAATAAAACATTCCATGAATAATGGAAACAGTTATCTTACTGCTATTTTTAAGGATTCCAAGGAACTCCACAAAGCAGCTTGCTTCCTCTCAAGCAAATAAGAAAGATACGTTTATTTTGACAGACTATCTCGTCTCCAAATATTCGTCATAAATTAGTCACTGTTTCCCTAAAGCAACTCTAAATTCCCCAAACCAGAGAAGACAGTTTTATTTTCTATTCCCAACATAACTTTCCGTGTCAGCATCAGGTCCCCAAGGTGGTGGTGTTAAAGCATGTCTTTCGTGACCACGCTGTATTTCAATGAACCTCTTTAAACTATTGCTCCAACTCCAGGATTTCATAGAACACAATTTGAAATTTTTGTCTGGAATTATTACATTTTTAATTTTACAGGGAGATGTATACTTTTGCACAAGAAAAAGAATTGCACAAGACAGTAGATTCAATACTGAAAAGCTCAGTATTTCTAATTTCATGTTATTGAACTCTCTATTAGCAAGAATTCTTTAGTCACATATTTTATGAAGTTATAAATTATTTTATAAAAGATGCCTCTCATCTCTTCCCACCAATCTCAATGTTTTTTTACTTAAACTTTCATTTATATTGTCTTAAATCAACATAAAATTCTAACCGGTAGAGTCAGGTTTGGAAGGTCTGGCATAACCATTTCCCAAGTCCCAGGCTTTTTGTAACAATTGCATTGTCTGTCTTGTAAGTTTCATTAATGGCTGTGCTGTGCCGCTAAGACACTTGGAGCTCCATCAGTAGAACTTATTTAGGAGTAAGAAACCGGACAAGTATCATTTGCATTACCTCCAACTCTCCACTCCAGTGAACACTTAGACTTCTGCAACATTCTTTAGGTTTATATGTTTCCAGTCTAACATTTTCATTTATTCAACTGAAGTTTCAGAATGGCTCCCAACAAACCTAAATAATTTTAAAGATAATTACTCCCAAAATTATCTTGATAGTTTGAATGAATTGAGCTCTCAATCCTAGAAATTTAGGAAATAGGTTTTGTAGATTTTTATTTTCTGAATGGAAGGGCATGTAGTGAATGCAAATGCAAGTCATACCTACCCCCGTTTTCCCTTTCTGTCTCAAGGCCCTATCCAAGGGACAGCTCTAGGTATTCTTCCTAAGAATAAATGTAACTTTTGACTTATGTGATGTGATTGTCTTTTTTTAGCCATGTTTGGGTGTATTTGTCCTCTTTGCTCCTGCACAAAGATGGAAGAGAGAGTAGGGTTTCCTCATGGAGTGCCACCCTAATAGGAATGAGCTAGAAAGTCTTTGTAGCTGCCCTGGTTTGTGAACAGGGCCCAGAGGCTCCACAGAGCTACCTCCCACTCTGACCTCAACTATGGTTCATTTACAAGAAAATAGGTTATTAAGGCTGGACGAGGTGGCTCACATTTGCAATCCAGAACTTTGGGAGCCTGAAGTGGGTGGATCACTTGAGGCCAGGAGTTCAAGACCAGCCTGGCCAACACGGTGAAACCCTGTCCCTACTAAAAATACAAAAATTAGCCAGGCGTGATGGTGGACACCTGTAACCTCAGGCTCAGGAGGCTGAGGCAGGAGAATCACGTGAACCTGTGGAGGCAGAGGTTTCAGTGAGCTGAGACCGCACCACTGCACTCCAGCTTGGACAACAGAGCAAGACTCTGTTTCAAAAAAAAAAAAAATGAAAAACGAAAATAGGTTCTCAATGTTTGCAACTCCTGCAACTCCTAACATGGTGACATCGGAAGTAGGGGCTTACCCTTCACCTGCTTATTACTTTCAAGACAAATCCAGAGAAGCAGGGCCCGTATTATTATGGGCTACATGACTTTGTTAAGGAAGGCAATATTTATCAATTATTAGTTAGTCTTAGTTGAGTCTTTCCTAATAATAGTGGAGAATACAGTTGCCTCTGAAGGTGCAGGATAGACCTAGAATGCCAACTACTACATGTAAATCTTACAGAATCATTTTACTGTTTATAATTACTCCTGCAACATCTGCCATAAACAGACACTCATAATCAACCTCCAAGATAAGAAAATTATAGAGATTTTTAAAATATCCTATGCGGGCTCCATTGTCAGAAATGATAATATATGACTTCAAACCTTTTAAGAAGGATTCTACCATAACTAGAAAGTATTAGATAATTTTAAAAAATTAATAAGAATTCATATTGCATTTTATCAAGGTTCCTTTTCACTCCAAATTTAAGCGTCCTACATTTAAATGTTTAACTACCTTAAATTACACTTAAAAACCCAGAGTAATACATCAAAAAGTAAATTTATCTACCAACATGGACATATAGGATGTTAAAATATCCTAATTTCGTTAAATTAACCCTCTAGTTTGAAAGAACTTCTATTTTTCCTGTATTTCTAAAAAATGAAAGTTATGTTATAATACTATAATTGTTATTATTCTTTCAACAAACATATACTTTACACTACTGTACACAACAAATTCTGTTCTTGGTCCTTCCTCATGGAATAGTTTCTTCTTTGCTTTTTGGTGGGTTGCAACCAGGTAAGCTATACTTTGCTTTATAGGTTTTTCAAATATATATATATACACATACACACACACACACACACATACACACAGACATAATAGATTGAAGCTGTAGTTTTTATATCTGACTTTAATATTAATCATAAGAATCACAAGGAGCTTCTATCATTTATTGAGTAGATATCATATTCCAAGAACAATGTCTTTAAAAACTTTAGAGATGGGGCCAGGTGCAGTGGCTCTCGCCTGTAATCCCAGCACTTTGGGAGGCCGAGGCAGGTGGATCACGAGGTCAGGAGATCGAGACCATCCTGGCTAACACGGTGAAACCCCGTCTCTATTAAAAATACAAAAAATTAGCCGGGCTTGGTGGCGGGCACCTGTAGTCCCAGCTACTTCGGAGGCTGAGGCAGGAGAATGTCCTGAACCCGGGAGGCAGAGCTTGCAGTGAGCCGAGATCGTGCCACTGGACTCCAGCCTGGGTGACAGAGAGAGACTCCATCTCAAAAAAAACAAAAAAAAACACAAAACTTTAGAGATAACCAAATATATTTTCGCACTTAAAATTAGAAAATTAAGTCAAACACAGATTAACTAACCTGCCAAAGTTTCACCTCTTCAGCACAAAATTACAAGATGGCTATAACTAATGCAATAAAAGCCATTAATAAACATTCATAAGTAATCCATAAAATGATTTTAGAGGGGTAAGAAAATCAACTCATCATAATTTGCTGTGAAATAATTAACATTCCTCATCAGTTTCTCTGCTGGTTACATAGACTTTAAAGCTTAGGTGAATCTCATAAATCATGTAGTGAAATTTAATAGCCTAAAGAGGAGGATGAAGAAAGTTTTCTAACATTAAAATTTCTAGTGATAACACCAGCATTTGTTTATTTATTAAAAAATAGTCACTTAGTGCCAGAAATATAACAATGAGCAAGAAGGCATAGTTGTAGACTTTGTTGAAGTTTTGCTTGAGATTTCAAAGAATTGAACAAGTAATTATGAAGTCTACAGTTTAGATCGTATCAAGGGAAGTGTCAGAACACTTCAGAGATGGTAGAGAAATTTTAGGATACTTTAAAGGAGGTTAAAATCAGCAACTTTGGAATGATGGAGAAGTTCTACTTGATAAAGTAATATTGAAGTTGGAATAAGAGGTGTAGCATCAAGTTAGGCTTAATAAGATGCTTGCATGGTAGAAGGACACTCCATGCAAGTGAGATCACATGAGCAGAGTTTTACAGTGGGAAGGAGCTTATTCTGTTAGTGTGACTAGAGAAAAATGAGGTTGCTGAAACCACAAAAAGCCAAGACGCGAAGTGTGATGGGTAGTGTGAGTGAAGATGTAGACAGAAGCCAGATCATGGAGGCCATGTTGTCTGATTAGCAACTTATTCTAAGGACCCAGGAATCCCATTAAAAGGATTTACAGAGAGGAACAAGTTGACCAAAACTAACTTGAAAAGTTCACTCTAAGTAGAACAAATGTAACAAAGATGAAAAAGACAGAATGACTTTAAGAATATAGATAGGCTGGCCCACAATAGGGCAGACACCATATCTCTAAGCTTAGAAAACTGACAGTTAAGACACTTGTTAATTTATAGATAATCTAATTAATAGAAGTGGGAAGTAGAGAGAGATAACACCCAAGGAATTCAATAATCTCGGTTAAATTGGACGTTGAGATTGTCAGTTGAGAATGAGATGGGTGGAGTTATTAATGGATCTCAGGAGAATGGTAATACTTGGAGTAGACACTAATGCAAACAAAAATAATAATAGCAGATAACTATTGGGCACCAAAGATTGTTTAAAGGGTCTAGTTTTATTAACTTAGAGCAGCTGTATGAATTAGAGAATTTTATCAGTACTACCTTGGGGAATTTAGAGAGTATAAAGTTAATTAGTTTTCCTGAAGTCTCACAGTTCATAACAAAGGTCAAAATCCATACAGTGTGGTTCCAGAGTCTGCATGCTGGTCACTCTGTTGTGAGCAACAGAATTGATCAGCCAAGCCACGGTGCTGAGTCCTGGTGAGATTGGAGATTTTAGATGTGTGGTGGGTCTGTCTGCTCTGCCAGTGCCAACACAATCTGGAGTGACTCTTCGAGTTCTCTCCTGTAAATTCTCTTTTCACACTGAATTTGATGTATTGAAACAAGTTGATGTTTCCTGAAGCTGTAAAGTATTATTCCTTCAACATGTATTTGTCCACCTCTATTTTTCTAGTAGAATTTCTTTATCTTATGTTTTTATGTACAAAATTCTCAAAAGTAGCACAGTGTATTATATTTTATTTACCATGTCACTAAATGTGGGATTTAAAATTTTTCTCTTTCCCTTCCTCTTTCTTTCTGTCTCTCTCTCTGTGTCTCCATGTACTGGAAAAGTCCATAAATAGCTGCATATGTGGTTAATAACATCATGATTTCTTGGGTTGAGCAAGGCCAGAATTTCAAAAATGTTCCCTTCTAAAAATGAGGAAGATACTAATAAGTAAAGATTTATAAATAATTTATTTATACATGCCACAAAATCCTTTGCAATGTGTATATAATAGCTATATAGTTTATCATCACAAGTTCACCTATGCAGAAATTGAGTTTTTCAATCCCCTTTGTGAATTTAATTCCTGTGCCCCCATGTCCATTGAAGATGGAAAACTCAGTCTTGTCAACTCAAAGTAAACACATTCATTGATGGATATTTCTCACATGAAGAAAAAAAAGGAAGTGATTTTAACATTGACAACATGAGGAACTCACAAACTATCTAAAAATTGACAACTAGAAACATGTAGTTGTTCAGTGATCTCTCTCATCAATCTCTTCTTTTTATTTTCTTCAAAATAGTTTGAGATCCTCCAATCAAGAAATGAATCCCAGGGAATACACTGACGACAAACTTATCAAAAATACATTAAGAAGTGAACTATTATGTGCTATGTCATCTGTGCCTAAATGATGCCTACTAAAGAAATGTCATTCAAAATATATTTGCTGGATGTATAAGTGAATGAATAAACAAAATTATTTTATAGGTATTCACTGTCCAAAAGTTATTCTTGACAGTGGATTTGTACTGACTACTGTTATTTAAATCATAATAAAATATCAACCACTGCACTAAAATAATAACCTTTAATTTAATTGGATATAAGTAAAAACATAAAAATATAAAACAACAACAATGAAAACATTCAAGGAATCCAATGGCTGTCAACGTAAGTGTTCTTGATTGCTGCATAGTTACCTTTTTTGTGGGGTGGCAGGGGCAGACATGCAACTGTGGAGTCCTCTCCTAATTAAGCAGCTTGAAATAAATATTTTTAAATAAAATGTGTTCAGTAATTTTAGCTTTCCTTATTTTTAAATTTTTCAATTCAGTTATTTCAAAAGAGGTATGCTTTAGTTTTTTGAGCACACTTGGTTATAAAATCCACATTAAATATGTTTCTGCTTAATTTCACAATTTTGAAAGAGATGTGGTCCTATCAAAATATTTTGTTGAAGGTGATAAAATTTTAAAATCATATAATATTTTATATATCCCTTCATCTGTTTAGAAATATCTATACTGACAGGTGGTTCTTTTAGATTAAATTGTAGTGGAGAGGAAGTTATAGTACATTATCTCCAACATGTTCTGGCTGTTCAGACACTGTGGCCTCAATCAAGATGCAAAACCACCACCACACCTTGGTGGACCCTTTTCTAAATTGTATAATTTTTCTATATGTTATCATCTGAATGTCTCTCAAAATTCATATGTTGAAACCTAATCCTCTGTGGTGGTATTGAGGCCTTTTAGGAAGTGGTCAAGTCATGAGGTCTCTGCCATCAGGAGTGTATTAGTGCCTTATAAAAGAGCTGGAGGGAAGTAGCTTAGGCCCTTTTTTGCTCTTCTGTCCCTTCCACCATGTGAGGACACAGCATTTTTCACCTCTGGAAAATATAACAAGGCAGCAGCATGTTGGAAAGAGAGACGGAACACCTCACCAGATACTGAATCTGCTGGTGTCTTGAACTTGGATTTCCAGCCCTCCAGAATTGTGGGAAATAAATTTCTGTTCTTTGAAAATTACCTACTCTACAGTGCTTTGTTATAGCAGCATGAACAGACTAAGACACTATCCACACAGCTATAACATATAGGCATAGCTTACAGACCTCCATTTCTAAATTTTTAAGGTGATAAAATTCAGGTCCTTTTTTACTTTACATTTTTCTTTCTTTACATCCTGGTTAAAGAAAAATAACTTTGCTCTTTTCTCTCTCTCTTTTATTTTGGAAACATTTTCAACAAAGTTACCAAGAATTACTTTATTTTACTGATATATCTAATAGAGTTTTCTGCTTATCTATAGTATGGAGACATAAAAATTCAGATTGATTTTTAAATCATTTTTATATATTTTACGCAGAACAGAGGTATATATTGTGCAGATATATTGTGCAGATTATCATAATAATCTGCAGATTATTGTGAACATGAAAGCATGTGTTATTGATTTAAAACCTCATGTTCCATTTTTTCCTCTTATAGTAGCTAATCAATTAGTAGAAGGTCATCAATCAACTACCCTATTTAACATTTTTGGAGAAGTCAAACAAATTGGTAATGAAATAAAGGGAGAAAATCTAAGTGCAGAGTGTGTACTACATAAGACATTTCAACCTTAGTGCTTGGAGAGTAGCATAAGCATTCATCAATTAAATATGACCAATTAAACGTGATATTCACCACCTCTGGATATTGCACGACTCTTCCTTTAGATCCAATTGTGTGTTTAAATCTTTGACTTGTGTGCAATGGAGAGGGGGCAGGTTGATAGAACATGAGTTAGATGTTTAAATTATGTAGCCATTTAAATTGATTTAAATCAATTAAAACGCTGTATGATTTTTTCCAGTTAGACATCCTTTCTGAATCACTCCTGAGTGATATTTTTAAATATAATCTTTACAAGTGGAATAAATGAGAGAAATCATTGTATGTTCTTTTCTCCAAGTTTTTAAAACTATTAGCAAAGATCTTGTTTTTTGATGGGTCTCAAACTTCCCTGACAGTTGAAAATACCCTGTAACACAGTTTATGTAAAGCTAAAGCGTACATAACACACTTTCTTCAAGCCCACATGTAACAAATAAAGATATCAAAGGAACTGACATTTCTGCATTACAGTTTAAAATAACATCCTGTGTGACTTCTATATGCTGTGCTGTTAGTTCAATTTCAGATTTTCTAAACACCGGCTTTGCTTTCAAAGAGTAATGTTCCAGTTCCTGTAGGGAGTGTGTGGAGACTGGTTCTAAAGCTAGGGGGGAAAGTTAAGAATGTGTGGCTTTTGGCTTCAGAATTAGCCATGCTTTAGTGATCTACTGCATTAAACTGTTTCTTATTAATAGATCATGCACAATTCACCCTTCCCTCTTCCCCCCACACAAATCTGACACATTCTCATAATCAATAGCAAATGTGCATTCTGAAAGTTTCACTTTTTTTCTTAAGCCCACCCTGACTTTCATTGTGATACAATGAAACCATCAGAATTTAGTGTTAGGGAGTGTAACATATAACATAACTAAGTGTATTCTGAAAGTACAGTTGATAACTTTGAAATAATGTAACATATGTTGTGTTTACACTTTTCTCCAAAGAGAATGAAGATTTATCCTGAATAAACAGAAAGAAAATATATAAAGTCATGTAGATAATTAGAGAAATTATGGTAAAGTATGAATTTTTTTTTACTTTGGATAAAGATTTTGAAAGTGCCTCCTTTAAAAATAAATGGCTTTTTCTAAAACAAAAAAAGAAAGGTTTTCCAGAGCTCTTTTTCTTTGTAATTATTCTAAATTATAAAAATTCCCTGTCCACCCCAAACCCCCAAATATTTAACCCTCATTTAGTTCTAATGACATCTACTATGGCCCAGTACAAAAATATAATCCTTTACCAGCCGACAGCCAAATACACACAGTTGTCCCTCCGTATATGGGAGGGTAGGTTCCAGTACCCTTGCGTATACTAAAATCACGCATACTCAGTGGGTCCTGTGGACCCACATACAGGAAAAGCTGACCCTCCATATATGCAGATTTCTCATTGCACAAATACTGTATTTTTGACCCTAGTTTGGTTGAAAATAATCTACGTGTAAGTGGAGCCATATAGTTCAAACCTATGTTGCTCAAGGTTCAACTAGAGCTCCTTTCTCACTTCTCATCTTCTTAACCACTTTGTTTCACTTACAACATCCGCACTCCTCTCAGTGACACCCACTCAGTCTTTCCTTTGGCTTCTCTGACTCAGTGTCCTGGCTCCGCTCCCTATGTAGATTCTTATCTAAATCTTTCATGAATTGACCTTATTTCTCACACTTCCTAAATATTAATGCTTCCCATCTTTCTGTCCAACTCTCTCCTTTCCTCCCTTTATGAATTTTGTTGAATTTATCTGCAAAGTTTAAGCTCTGTAAGCATATTGATCTTTATTTCCTCTCTCTCTCTCTGTCTCTGACTCTCTTTCTCTCCCTTCTTATATTTTCTTAAAGTCTTTTCTGATAATACCCTAGAGAGATAGACTAGTAGCTATATAGAATAATTATATTAGAGTAAAAGAAAATTTTAGACATCATTCATTTTACTTTATGCATGAAGAAAGAAGGCAGAAGGATTGCATAATTTACCTTTGCTTGACTTTAATAGCTATTCACTGAGCACATACTATATGTCAGGCACTATGCTAATGCTGATTAAGATATGGTATTTTCCCTCAAAATGTTTAGGTCAGTAGAAAAGATAGGTATATGAAAGTCATTGCAATACAATTCTATCTATGAAATAGATAAAAGTATATGAAACTGATATGGTACAGAGGAGAGAGTGATGAGTTGAGAGTAAAGCTAAAGACCACAATCACAAAAAGAATATCTTGATAGGAGGTGAATAAAAGGTGAGGATTTTCCAGGAAAATAAAAGGAGAAGGGTATTCCAAACAGAGGGAACAATGTGCTTGGAACACCTAAGTGGTTCAGATGGATCATAAGATAAAGGCAAGTATTGATGGAAACTTTAGAAATTGACATAATCAACTGTGCATAAAAGCGTTCTTTTTTATAATACACATAGGTGTATTCACACTTGGTGTTAAAACCATATAAAAAGATGACTGTCTACATTAACATGGAAGGAGGTCTCAGCACTAGGTTATGTCCTAGACAACATTTTCAACAGCAATTTAAAGCACTTACATATGTGATGAAAATAAAATTTGTATTTTATTATATGAGCTTTTGATACTACACATTTTCTCAAATACTAATTTAATTGCCACTCACAAAGTTTGATAGATAAAATGTTTTAAATAAGAAATAAATATTTTGTTATTTTTATTGATTTTTTGATCCATAAATTATTTAGAACATGTTTTAGAATGTTTAAATACATTGAGGGAGTTAATTATGTTTTGTCATTAATATCTAACTCTACAACATTGTGGTCAGAAAATGTTGTCTTTGTGATCTTGATGTTTTGGCATTTGCTGACCCTTGTTTCATTGCTCAATATGACTTCAATATTTGTAAATACCATACATGTGTAAAAGTGTGTATTCACTCATTATTGAGTATAGGAGCTTAATATATGTCCATTAGATCAAATTTTAAATGTGCTGTTAAAATAATTTATATTTCTACTTTTTTCTCTTTGCTCTTTTAATTACTATGGGAAGTTTCTTAAACATTTTCCACTATGATAGTGGGTTTCTCAATAACTCCTTGTAATTCTGTCAATTTTATCACATACTCAGAGGCTCTTTTCTTCAGTACACGTAAGTGTAGAGAACTCGTGTCTTCCTAATGAAGAAATCATCTTATCTTCTTTAACTGTAATACTGTTTTAGCTTTAGTGTATATTATTCCAATTATTTAGATCAAAAACCATGCCCCAAACCTGAAATTTTTTTCACACCTCATATCCTCATATATTCACACCTCATTCATTAGCAAATGCTGCCAACTCTACCTTCAAAACATATCCAGAACTTCTTATCCCTTTCACTGCTACCAAGAAGTCCAAGTCTCAGATTTTTTCTTTATGTTATGTAAATGGTAAATGTTTTACGATTTAAGCATATTATTTTATATTCTCTGTCTTTTAAGTCTAAGGAATCTGACATTCTGCAGGGTCTGATTCTGCTCTTGTGTCATGTGCTGTTTGTAGTGAATTATATTCTTGTGTTCATTATAAATTTAGATTATGACCTCATGTTCTGTGAGACTTTATCTCTGGAAGTACCATCTGCATTGAGGGTATATCCCTTTAGGGAAGTTTTGTTTTTGTTTTAGCCAGGTGCTCTAAATGTGTAAGTAACTTGAGACCACTTTTTATGTTAATTTCAAGATTGCACAGGAAATTAAAACACCTAGCTTATTTGTAGATGAGTCATAGATAAGTACTGTCAAGAGAGATTTTGTTTTTCTTTCCAGAATCTAGGCTATGATGATCAAGTTTTCTTGCTATCTACCTTTGCTGGTGGGAAACTTTTTTCCCTTTATCACCCTTACCCCACTTAATGCTATGATCTCAGCCTGAATCCACAGTTGGGTAGGTAGGTCTTCTCTACTTCCCCTGCATGGCTCTTTAAACCTTAACTCCCAGTTGTCTCCAACTGTCCATTCCTGAAATATCATTGCCTACACTCCCACTTACCTCTCTGGCTTCAGTTCTCTCTTGGTTTATGTAGCTTACATTTAAATAAGGTATTTTATATTCAATTGAACATGTCTAAAGATGGTAACAAGAGGGTTTCTCAGGGTAATTCCTAGAGCATATGACTGTAAATAGAAATGCATTTATATGGTCTGATGCGGTGGCTCACACCTGTAATCCCGGCACTTTGGGATGCAGAGGCAGCTGGATCACCTGAGGTCAGGAGTTTGAGACCAGCCTGGCCAACATGGAGAAACCTCGTCTCTACTAAGAATACAAAAATTAGCCAGGTGTGGTGGAGTGTGCCTGTAATCTCAGCTACCCAGGAGGCTGAGGCAGGAGAATTGCTGGAACCCGGGGGGCAGCGGCTGCAGTGAGCTGAGATCGTGCCACTACACTCCAGGATGGGTGACAGAGCAAGACTCTATCTCAAAACAACAACAACAAAAAAAGATAAATGCATTTATATTTTTCAACTTTTTTAACTAATATATATATATTATATATATATATAATGTAAAATTCAGGATACAAAAGAAAAAAGGTGTTAATTTCTTCTAATTAGCTCAGCTGCTTAACAAAGCTATCAGGTATTCAGGTATTGTGAAATGCTTGCTGCACCTCCGAGCATTTCTTATACTGTAGACAGCAAGAAGGGAGAAAGGCAAAGAGCCATCCCACTGCATCTGTCTTTTTTATTTTTTTCTTTTGAAGACAGAAAAATCTTTCTCAGGACCCTTACCAGCAAAGGTCACTTAATTTTCATCAGCCAGAATTATGCCACGTGACCACTTCTAGCATCAAGGGAAGCTGGGGAATGAGTATTGGCATTCTACTTATTCTGCTTTCAATAGCAGAGGTTCTCAAACTCTAGTATGTTTCATAATCACCTGGAGAACTTATTAAAACATTGCTGGACCCCACTTGCAGAGTTCTAATACAGTAGGTTTTAACGATTTTAACAAGTTTTCAGATAAAGCTGATGCTGTGGATCCTAGGGCCACACTTTGATATTCTCTGCTCTACAGTAAAGAAAGAAAATGTGAGGGGATTTGGAAATAGTTTTATGTTTGTTTGTTTGCTTTAGTGCAGGTGTTTTAAAATTATTTGTATAAATGCTTGGGGAACAAGGGCAATTTAGTTATGTGCAAAGATTCCATAGTGGTGAAGTTAGGGCTTTGGAGCATCCATCATCCAAATAATGTACATTTTATTCCTAAGGTAATTTTGAGAGGTGACAGCATGCTGGCAGCCCTTGCAGCCCTCGCTCACGCTTGGCGCCTCCTCAGCCTCTGCACCCACTCTGGACACGCTTGAGGAACCCTTCAGCCTGCCGCTGCACTGTGGGAGCCCCTTTCTGGGCTGGCCAAGGCGGAAGCCGGCTCCCTCAGGTTGTGGGGAGGTGTGGAGGGAGAGGTGTGGGCGGGAACCAGGGCTACACGTGGCACTTGCAGGCCAGCGTGAGTTCGGGGTGGGAGTGGGCTTGGTGGCCCCCGCACTCTGAGCGGCGGCCAGCACAGCCCGCCCGGCAGTGAGGGGCTTAGCACCCGGGCCAGCAGCTGCGGAGAGTGCACTGGGTCCCCCAGCAGTGCTGGCCCACCAGTGCTGTGCTCGAATTCTCGCCAGGCCTCAGCTGCCTCTGTGGGGGGCAGGACTCAGGACCTGCAGCCCGCCATGCCTAAGCCTCCCCTCCCCCCTCCCCCTCACCCCTACCAATCCCCCTCCCCCCCACCCCTACCAATCCCCCTCCCCCCCACCCCCACCAATCCCCCTCCCCACCACCACTCCCCCTCCCCCCACCCTGGCCCGCGCGACCCGAGCCTCCCCGAGGAGCGCTACCCCCTGCTCCATGGTGCCCGTCCCATTGACCACCCAAGGGCTGAGGAGTGAGGGCGCATGGCGCGGAACTGGCAGGCAGCTCCACCTGCATCCCTGGTGAGGGATCCACCGGATGAAGCCAGCTGGGCTCCTGAGTCTAGTGGGGACTTAGAGAACCTTTGTGTCTAGCTAAGGGATTGTAAATACACCAATCAGCACTCTGTGTCTAGCTCAAGGTTTGTAACCACACCAATCAGCACCCTGTGTCTAGCTCAAGGTTTGTAAATGCACCAATCAGCACTCTGTATCTAGCTAATCTGGTGAGGACTTGGAGAATCTTTATGTCTACCTAAGGGATTGTAAATACACCGATCAGCACCCTGTGTCTAGCTCAAGGTTTGTAAACGCACCAATCGGTGCTCTGTGTCTAGCTAATCTAGTGGGGACTTGGAGAACTTTTGTGTCTAGCTCAGGGATTGTAAATACACCAATCAGCACCCTGTCAAAACGGACCAATGAGCTCTCTGTAAAACAGACCAATTGGTTCTCTGTAAAATGGGCCAATCAGCAGGATGTGGGTGGGACCAGATAAGGGAATAAAAGCAGGCTGCCTGAGCCAGCACTGGTACCGAGGTTGGGTACCCTTCCATACTGTGGTAGCTTTACTTTTTTGCTTTTTGCAATAAATCTTGCTGTTGCTCACTTTTTGGGTTCACACTGCCTTTATGAACTGTAACACTCACCGTGAAGGTCTGCAGCTTCACTTCTGAAGCCAGCGAGACCACAAACCCACTGGAAAAAAAGAACAACTCCAGACGCGCCACCCTAAGAGCTGTAACACTCACCGCGAAGGTCTGCAGCTTCAGTCTTGAAGCCAGCGAGACCACGAACCCACCAGAAGGAAGAAACTCCGAACACATCCTAACATCAGAAGGAACAAACTCCAGACATGCTGCCTTTAAGAACTGTAACACTCACTGTGAAGGTCCATGGCTTCATTCTTGAAGTCAGTGAGACCAAGAACCCACCAATTCTGGACACAATTTCTCATCATCCACCCCCTTCCAATTGCCTCACCCCTTCAGGTCTCCACTGTCTATCACTCCACACTCTATGTCCATGTGTACATGTTATTTAGCTGCCACTTAGGAGTGAGACCATGTAATATTTGTTTTTCTGTGTCTGATTTGTTGGAAATCGTTTTTGACTCAACCTGCAGTGTCTGCCCCTAAAACTTACCCTTTGTTTGTGAAATAAAAAAAGTACATTTACATGAAGACTTGAGGAATCATAGGGTGAAAAGTCAGAGGGGAGTGTTCTATAATGTACAAAAGCCTCATGGCAAGTGAGAGCTTAACATCATTAAAGGATGCCTAAGCACAGAGTATAAGGAAGAAAGAGGTGAGAGATGAACTCAGGATTGACAAGAAGGAACCTCAGGAGTTACATAAACTCCCACAGGACATGAAACTAGTAAGGGACAGAGTGAGTGTTTGAATACAGGTGGCCTGGCCCTGTACTTCACTGCCTCTCTGCTTAAGAACTGGAGTGAGAAACATTAGAAATATTTTTAAAGAAAATTTTAATACAGGAAAATATTCATCAACTTATTATTATACAATTTCTAAAGAGTAAAACAAGGCCATTTGGAGGGATAATATATATCAGTCACATGGGTGATATCCCTATTCAAAACTATGCTTCTACAAATCAATAAGAAAAATATAAACACCCAAAGAGACTGCGGCTATGTAAAGTGATTAATAATGGAGATAAAATTAACTCAAGATGTATTAAAGACTTAAACATAAGACCCAAAACTGTAAAAACTCTAGAAGAAAACCTAGGCAATACCATTCAGTACATAGGCATGGCCAAAGACTTCATGACTAAAACACCAAAAGCAATGGCAACAAAAGCCAAAATTGACAAATGGGATCTAATTAAACTAAAGAGCTTCTGCACAGCAAAAGAAACTATCATCAGAGTGAACAGGCAACCTACAGAATGGGAGAAAATTTTTGCAGTCTATCCATCTGACAAAGGGCTAATATCCAGAATCTATAAAGAACTTAAACAAATTTACAAGAAAAAAACAACGACCCCATCAAAAAGTCAGCAAAGGATATGAACAGACACTTCTCAAAAGAAGACATTTATGCAGCCAACAAACATAGGAAAAAAAGCTCATCATCACTGGTCATGAGAGAAATGCTAATCAAAACCACGATGAGATACCATCTCACACCAGTTAGAATGGCAATCATTAAAAAGTCAGGAAACAATAGATGCTGGAGAGGATGTGGAGAAATAGGAATGCTTTTACACTGTTGGTGGGAGTGTAAATTAGTTCAACCATTGTAGAAGAAAGTGTGGCAATTTCTCAAGGATCTAGAAGCAGAAATACCATTTGACCCAACAATCCCATTACTGAGTATATACCCAAAGAATTATAAATCATCCTACTATAAAGACACATGCACACGTATGTTTATTGCAGCACTATTCACAATAGCAAAGACTTGGAACCAACCCAAATGCCCATCAATAATAGATTGGATAAAGAAAATGTGAGACATACACACCATGGAATACTACACAGCAATAAAAAAGGATGAGGTCAGGTCCTTTGCAGGGACATGGATGAATCTGGAAACCATCATTCTCAGCAAACTAACACAGGAACAGAAAACCAAACACTGCATGTTCTCACTCATAAGTGGGAGTTGAACAATGAGAACACATGGACACAGGGAGGGGAACATCACACACCAGGGCCTATCAGGGGCTGGGGGCCTAGGGGAGGGATAGCATTAGGAGAAATACCTAATGTAGATGACGGGTTGATGGGTGCAGCAAACCACCATGGCACGCGTATACCTATGTAGCAAACCTATACATTCTGCACATTATCCCAGAACTTAAAGTATAATTTAAAAAAAAGTGGCCAGAAAATATGTCTAATCAAAGAGATGCACATTTAAGCAGTAATGAGATATCATATTTTGCCCATCAGATACCCAAAGTTCAAAAGATTAATAATACACATGTAGGCTGGTAAGTGAGGAAATAGGGGTTCTCAAACATTGTTAGTAAAAACATAAATGGATACAGCATTTCTGAAAGCAAATATGGAAGTGTGCATCATAATAAAGTTCACTATACATTTTACTCTAGCCCTTTGAATTCTAAAAATTTATATTGGGAAAATAATCAGACATGTGCATAGATCATGTAAAAAATTGTTTTGATGTTCTTACCACATAAAAGATGAAGCAAAAATATCTTTATTAAACTCTGCTTCTAATATTGAAAATTGCAACAGTGAGAAAATAGACATTCAAGATTATAGATTGCTTTATTCTGCCACCTCTGTCAGTGCCTCTGGAGAATATAAAACGTTATATCACAACATAAGCAACATAACACACATTCACCCTTCTGAACTCAGTGCTGCAGTTAGAAAAAATGGTGAAGATTGAGCCTTTGCAGCTATGGATTAGCTCAGGTTCTGGGCTGTATTTTCTGGCCTAGGTGGTGATATGCTCACAACTCAAGAAGTTCTTTAAAGACAGCCTACCATGTTAGGCTAGATATTGCTGGGGAAGTATTACAAAGACTTTAGCCCTAGATAAAACTGGGGAAGTATTTCAAATATTCATATAGGGATATTGAGACCATTTATGAAAAGATGATCCTTCATTCTTTTTAAGTCGAAGTTGTTCAGCACAGTGTTGTTTATAATAGGAAAAATGAGACTGCTTGAAGGTCAAAAGTAGGAGATTGGCGGGCAGTTTGACTGTAAGTGATGGAATAGAATGCGATATGGAGAAGGTCAGACACGTAGAAACTACTCAAATGGTTTGTGGCTTGCTGTGGTTTGGCTTCATGGTCCAGCTGCACACACAGAAACTGAGTACAGTACTTCCCAAGGGGGTATTGCACAGCCTGAGAGCTTATAGTCTGCCACCAGATGGGATGTACAGAGTCAATGGAATATTGTAGCATCCATTGAATATGATGTTTATGAAGATTTCTTTAAAAGTTTGCCACTGCATAGCTTGTAAAATTAAGGATGCAAAATCTGGATTTGAATGATCATGTATTAAATATTATATTAAATACACATTTTTTAATTCTTAGAAAAATGACTACCGAAGAGAAATACCAAAACTTATAGGTTGGTGTTGACATTTTGAATGAATCAATGTTTAAAATAATTTTCTATATTTTTTAACATTTGCACAATAAGTAGATAATATTGACAATGTTTACAAAAAGAAATCTCTAATAATGTGGACAAATAATTTCTGCAAAACAAGTTGTGATTCTTAGAAAGACAAAGTATTAAAGTTTCTGTCACCATATTTTCTATCATTTTGTTATAAGCGTAACTATTATGATGCTATTTTAAATTTATGCTAGTTAATAAGAGATTAGTTAGCATAAGAATGCCACAAAACTGCTGTAAATAATGAGAGAAGGGAACCAAAATTATCATTTGCAGCTGACAGGGTTTTATACTTGGCAAACTAATGAGAATAAAGATTTAAGGAAAAAAAGTATTCAGAAAGGTGACAATTAACAATAATAAATAAACAACAATTATTCAGAAAATACAGCAGGAGAAATATAACAATAGCAAGAAAATTACTAAAAAATTATGAAAATGATTATAGTAATTGAAGCTAGCTGATGATTATATGAGGCTATCATCCTATACTCTAGTTTTGCATATTTGAAACATTCCATAAAAAATATTTTGTTAAATAAATATGAGAATTAAAAATTGTGCAATAACTATATTTTAAAAGCTTTAAAATATATTCAAGTATATAGAATACTTCAATATTTAAAAATGCAAAACTCTATTGTAGTTAGGAAAGTTATGGCTCACGTCTTTAATACCAGCACTTTGGGAGGCCAAGGCAGGCAGATGACCTGAGGGCAGGAGTTTGAGACCAGCCTGGCCAACATGGTGAAACCCCTCTCTACTAAAAATACAAAATATAGTCAGGTGTGGTAGTGGGTGCCTGTAATCTCAGCTACCTGGGAGGATGAGGCAGGAGAATCACTTGAACCTGGGAGGCAGAGGTTGCAGTGACCCAAGACCATGCCATTACACTCCAGCCTGGGCAACAAGAGTGACATCTCAAAAAATAAAAACTAATTTAAAAACTCAATTTTATCCCAAACAAAATGCCAGCTAGATTTTCACTGAAGCCTGATAGAAAGCAAACCATAGTTGAAAAGTAAATAAATATGCAAGAATACCCAGAAAATTAGGAATAAAAGCATAGTGATAACGTTAAAAATGGAGTGACCATGTAACTTATTATCCAAACCAGGACACTTTATGGGAAAAGCAAATTAAAAGTAATTAACAATATTAGTTGATTCACAACAGGCATAAGCCAGGACTGTTTCAGTGAACTGAACAGTATGGTCACCCTAATTATAGACCTACTAGATATTGAGATGAAGATTAACATTAACAATAAGACAAACAAAGGCAAAGAACTGAGAGATCCAAATGGAAAGAACTGAAAAATCCAAATGCATCTGAGAATTTAGTATATAATAACAGTAACACTACAGCACAACGCAATTAATATTAGGTTTTTCAATAATGTGTTGAGACACATGTCCACTGTTCCTGTTTCTTTCTTGATCCCTTACAGTATCTTCTCCACACAGATACCAGAGAGATCCTTTATAAATGAAAGTGAGTTCTGCCCATCTTCTGCACATTATCCTCCAATGGCTTCCCATTTTAACCCAATCAATGAATTAACAACAAATTCACAATTTCCCACCAAGTTATATGTAACCTAGACACCTTCCCCTGCTAACTGATGGACCCACAACAGCTACGCCACCTCTCCTCTGTTTCCCTGTCAGCCATAGTACCCTCTCTGCAATTATTTCAGTGGGATTAGCAACAACATCTCATAACCTTTGTTCAGGCTGTTTCATCCAACTGGATGCTCTTCCTCCAGATAGCCACATTCCTTCTGTTTATTCAAGTCTTCACTTAAATATCACCTATCAAAGAACTTTTCTCGGATCTTATATAAAACAGAAGCCTCCCCTCATAATATCTTTTCATTGTACTGAATTTCCCATACCCTACTTTATTTTTCTTCATACTTGCTTATCACTACGCGATGTAGCAAATGTGTTTATATTAATTTTTTTCTCTCCTCCTTACTCATTATAATATAAAATTCATCAGTGTGTAGTCAACATGCTGCTGTGTCCTCAACACTCAAAACAGGGCCTGGAACATTGCCAGTATACAATAAATATTTACTTAATGATTGAATGAATGAATAGTTGAATAAATATTAAAATACATATAAAAATACATTTTTCATAAAAAATATATGAAAAATATAAATATAAATAAATATTTAAAATATATAATATATAAATTTTTTTAAAATTTCTAATATAATGGAAAAATATCCAAGAGCCATAAATAGGCAAAGAAAAATAAATGCAAATAACTGATAACATTTGTAAATAGATCAAACCTAGCTCATAGTCAAAGAATTATAAAAATAAAGTGCTGTCACCCTCCAAATGGACAATGTGGACAACTGTTAAAATAGTTAGTGAAACTCAGTTTTGACAATGGCTAGAAAAGTACGTACCCACTATCATACAGAGTTGGTGGAGGTGATAATTTGTACAATCTCTTTGAAGGGAAATTCAGCAAAATTTACCAAAGTAAAATGTCCCTACCATTCTACTTCTAGCAGTGATGGAGTAACTGGTACTGGACTGGCTTTCACAGTGAAACTAATAGAAACTGTACAAAATATATTAAACAGGCATTTTTAGATACTGGGCAGGAGATAATATGGGAGAGTGATCCTTGGTAAAAGGAAACCAAAAAAGTGATCAGTTTAACCACCTGGATTTTGGTCTGTAGGTATTTTTCTGGGTCTTGGTAGAGGAAGAACATAGTGATATTTTGAGTGAAAGAGAGATGTCCATTTGGGGGAAGCTGAGATGGCTGGAATTTGTGAGGCAGAGCACTGAAAAGAAGGGTGCTAGCCAGAAAAACAGCTTCAGATGTCTGAGTATGGGTCTCCTTGAGTCTTTGGATGAATGTAAACCTGTGTATGATGGAGTGAAACTCTAGAGAAGCCAGGCAAAAAGGCCTCCAGGTACGCAGGGCTGAGAGATGTTCAAATGTGGATAAGCCACATTGTGGAGAGCATGTTGAATACTCAAGACATTCAGCAGGAACCCTGGAAGTGACATATCTTAGTAGAAAGGCTGAACTAGCTCTAGAAGAGAAAAACGAGACTTGAAAGAAACAAGTTGATCTGTAAGTAATTTGTCTGCTTGCCTGAACAAAGTATACATTCTTTAAAGGAAGACACAAAAATCCAAATTCTCAATAATATAACTTACAATCACCAGTATTCAATTAAAAAATTACTGAATGACAAAAAACAGAAAAAAAGTAACCTAAACCAGAAGAAAAATCAGTAATAGAATCAGACTGAAAAATAATACAGATGATGGAATTAGCAAAAATGATCTTTAAATAACTATTATAATATGTTCAAAGATTTAAAGGAAAACATGAATATAATGAGGACATAAACTGTTGTTAAAAATCAAATGACACTTCCATAACCAAAAAAAAACTTGAAATAAAAAATTTGTTAGATAGACTAAACATCAGATTTGACACTGGAAGAAAAAAGATATTAATAAACTTCAATAGAAACCATTAAAATTAATTGATGGGGAGGTAGAGGGGAGACTGTAAAAAAATGAAAAGAACTTTAGGAACATCTGAGGCAATATCAAATGGTCTTAAAATGTTCAATTAGACATCCCAGGATGCTTGGCCAGGAAATATATTTGAAGACATTATGACCAAAAACTTACCAAATTTGATGAAAAGTATTAACCATAGATCCAAGGAATACAAGGAATCCAAAGCAAGATAAAAGTGCATGCATGCATATGCACACACTTAAACACATCTATATATACATATATACACAGACACATGCACATATATGCACATACACATATGTACATACAAATACACACATACAGACACCTGCAAACATACACACAGGCACATACACATGCACACATGTATACATACACATGCATACATACATATACAGACATATATACACATACGCTCATATACACAATGCACACATATATACCCATGCACAAATACACAGATACCACATACACACTTACACACACTCATACAAACAACACTGAGGCACATGATCATAAAATTTCTGAAAACTAGAGAAGTTCAGTTCTGAAAACCAAATTTCATTCAGAAAGGTTTTTTTTGAAAATTGACAAATTGATATGAAGATCATATCATATACGTTGATATATGAAGAGTTAAAAATTCCAGGATAGCCAAAACAATTTTGAACAAAAAATAAAATTGGAAGACAGATTATCTGGCTTCAGGGATTATTTTAAAGGTACAATAAGACAGTATAGTGCTACTCTAAGAATACACACATAGATCAATGGAACTGAACACAGTGCAGAAATGAACCCACACATATTTGGTCAATTAATTTTCAACAAAGGTGCCAAGGTAGGTCAATTGGAAAAGTACAGTCTTTAAAAAAATAGTGTTAAAAAGTTGGACATCCCAGGCTGGGTGCGGTGGCTCATGCCTGTAATCCCAGCACTTTGGGAGGCCAAGGCGGGCAGATCAGGAGATTGAGACCACCCTGGCTAACACGGTGAAACCACATCTCTACTAAAAATACAAAAAAATTAGCCAGGCATGGTGGTGGGCACCTGTAGTCCCAGCCACATGTGAGGCTGAGGCAGGAGAATGGCGTGAACCCGGGAGGCGCAGCTTGCAGTGAGCCGAGATCGCATCACTGCACTCTAGCCTGGGCGACAGAGCAAGACTCTGCCTTAAAAAAAAAAAAAAAAAAAAAAAAGTTGGATATTCCCATGGGAAAAAATGACATTTACTTTATAACATACACTAAAATGAACTTGGAATTATCTTAAACCTAAAAGTTAAAGCTAAAACTACCGAACTTCTAGAAGAAATCATAGGAGAAAATGCTCAGTCATTTAGGACAGGCAAAGATTCTTTAGTAAAGAAAGGGGACTTCATCCCTGGGATGCAAGGCTGGCTCAATATACGCAAATCAATAAATGTAATCCAGCATATAAACACAGCCAAAGACAAAAACCACATGATTATCTCAATAGATGCAGAAAAGGCCTTTGACAAAATTCAACAACGCTTCATGCTAAAAACTCTCAATAAATTAGGTATTGATGGGACGTATTTCAAAATAATAAGAGCTATCCATGACAAACCCACAGCCAATATCATACTGAATGGGCAAAAACTGGAAGCATTCCCTTTGAAAACTGGCACAAGACAGGGATGCCCTCTCTCACCACTCCTATTCAACATAGTGTTGGAAGTTCTGGCCAGGGCAATTAGGCAGGAGAAGGAAATAAAGGGTATTCAATTAGGAAAAGAGGAAGTCAAATTGTCCCTGTTTGCAGATGACATGACTGTATATCTAGAAAACCCCATTGTCTCAGCCCAAAATCTCCTTAAGCTGATAAGCAACTTCAGCAAAGTCTCAGGATACAAAATCAATGTACAAAAATCACAAGCATTCTTATACACCAACAACAGACAAACAGAGAGCCAAATCATGAGTGAACTCCCATTCACAATTGCTTCAAAGAGAATAAAATACCTAGGAATCCAACTTACAAGGGATGTGAAGGACCTCTTCAAGGAGAACTACAAACCACTGCTCAATGAAATAAAAGAGGATACAAACAAATGGAAGAACATTCCATGCTCATGGGTAGGAAGAATCAATATCGTGAAAATGGCCATACTGCCCAAGGTAATTTACAGATTCAATGCCATCCCCATCAAGCTACCAATGCCTTTCTTCACAGAATTGGAAAAAACTACTTTAAAGTTCATATGGAACCAAAAAAGAGCCCGCATCGCCAAGTCAATCCTAAGCCAAAAGAACAAAGCTGGAGGCATCACACTACCTGACTTCAAACTATACTACAAGGCTACAGTAACCAAAACAGCATGGTACTGGTACCAAAACAGAGATATAGATCAATGGAACAGAACAGAGCCCTCAGAAATAATGCCGCACATCTACAACTATCTGATCTTTGACAAACCTGAGAAAAACAAGCAATGCAGAAAGGATTCCCTATTTAATAAATGGTGCTGGGAAAACTGGCTAGCCATATGTAGAAAGCTGAAACTGGATCCCTTCCTTATACCTTATACAAAAATCAATTCAAGATGGATTAAAGACTTAAACGTTAGACCTAAAACCATAAAAACCCTAGAAGAAAACCTAGGCATTACCATTCAGGACATAGGCATGGGCAAGGACTTCATGTCTAAAACACCAAAAGCAATGGCAACAAAAGACAAAATAGACAAATGGGATCTAATTAAACTAAAGAGCTTCTGTACAGCAAAAGAAACTACCATCAGAGTGAACAGGCAACCTACAAAATGGGAGAAAATTTTCGCAACCTACTCATCTGACAAAGGGCTAATATCCAGAATCTACAATGAACCCAAACAAACTTACAAGAAAAAAACAAACAACCCCATCAAAAAGTGGGCAAAGGACATGAACAGACACTTCTCAAAAGAAGACATTTATGCATCCAAAAAACACATGAAAAAATGCTCATCATCACTGGCCATCAGAGAAATGCAAATCAAAACCACAATGAGATATCATCTCACACCAGTTAGAATGGCAATCATTAAAAAGTCAGGAAACAACAGGTGCTGGAGAGGATGTGGAGAAATAGGAACACTTTTACACTGTTGGTGGGACTGTAAACTAGTTCAACCATTGTGGAAGTCAGTGTGGCGATTCCTCAGGGATCTAGAACTAGAAATACCATTTGACCCAGCCATCCCATTACTGGGTATATACCCAAAGGACTATAAATCATGCTGCTATAAAGTCACATGCACACGTATGTCGATTGCGGCACTATTCACAATAGCAAAGACTTGGAACCAACCCAAATGTCCAACAATGATAGACTGGATTAAGAAAATGTGGCACATATACACCATGGCATACTATGCAGCCATAAAGAATGATGAGTTCATGTCCTTTGTAGGGACATGGATGAAATTGGAAATCATCATTCTCAGTAAACTATCGCAAGAACAAAAAACCAAACACCGCATATTCTCACTCATAGGTGGGAATTGAACAATGAGATCACATGGACACAGGAAGGGGAACATCACACTCTGGGGACTGTTGGGGGGTGTGGGGAGGGGGGAGGGATAGCATTGGGAGATATACCTAATGCTAGATGATGAGTTAGTAGGTGCAGCGCACCAGCGTGGCACATGTATACATATGTAACTAACCTGCACAATGTGCACATGTACCCTAAAACTTAAAGTATAATAATAAAGGAAAAAAAAAAAAGAAAGAAACTAAATTCAGAGACTGTTTAAAAATGTTAATAAATTGGTCTATATAAAATTGTATAAAATCAAAGATGTGCCTGCTATATTTAGCACAATAATTCCATTTCTTGGTATTTACCCCAAATAAATGATATTATATGTCTCTAAAAAGACATGTGTGTATGTGTGTGTGTGTGTGTGCATGTATGCACAACAGCTTTGTTCATAATAGTAAAAAGGTAGAAACAACCCAAATGTATATTAGAGGTAAGTGCATAAACAAATCCATATATATACTCAGTAATGAAAGGAACAAATGACTAATACATTCAACATGAATGACTCTCAAAAAATGAATGCCTGCTATCAAAAAAGATGTCAGACACAAGAGGCTGTTTACTGTATAATTCTACTTTTATAAATTTTTAAATCTGGTAAAACTAATCTAAAATGATAGAAATCAGATTAATGGTGGCCTAGAACCAGATTTGGGAATGAGATTGCCTGCAAAGGAGCACAAGACAACTTTGTAGGATAATGAAAATGTTTCACATCTTGATTGTGGTTGTGGCTACGTGGATGTAAGCATTTGTTAAAACTCAATAAACTATACTATGTATTTATTATAGAGATAGGATTTTGCCGTGTTGCTCAGGCTGGTTTCAAACTTCTGAGCTCAAGCCATCCACCTGCCTCAGCTGCCTAAAGTGCTGGGATTACAGGCGTGAGCCACCACGCCTGGCCTGTACCTTTTAAATGAATGTATTTTATTTTATTTTATTTTATTTTATTTATCCCTCCTTAAAGTCTACTTAAAAGGGAAAACATAAAAATTTGACTTAATGATCTGACATATTCATAGAATAATATGAATAGTATAGCCCACTTTACATAAAGAGAAAAAAATTGGTATCTGTGTATAAATGCATGTCCTCTCCACAGGACATTTGTCAGAGAGTAAAAAGGGAATAAAAAATTTTCTCCAGGTAATTATTCATCAAATATAAATTCATGTATCATTTATATAATTAAAAATAGCATTTTAACAGCCTACAAAGAATGTGAAAGATGGAAGAAAATACAAAAATAGAAATCTGATCACCAATGAGAACACAATTCCAGTTCTTCCTCTGAAACACAAAGAAATGTCTAAGCCCTTTGTTCCAACAATTCTATTTATAAAAATTTTGTATAAATAAGTTTGCAAAGTCATATTTAAGATATTAATTTTTTTGCAGCAAAAATTGGGCAAATTTAAATGAACATTGTTGGGAATGTGTTTAATAAAATACAGCTCACCTATATACAGAGCTTGAAAGAGAGGGATATGGAGAAAGAGATGGAAAGAGAGAGAGAGGAAGGGAAGAAGGGAAGGAGAGTGGAAGGGAAGGAAGGAAGGAAGGAAGCAAAGAAGGAAGGAAGGAAGAAAAGAATGGAGGGAGGGAGGAAGGGAGGGAGGGAGGAAGGAAGGAAGGAAGGGGAGAAGGGTGAGCAAGTAGTAAGAGGAAGAGTATAAAGGATAAAATTGGCAAATGTGTATTACATTACCGAGATTCAGAGAAAAAGAATGAATATTATAATACTAACACTGAATTGATTAAAACGCTTTTAATAAGTTGTTTCTTACACAAGAATATAAATAATTACAAAATATGATGGGTCTCACAACACTAAACTAAAATTAATATTATCATATGAGTAAGAGTTTATAAGTAATAATCACAAAAAATTTCTTCTGTTCAGCAAGCCATGGTTCTTTTTGAAGAAACGTCAACAACATTGAGAAAGAGGTAGAAAACCAGCTGAGCAATAAACTACAGTCAACTTTTGATTATAACAGATGAAACTATCCTGTTTGATAATGATGTTTTATTACTCATAATGTAAAGACTGTTAAGGAATGCAAAAGTATTAGTGGTTATGTTATGTTGAAAATTACATACAATGTATACAAAAGGGTCACTTATGTTTGAAAGCCTTAAAAATTAATTCCTGGAAAAAGAATCCATTTCCCAATGGCATACATTTTGCAATAACAAATAGAGCCCAAGCTATGGTTGACATGCAATTTATGTATATGGTCAACTTAAAAAAAGTATAAACAGATGTTTTCCCAATTCATTGCATTATACATAGCAACAATTGGTCTGCAAGAATCTTTGTGAAAGAGTCTCCAAAATAACGAATATTATTATGAGTGCTATTAATGAAATTAAGAATAACCCTATAAATAATAGATTATTTTATAAACTATGTAGATACTGAAGAGCAGTTTAAATATTATATTCTAACTCTGAAATTACAGAGTTCTCCTAAAGAAATATTGTACAAGGTTTTCACAACAAATTTGATATTATTATACTTTTTTACTCAATTTGTTAAAAACTTTAAAATCAAATTTTTAATTATGAAATTGTGTGATGTATCTTTAAGACATATTTTAAAATTAAGTGAAAGGCTTCTTGTTTTTTGAGACAGGGTCTTCCTCTATCGCTGGAGTGCAGTGGTGCGATCTTGGCTCACTCCAACCTTCACCTCCTAGGCTCAAGTGACCCTTTCACCTCAGCCTAAATGACATGCTTTCTAAGTTATAGGGAAAATAAAAACCATGTCAGTAATTTCAAGATAATTGTCATTGATTTTCACAGCAAACTTGCATTATTTATAAATAATAATAACCTGAAAAATTATACAATTCCTATCTGTTCAACAGTATGAAAAATAGAAATACACTTAGCATTCAATATGAATTTATACTGAGGCATCAGATTAGGCAATCAGTATTTCTGAAATAGATGTGGAATATGTTAGTCAGTATTTGTAGAAGAGATCATTGAGCTAAGAAATAACAGCAACCAAAGCATGAATTAATCAATTCATTTACAGAAGTTTTAGAATATAGTTAAGTATTCTATGCTCACTAATTTGATAAGAAACTAAATGAATCATGGCAGCATTTAGTTGACCAGTGGCAATTTTTTGACAAGCTACATAACCACTCTACAGTCTTCTCATCTGAAAAATGGAAGTTATTATAATGCCTATTTTAGAAGTTCGTTTAGAAGATTAAATAATTTAATACATGCTAACCACTTGAAACTTTTTAAGGCACATGAAAAATACTGAACAAATGTAATTCCTAATTATAAAATATTATACATCACTTTAAATGACAGAGTTATAAGGAAGCATTAAGGACAACTGTCATTGACTCTTGCCACAACTCTCTGAGAGGTTTTAACTAGAATGCTGATTTGAGCTAACATTACCTTGGCCACATGGAGCCATCAGCTCATCTAGAAATGACACAAGCCAAGAATTCTGTAAATACCTCTGAGGAGTGTACTCTCTTTCTCTTTTCTAAAACTTTGTGTATTTTCATCAAATGACTAAAAACACATGCTCTGGTGATTCTTTTTTTTTTTTTTTTAACGCTGACAGTCACTTAATTTTCTGTAAGAGTGTTTTATCACGTGTGTACCCTAAACTTACTATCTCCAAATTTCACGTTTCTCAATCTTATGTGAGATAATTCATTCACAACACTCTCTTCCTAAGAGAAAATAAATACTGGTACAAAATTTATAATAAACAAGTTTAATGAGTTTTTTGTGGTTGGGGGGGCTACTTTAAATGAAATTTCCATTAAGCATAGAGCCTCTCATTCCTAATGCTTCTTGGACGTTGTTAAATGCAGATTCATCCAGTACCTAAGTTCCACCATTCCATAAGGAGTAGTAAAAGGTTACATTTCAGCAGACAGACTTGGGAGTATTTTCTTTCAGCTCTTAGATGTGAGTTCTGCTGTTATTGATATTTGGTTTAAATCCATTTTAACATTGTAATCTTTGTCATGAGGTAAATTTACACCCATTTTGGGTCAACAAAAACACTACCAGCAGATTTCTTTCAGGAATACTTTAAAATATAATATTCAGTGAGAATTATAGAATAACCAGCAGAAAGGGAGGATAAATAAAAAAATTCCAATTTTGGCTGTGCCCATTGCTTATTATGAAACATATGAAAAGTCTCTTAAATTCCTCTAGTTTCATAACAGACATACCTCATTTTATTGCGCATCACTTGATTGCATTCCACATATATTGTGGGATTATTTCACAAATTAAAGTTTTGTGGCAATCTTGCATCAGGCAAATCTATCAGGGTTATTTTTCAACAGCCCATCCTCACTTGGTGTATCAATGTCCCATTTTGGTAATTCTCACAATATTTCAAAAACTTCCATGATTAACGATATTTGATTTTTCTATTGAAATTGTTTTGGGATACTGTGAACTGTACCCATAAAAAATGTCAAACTTCAGTAATAAATGTATGTATTCTGACTGCTCCACTGACCAGTCACTTCCCTGTCTTTCTCCCTTTAGTCAGGCTTTCCTATTCCCTGAGACAATATTGAAATTAGACCAATTAATAACCCTACAGTGTCCTCCAAGTGTTCAAATGAAAGAAAAAGATGCATGTTTCTCGCTTTAAATCAAAAGCTAGAAATGATTAAGCTTACTGAGAAAGGCATGTCAAAAGCCAAGAGAGACCGAAAGTTAATCCTCTTGCTCCAAATAGTTTGCCAAGGTTTGAATGCAAAGAAAAAGATCTTGAAGAAAATAAAAAAGTGTTACTCAGTGAAAACATGAATGGTAAGTAAACAAAACAGCTTTATTGCTGCTATAGAGAAAGTCTGAGTGATCTGGATAAAAGATCGAATGAGCCACAATGTTCCCTTAAGCCAAAGCCTAATCCAGAGCAAGGCACTAACTCTTCAAGCCTATGTAGGTTAAGAGAGGCAAGGGAAGTGCAGAAGAAATGCTGAAATCCAAGAGTGATTGGTCCATGAGGCTTAAGAAAAGAAGCTGTCTTTATAACATAAACGTCTAAGATGAGGCAGCAAGTACTAATGTAGAAGCTGCAGCAAGTTATCTAGAAGACAAAAGAAAGAAATGAAAGGCATCTAAACAGGAAGAGAGGGAGTCAAACTAACCCTGTTTGCAGATGATATGATTCTGTACCTAGAAGACCCCCGTAGTCTCTGCCCAAAAGCTCCTTGATCTGATACACAACTTCAGCAAAGTTTCAGTATGCAAAGTCAATGTACAAAAATCAGTAACATCTCTATACATAAACAATATTCAAGCGAATAGCCAAATCAAGAACACAATCCCATTCACAGTAGCCACAAAAAAGAATAAAATACCTAGGAAAATAGCTAACCAAGGAGGTGAAAGACCTCTACAATGAGAATTACAAAACACTGCTCAAAGAAATCAGAGATGACACAAACAAATGGAAAAACATTCTATGCTCATAGATCGGAAGAATCAATATTGTCAAAATGGCCAGACTACTCAAAGCAATTTACAGATTCAATGCTATTCCTATTCAGCTACCAATGACATTCTTCACAGAATTAGAAAAAACTATTTTAAAATTCATATAGAACTAAAATAGAGCTCAAATAGCCAAGGCAATACTAAACAAAAAGAACAAAGCTGGAGGCATCACATTACCCAACTTCAAACTATAAAGCAGGGCCACAGTAACCAAAACAGCATGGTACTGGTACAAAAACAGACACATAGACGAATGGAACATAAGAGAGAGCCCAGAAATAATGCTGCACACCTATAACTATCCTATCCTTGACAAAAGCCACAAAAACAACCAATGGGGATAGGATTCTCCATTCCACCAATAAATGGTGCTGGGATAACTAACTAGCCATATGCACAAGATGGAAACTGGACAGCTTTCTTACACCATATGCAAAAATTAACTCAAGATGAATTAAAAACTTATATATAAAACCAAAAACTATAAAAACTCTGGAATATAACTTAGGAGATGTCATTCTGGACATAGGACCCCACAAAGACTTCATGACAAAGACTCCAAAAGCAATTGCAACAAATACAAAAATTGACAAATTGGAACTAATTAAACTAAAGAGATTCTGCACAGCAAAAGAAACGATCGACAGAGTAAACAGACAACTTACAGAATGGGAGAAAATATTTACAAAGTGTGCATCTGACAAGGTCTAATATCCCGAATCTATAAAAACTGAAACAATCCAATAAGCAAAAAACAAACAATTCGAGATTGGGCCACTGCACTCCAGCCTGGTGACAGAGCGACACTCTGTCTCAATAAATAAATAAATAAAATAAAAAAGTGGACAAAGGACATAAAAAGACACTTTTCAAAAGAAGAAATTCACGTGGCTAACAAGAATATGAAAAAATGCTCAACATTACTAATCATTAGATAAATGCAATTCAAAAACCACAATGAGATAACATCTCACACCAGTCATAACAACTATGATTAGAAAGTCAAAAAAATAAAATAAAATAAAGGATGCTGGTGAGGCTATGGAGAAAAGGAAACACGCACTCCTGGTGGGAATGTAAACTGGTTCAGCAGTTTGGCAATTTCTCAAAGAACTTAAAACAGAATTACCATTTGACCCAGCAATCTCATCATTGGGTATATACCAGAAGAAATATAAATCATTCTACCATAAAGACACAAGCACGTCTATGTTCACTGCAGCACTAACCACAGAAACAAAGATGTGGAATCAACCTAAATGCCCATCAATGAAAGACTGGTTAAAGAAAATGTGTTACATATACACCATGGAATACTACGTAGCCGTAAAAAGAATGGGATCATTTCCTTTGCAGCAACATGGATGAAGCTGAAGGCCATTATTTTAAGCAAACTAATAAAGGAACAGAAAACCAAATTCCACATATTCTCAGTTGTAAGTGGAAGCTAAACAGTGAGTACAAATGGACACAAAGAAGGGAACGACAGAGACTGGGGCCTACTTGAGGGTGGAGGGTGGGAGGAGGATAAGAATAAAAAAACTACCTATTGGGTATTATGCTTATTACTGCGGTGACAAAATAATTTGTACACCAAACCCCACAGCATATAATTTACCTATATAGCAAACCTGCGTATGTACCCCTGAACTTAAAATGAAAGGGTTTTTTTTTTTTTAAGTTATCTAGAAGATCTAGCTAAGATAGTTGATGAAGATTGCTATACTAACCAACAGATTTTCAGTGTGGAAGGAATAGCCTTCTAGTGGAAGATGATGCCATCCAGGATTATCATAGCTAGGAGTCAATGCCTGGCTTCGATGCTCCAAAGGACAGTCTGACACTCGTATTAGGGGCTAATGTGGCTGGTGATTTTAATTTGAAGCCAATGTTCATATACCATTCCAAAAATACTAGGGCTCTTAAGAATTATGCTATATCTACTCTGCCTGAGATCTGTAAATGAAACAACAAAGCTTGGATGACAGAATAGCTGTTTACAGCATGGTTTACTAAGTATACTAAGCCCGCTGTTGAAACCTACTGCTCAGGAACAAAAGGTTTCTTGCAAAAGATTACTGCTCATTGACAATGCACTCGGTCACCCAAGAGCTCTGATGGAGACTTACAAGGAGATTAATGTGTGTGTGTGTGTGTTTTCCTGATAAGAAGACATCCATTCTGAAGGCCATGGATCAAGGAGTAATTCCAATTTTCAAGTATTATTTAAGAAATATATTTTGTGAATCTGTAGGTGCCGTAGAGCATGATTTCTCTGATGGATCTGGACAAAGTTGTTGTTAGCTGGTTGTTATGTAGACTTGATGCTGTAGTTGCTTAATACTGTCTGTGGGCTCTTTGCTTAAGTGTGTTTTTGTGGCAGTAGATGTTCTTTTGATTCCATGTTTAGCACTCCCTTAATGACCTCTTGTAAGGCTGCTCTAGTGGTAACAAATTTTATTCATGTTTGCTTGCCTGAGTAGGCTTTTATTTCTCTTTCACTTGTGAAGCTTATTTTGGTGGAAGGTAAAATTCTTCACTGAAATGTGTGTGTGTGTGTGTGTGTATGCTAAAAATAGGTTCCCAATCTCTTTTGGCCTGTGAGGTTCTTACTGTGAGTATAGTCAGTTGGCTTCATTTCTCAATGAACTGCCACTCTAGTGGGGTTCCCTTTATACGTGACCTGACCCTTCTCTAACCCTTCTCTCTGTCTTTAAGATTTTTTTTTCTTTTGATGTTGGTGAATCTAATGACCATGTGTTTTGAGAATGGTTGTCTTAGATAGTATCTAGCTGGTGTTCTCAGTATTTCTTGTATTCGAATGTCAACCTCTCTAGCAAGATTAGAAACATTTTTGTGAACTATATCCTCAAATATATATTTTCCAAGTTGCTTACTCTCTCTCCTTCTTTCAGGGATGCCAATAAGCTGTAGGTTTTGTTTCTTTACATAATCTCATATTTCTCAGAGGTTTTGTTCACTTTTAAAAATTCTGTTTTTCTTAATTTTTATCTAATTAAATTGATTTGAAGAAACTGGTCTTTGAACTCAGATTTTTTTCTCACCTTGGTCTATGCTGCTGTTAACACTTCTGATTGTTAGGACATTCTTTTTTTTTTTTTTTTTTTGAGATGGAGTCTCCCTCTGTCACCCAGGCTGGCGTGCAGTGGCACAGTCTCGGCTCACTGCAAGCTCCGCCTCCCGGGTTCACGCCATTCTCCTGCCTCAGCCTCCCGAGGAGCTGGGACTACAGGCACCTGCCACCATACCTGGCTAATTTTTTCTATTTTTAGTAGAGACAGGGTTTCACCGTGTTAGCCAGGATGGTCTTGATCTCCTGACCTCGTGATCCGCCCACCTCAGCCTGCCGAAGTGAGGACACTCTTTTAGTGATTTCTTTCAGTTCCAGAAATTCACTTTGGTTCTTTTTCTTTGAGACGGAGTTTTTGCTCTTGTTGCCCAGGCTGGAGTGCAATGGCACAATCTCGGCTCACCACAACCTCCACCTCCCCAGTTCAAGTGATTCTCCTGCCTCAGCCTCCCCAGTAGCTGGGATTACAGGCATGCACCACCACTCTGGCTAATTTTGTATTTTTAGTAGAGACAGGGTTTCTTCATGTTGGTCAGGCTGGTCTTGAACTCCTGACCTTAGGTGACCCATCTGCCTCAGCCTCTCAAAGTGCTAGGATTACAGGCATGAGCCATGGTGCCAGGCCTTGGTTCTTTCTTAAAATGGCTATTTCATCTTTCAGATCTTGGATCATTTTGTTGAATTCCTTGTATTCCTTGGATTGAGTTTCAACTTTCTCCTGAGTCTTGATGAGTTTCTTTGCCATTCCAAGTTCTATGTCTGTCATTTCAGTCTAGTTAAGAACCATTGCTGGGGAGCGATTGGGCTCATTTGAAGGTAAGGGAACACTCTGGCTTTTTTAATTATCAGAGTTCTTGTGCTGGTTCTTTCTCATCTAGGAGGTCTGGTGTTTAAGTTGAGTATAGTCAGTTGGCTTCATTTCTCAATGCTTTCACAGGGCCAAGGCTCTGTACAGGATTTTTATTTGTCGCTGGATTCTTGCCTTTGCTTTCACAGGGGTGAATGTTAGCAGAATATTTTTTGATGTTGTAGTCTGGTCTGAGATCCAGTAGATGGCATGGAAGAGTAACAGCTGGTAGAAAAGCTCTTAGTCATGTGGCTCTTTATTTCCTTGCATTTGCAGGCATGCTTCTTAGTGGTGGGGGAAGAGACAACTTTCTCACCAGGTCTACTTCTGGGCCTTGGGGGAATCCCCCCATCACTGGTGTTACACACACATTCTTTTTTTAGGTGTTCCAGGCCACAAGCGCTCCTAAATAGGCCATATCCTTTTTGAACTGGCCCTGCAGAGGGAGGTATGCCCCATTCCCACACAGGTACACAAACCTGTGTGTCTCATCTTTCTCAGTGTTCTGAGGGTGGGCACTCCTCCCCGAATTCAGTGCCAGCCACAGATCTAGGCTTAGCACTCTCAAGCTGTGCACCACATCCCTTGGGCACTGGGACTGGCCTGCATTTTGAGTTGGGCTCCAGCTTCACTGGGGATCTGAACTGCTCCCCAGATGCTGGGAAAGTACTCAGGTGGAGCAAAGCACTGAGACTGGGCAGCAGAAGCTGTGCTGTGCACATGCTACTGCAGGTTAGCAAGGAAGGGGCCCTCAGAGGTTTGAGTGGGCCCTCCAGAACAGACATGCCCTAGTCCTGCAGGGAAGCTGGCCCTGCCTTCTCCTGGCCCAAAAGTCAGCTGGGGCTAATCCTTCTCAAAGGGAGATGGAGAACCCTGGGGGATGGGCACCTATAACCACACTTACGCAAGCTTCTCTGAGCACAAAAGCCCATGGGCTCCACGCCAGCTGAAACCCTGTCTCTCCCTACTCTCTGGGAAGATCCCTCTGCCTGCTCAAAAGTCCGTGGGAGATGTGAGGTGCCCTATAGATAGTATCCCAGAGATCCATGGCAAGAGCAGGCTGTGCCTCAGTAGTTTACCCACCTTTTTTTCCTGGAGCCAATTTGGGGCTGGGATCTAGCCCTAGCATTTGGGCACCCTGTGCAAGGTTCCCAGATTCCTCCCTCTTCAACTTGGGAGTCTATGTTACCTCTCCATCCACTCTCAGTGTTTTCTGTCAAAAGATCTGCTCAAATTATGTCTTTTAACTCCATATTTGGTCTCTCTCAGTGGGACGGGTGCTTCCTGGATGCATCTAGTTGGCCATCTTGTTCTCCCTCCCTTATTCATTCTTGCTGATGAAGAATTAACTTCCCCTCACTCTTTGCAGCACTGTAGGACTGAGGACTCTTTAGACCACAAAGGGCAACAGCTTGACTTAAATTTATGTAGCAAAACACAGACATGTGTGTAAACACACACACACACCCACAAAGGTTTTTGTCTACTTAACTAGAAAGTCAGAAAGTACCACAACTATATTCAAGAGTTTAAGTGCCCTCAAATACTTAAACTAACTCTTATTAACTACAAGAAGACTTCATATAGTAAAAGGAGTAGCTTTCAGGAAACCCTGATACTTATCTTTGGTGAAAACAGATATGCTTCCTTAAATTTCCATCCTCCACTTCTCCCATAATAATAGAATTTTTAACTATGCATATGGTTTTCCATGTAAGGGCTACTTTCCAAAGCCTCTCTTGCAGCTTAGAGTAACTGTGTAAGTAAACAATAGCCAATATGATCTGAGCAGTAGTAACATGTACATCTCCTATTTATGCCTTTGAAGGGATGGGGTGTATCCTCCTTTTGTTCTCTTCCTTCACACTAGCTGTCATGCAGACATATGGGAGAAGCTGGAACAATTATCTTAGACCATGAGACAGAAGCTGTATGTTTAACATTTCAGGGTAACACGACAAAAAGAGCTTGAGCTCTTAATGACTTGGTTGAGGAGAGCTACCATGCAGCTCAGACTTTTACATGACACATTAATGAGCTTCTATCTTATTTAAGCTAATGCTAACTTGAGGTCTTTGTCACATCAGCTGAATCATAGTCTAACAAATGCCATACCCTTTAAACATTATTATCCAAAAGGGCAAGAATCTTCTCCTAGCTCCAACATAAAGATTCTTAGAGAACCCTGATGGCCTGCGTTTGGTCACTTGCTTACCTTTGAATCAATCAACAATAGCAAGGGAGTTAAAAAAATTATTGTCTAGATCACACACCCATTCCTGTTACCAAATGAGTGCAATATTATGATCGGTAGTCCCAATAGAGTCATATTGAATGGGCGAGCTGCCATTTCTAAAAAGAAGGATGGTGCTAAATAGTGAAAAATGAGAGATGTTTCCCTGGAGATTAGAAAACACAAGTGAGAAACTTTAATAGTAAAATATATGTTTATATATTTAAAAACACATGAGGAAAAACAACAATAAATAAAGCTTCTCTAATTAGTAGTGTCTGTCTCTCAACTACCATTACCAAAATCAAGAATAAAACAAGTCTTAAAATCTAGAACATCTCAGTATAATAACTGATGCTTTTCCTCAGAAATTGTCTTTCTCATTATCCTAGAGACTTGGTAAGACTAAGGCAAGATTTCTAATCAGTGGTTTATCAATCTGCTCTTTGACTTTGATTTTGTTTCAAACAGCTGGTCCTGTTTTAGCAGGAGATTTTAAAGATCATGGACTTTGAATTGGAGTTGAAGATTCTAAATCCTCTCTGCTCCATTACTAAGTTTTCTACTCTTGATGATTACAAGTGTAAGTACCTTGTGCACAAAAATAGGGATATATGCCTAGCACACATAAAAGTACCTAACAGTCCCCATGACTTCTGTGTATCCTTTCACATTTGTTATTTGTGGACTTAACTCCAGTTTTATATCTTCTTTCTTTTTTTTCCCAAGGACTAATCTCTGCTTGATGTATCATTATCTGTTCCCTTTCCCTTGATATCTGGATTCATAAAGCCATCTCCCTTGGATATTCTTAAGGATGGCTTTGTTTTTCCTCTTGCTACATAAGTTAACATACTTAGAAGTTCACATTAGCTCCCAGAACTCTGTAAAGGTAAACTGCTCATGTAAGAGCCTCCCTATATCAAGCCATCTATTACTATGTCTTCGTCTGTGGCTATAGCCCATTTTACACCAGCATATTAAATAACAAAAGGGAGATAAATATTGAATCAAATCCATAATTCCAAATTTATTTGGTTTTTTATTTACTTATCCAATCATGACTCCCAGCCCAAAACAGTTAGAAATGTTATTTGTCAGAGACATAAATATCTAAGATGCTTTTCAATCCTTGAGTTAAACTTCTCAAAAGAGTCCACTAAAGAACAGGAAATGACTGCTTTTGCAAAAAAGAAATGAAGTTGAATGGGGAAAAAATTGACATTGGTTATAAACTAATTTTAAAAACCACATTTCCTGCATGGGTTCTGTACTTGTAAAATATTCTCCAAATTCTATTTATCATATATTATTTGTTTAGACACAGTTATCAGATAGCTGATAACAGACAACATGTTTATTTTCATTTTTTTCCTCACTTTGAGGACTTTTCCACAGAAAGGCTAAATTTATTTGTACAAGTATGCAAAGGAAATATTATCCTCTAGAGATTTCCACCTTTTTCTTGAGATCAGAAGCTGGATATCTCTTAATTTTGATATGCTCTCCTTTAGCAACTAAGACAAGCCATCAATTTTGTTTGTAAAAGGATCCATAGAGAGGAGGGGCAGGGCAAGATGGCCAAATGGAAGGCTCTACCAATCTTCCCCATCCAGGAGTACCAGATTTAACAACTATCTACAAATAAAAAGCACCCTCATAAGAACCAAAAATCAGGTCAGCATTCACAGTACCCGATTTTAACTTCATATCACTGAAAGAGGCACAGAAGAGGGTGGGAAAGACAGCCTTGAATTGCAAATGCCACCCCTCCACCATCCCCTGGCAGCAGTCACATGGCACAGACGGAGAATCTGTGGGTTGGGAGAGGGAGACTGCAGCAATTGTGAGACTTTGCATTAAACTCACTGTTGCCCTGTCACAGCAGAAAGCAACACCTGGCTGAACTTGTCGACACCTGCCTGTGAAGGGAACATTTACACAAGACCATCCCAGCAATTGAAACTTGAGTTCTGGCAAGCATCACCAACTCAGGCTAAAGTATTTTGGGATGCTACACAAACTTGGAAGGCAGTCTAGGCCACAAGGAATGCAGCTGTTAGGTGAGTCCTAGTTCTGAGCTAGCCTCAGAGCCAGCGGACTTGGGGGGCAGGTGATCTAATAGGACACCAGCCAGGTGGCTAAGGGATTACTTGTGTCACCCCTCCCCCAACCTTAGGCTGCACAGCTTGTGGCTCCAAAGGAGATCCCTTTCTTCTGCTTGAGGGGAGAGGAGAGAGAAAAGAGGACTTTGTCTTGCATCTTGGATATCAGCTCAGCCACAGCAGGATAGGGTACCAGTCAGAGTCGTGAGGCCCCCTTTCTAGACGCTAGATCCTAGACAACATTGTTAGACACACCCATTTTTAGACGCCAGAAGAGAACCCACTGCCTTGGATGGAAGGCCCCAGTGCTGGCAGAAGCCATTGCCTGCAGACTAAATAATCCTTTGGCCCTGTATAACCAGCAGTATATCCAGATAGTATATCGTGGACCTTGGGTGAGACTCTGACACTTGCTGGCTTCAAATTAGACTCAGTACCTTCCTAGCTAAGGAGGCTATAGGGAGACTCCTTCTGCTTGAGAAAGGCAGAGGGAAAAGCAAAGGGAACTCTGTCTTTCACCTTAGGTACCAGCTCAGCCATAGGAGGGCAGAGCACCAACCAGGCACTTGGGGTATGCAATCCTAGGACTTGGCTCTTGAATAACATTTTTCAACCTGCACCCCACTGCCCTGAAGGGTGAGTCCCAAGCCATGCAGCATTCACTACAAGCTGACTGAAGAGCCCTTAGGCCTTAGGGAACATGGGCAGTAGTCCAGCAATACTTCCCACGGACCTGTGGTAGATGGCCACAGGGTGAATCTGCTCTGCCTGTGGAAAGGGGAGGAAAGAGTGAGAAGGACTGCGTCTTGTGATTTGAGTGCCAGATCAGCTGCGGTACAATCAAATGCCATGTAGATTTCTAAGGTTTTTGACTCTAGTCCTTGGCTCCCAGACGGCATGTCTTGTCCCACCTGGGGCCTGGGGGAACTTGCTGCCCTGAAAAGAAGGGCACAAGCCTGGCTAGCTTCACCACCTGTTGATTGTAGAGACCCAGGGCCTTGAGCAAACATAGGCAGTAGCCAGACAGATATTATAGCAGACCTTGGGCAAGACCCATGGCTGTGCTGGCTTGAGGTATGACCCAGTGCAGTCCCAGTGGTGATGGCCATAGGGGTGCTTATGTCACCTCACCCCGAGATCCAGATGGCTTAGCACAGAAAAAGATTCCATTTGTTTGGGAGAAAATAGGGGAAGAGAACAAGAGTCTTTGCCTGGTAATCCTGAGAATTTCTCCTGATCTTCACCAACACCATCAAAGTGGCCCCAGATTTCAGAAAAATTGAAAGGCTTTCTTCTATGAGTCTACAAAAACCCTAGTGTTACTGGGCTTGGGGTGTCCCCTAATGCATACACAGCTTAAATAGAAACACTCAAGTTCTTCTGAGTGCCTAGAAAGTGTTCCCAAGAAGGACAAGGACAAACAAGCCTAGATTGAGAAGGCAACAATAAATACCTTAAGTGCCCAGACATCGACAAATATTCACAAGCCTTCAGATCATCCAGGAAAACATGGCCTTAACAAATGAACTAAATAAGGCACTAGGGACCAATCCTGGGCAAAAAGAGATACATGACTTTCAGAAAGAGACTTCAGAATAGCTCTTTGAAGCAACTCAAAGAAATTCAAGATAACTCAGAGAAGGAATTCAGAATCCTATCAGATAAATTTAACAAATATGTAGAAATATTTCAATAGAACCAATAAAAATTTCTGGAGTTAGAAAATGCAGTTGACATACTGAAGAATATATCAGTGTCTCTTAATAGCAGAATTGATCAAGCAAAAAGTTGTGGGTTTTGAAGATAAACAAAATTGACAAACTTTTAGCCAGACTAAGAAAAAAAAATAGACCCCCCCAAAATAAAATAGAACATGAAAAAGAAGACGTTACAACACATAGTGTAGAAATTCACTAGATCATTAGTGGCCACTAGGAGTAACCACATGTTAACAAATTGGAAAATCTAGAAGAAATTGATAAATTCCTAGACGCATATAATGCACCAAGATTGAACTATGAAGAAATTAAAAACCTGAAAAGATCAATGACAAGTAACAAGACTGAAGCCATAATAAAACCTCTCCTAGCAAAGAAAAGCCTAGGACCTGATGGCTTCACTGCTGAATTATGCCAAACATTTAAAAAAGAACTAATACGAATCCTACTCAAATTATTCCAAAAAGTACAGGAGGAGGGAACATTTCCAAACTCATTCTGTCAGGCAAATATTATGCTGATACCAAAACCACATAAAGATACACCAACAAGCAAATCTATAGGCCAATATCACTGAGGAATATTGTTGCAAAAAATGCTCAACAAAATACTAGCAAACCAAATTCAACAACACATACAAGAGATCATTCATCTTGACCAATTGGGATTTATCCCAAGGATGTAAGAATGGTTCAACATATGCAAATCAATTAATGTGAAACATCTTATCAACAGAATAAATAACAAAAACCATATTAGCATTTTAATTGATGCTGAAAAGGCATTTCATAAAATTCAACATCCCTTCATAATAAAACACTCAAGAAACTGGATATAAGATGAACATACCTCAACGTAAATAAAGCCAGTATCCTACTGAATGGGGAAAAACTGAAAGCCTTTCTTCTAATATCTGGAACATGACAAGGATGCCCACTTTTACCACTGTTATTCAACATAGTACTGGAAATCCTAGCTAGATAAATCTGACAAGAGAAAGAAATAAACGGCATCCAAATTGGAAAGCAGTAAGTCAAATTATCTTTGTTTGCAGATTATATGATGTTATATTTGGAAAACACTAAAAACTCCATCAAAAAACTGTTAGAACTGATAAATTCAGTAAACTTGCAAGATCACCAACATTTCTATATGGCTAACAACAAACACACTGAAAAAGAATTCAAGAAAGTAATTCCATTTACAAGAGTACAAATAAAATAAAGCATCTAGGAATCCACCAAAAAAGAAAGATATCTACAATAAAAAGCTATAAAATATTGATGCAAGAAATCAAAGAGAACACTAATAATGGAAAGATATTCTAGATAATAGGTTGGAAGAATGCATATTATTAAAATATCCATACTAACCAAAGCAAGCTACAGATTTATTGCTATCCATATCAAAATACCAGAGACATTCTTCATAGAAATAGAAAAAAAAATGTAAAACTTATGTAGAACCACAGAAGACCCAGAATACCCAAAGCTATCTTATAGCAAAACTGGAGGAATACATTATTTGACTTCAAATTACACTGCAGAGAAATAGTAACAAAATGGTATAATGCTGGCATAAAAACAGATATATGGACCAGTAGAACAAATTAGAAACCCAGAAATAAATTCATGCTTCCACAGTGAACTCACTTTTGACAAAGGTGCTAAGAACACACTTTGGGGAAAGGACAGTCTCTTCAATAAATGGTGCTGGGAAAACTGGCTATCTATATGCAGAAGAATGACATTAGACCTCTATATCTCACCACATACAAAAATCAAGTCAAAATGGATTACAGACTTAAATCTAAGTCCTCAAACTATGAAACTATTAAGAGAAAACATTGAAGAAACTCTCCTGGACATTGGACTGGGCAAAAATTTCTTGAGTAACACCTCATAAACATAGGCATCCAAAGCAAAAATGGACAAAAGCAATTACATCAAGTTAAATAGCTTCTGCGCAGCACAAGATACAATCAATGAAGTAAGAGACAACCTACTGAATAGAAGAAAATATTTGCAAACTACCCATCTGACAAGGGAGTAATAACTAGAATACATAAGGAGTTCAAACAACTCTATGGGGAAGAATCTAATAATCCATTTTAAAAATGAGCCAAAGATATGAATAGAAATTTCTCAAAAGAAGACATACAAACTGAAAACAGGTATAAGAAAAGGTGTTCAATGTAGCTGATCATCAGAAAAATGCAAATCAAGACTACAATGTGATATCATCTCACTCCAGTTAAAATGGCTGTTATTCAAAAGTCAGGCAATAACAAATGCTGGTGAGGATGTGGAGAAAAGGGAACTCTAATGCACTTTCGGTGGAAATGTAAATTAGTACAGCCACTATGAAGAACAGTTTAGAGTTTCCTCAAATAACTAAAAACAGAGCTACCATACAATCCAGCAATCCCACTCCTAGGTATATACCCAAAAGAAAGGAAATTAGTATATCGAATACATATCCACACTTCTATATGTGTTGCAGCACTGTTCACAATAGCCAAGATCTGGAACAATCTAAGTGTCCATTAGCAGATGATTGGATAAAGAAAATATGGTACATGTATACAAGGAGTACCATTCAGCCATAAGAAAGAATGAGATCTTATCATTTGCAACAACATGGATGGAAATGGAGTTCATTATGTTAAGTAAAATAAGTCATGCGCAGAAAGACACAATTCACATGTTCTCACTTACTTGTGGGAGCTAAAAATTAAAACAATTGAATGTATGGAGATACAGAGTAGAAGAATGGTTACCAGAGGCTGGGAAGTGTAGTGGAATGTCAGGGAAATTTGGCAATAGTTAATGGATACAAAAAATAGAATGAATAAGACCTAGTATTTGCTAGCACAACTGGGTGACTCTAGTCAAAAATAATCTAATTATACATTTAAAAATAACTAAAAGATTATAATTGAATTGTTTGTAATACCAAGGATAAATGCTTGAGGTACTGGACACCCCATTTACCCTGATGTGATTATTACACTTTGCATGGCTGTATCAAAATATCTTATATAATCCATAAATATATGCACCTACTATGTACTCAAAAAAATCAGAAATTAAGAATTAAGAAAGAAGAATCCATGATAATTCCATTTGGTTTATGGCATAACAATTATAATTTTCTTAAGTATGTTGGAGTAGCTATTCCAAATCTGGTAATAAGAAATTTTCTCTTAATTCCTCAAATGTAACTGTCTCTTATAATAAAGACAGAAGAGTTTTTTTTAGACACTTAACCAAAACTCATTGTTATAAAGGAGAGAATGTGAGCAAAGATCAAAGAACTGACTTCTAAATTCAAATTGATAATTTAGTTTTTTCTAAACATAGGACCAACTCAAATGAGAATTGTCATTGTTAATCTCTTAATCTCTCATCATTTAAACACTTCTAAATGTGCTTTGGCCAACAATATTTTATGTTGACTTTGTTTCTAAAAGTGAAAGTTAGAATAAAAGCCACTTGTCTTCTTTAGTTTTTTTATTCATCCATTTATTTGTTTACTTAACAGAAATAAAATTTTAGTTGTCTACATACCCAAAAATAAGCTCAGTGTTGAGCAACATATAGAAATTTGAGAATAGCTGGATGTCCAATCTATTCAGAACTGTAGTATGAAAATGAGAAGGAATCATAACTCACAAAAAATTTTCTAAGCACTTAATGTTGACTATAGTGATTAAAGTTTGCATACTTAGAATGGAGAGATATATTGTGTCTTAAGATAAGTAAGAAACTTAGCTTGATTTGTGCATTCAACTATACAAGGTGTTAATGCCGAGAAAAAATCAAGACTGTCGGATTTTATTTTTTCACACTCTCCATCACACCAACTTGGGTTGCCCTTCCGCCCCGGGAAAATGAAAAATCTGATAGACATAAAATAAGAAATAAATAGTGGGTTCCTGTTCACCAATGAAGATAGAAAGTTTTCAGTATTATAAATAGAAATTATAGTGTTAGTCCTGAGGTAAGATGGGGGATAAACAAATTTTTTAAAGACCAAGAAGTAAAAGGATTGCAATTTTTCCATTAGTGTGAGAAATGAAAGTTTGTAGAAAAAGCTAGAAGGGCTAATATTTTGAAAGAAAATTGAATTCAGGAGCAAGAGCATCAGAGGGCCAACATAGAAGTAACAGCTTTCTTCAAGGTAGAGCTTTGCACACACTGTGTCTTTAGCTCTGAGTTTATGTATTCCTCGCTACAGACAGTATGTAAAATATATTGTTGCTATATATGCATGGAAAAAAAGCCTGTTCATTCACTTTGGCTTATCAAAATAGGATTAGGAAATGTTCTACTTAACAATGCATATGATCCAAAACAGACCCCTTTTACATAATTCAGTATCTATCCTAAAGAGCCAGACTTCACTCTCCTACCCTAGACTTATGATTAGCATGAGAGTTTAAAGCAAGGTTCAAAAGACCAGGATATAAGGATATTCATCAAACTGAAATGTGTCCCATTATATTCTATGCTTAATACTCATGGCTATCAGATATTTCATCACTACGACATGCTTGATAAAAAATTTTGCTGGCTGATACTATGCATGTTTCAGAGAGCTGATAAATTTTCTAAACCTATTTATAAGGTTGACACAAGGACCCCTGGACTTTCACATTATAAATAGCTCTCTAAATAATTCTGTTTCACAAGAAATTTTAAAAGCCTACTCTACCATCATGAGAGATAAATCACTTGGAATTTTTGAAATATTAACAGACTCTAGAAACTGTTAACCTTAAATCACCAACTGGTAGTAAATAAAAGTCTGAACTTTCTTCTAAACCCTCAATATTTGAGGTTCATAAAATCCAGTTGAGTACAATTAATATTTTCAACTTCTAGACATGAAACTTGCTTCAAGTTTATAGAAAATAAGATGTATTTATTAATGCTATGTTTTACCGCCTAGATTCTCCTCTTAGGACCTTGCCCTAGGACCTGGGAGTATTGGCTATTAAAGGCTCACAACTGAATCCTTTTTCAGGAACTACCTTCAGAGGCCAAATGAAGCTGCACCAACCAATGTTACATCCTTTCTCAGAGGAGGCACCCATCTAATAAAGTAATCTATCCCAGCTCCACAGCTCCCAAGGCACTAGATGAGGCCCCTGTTGTAACTACACTGACGTTTAACTTCTCCCTATGCCCAACCGTGTTTGTTTTTCTTTTTTGAACTTCCTCGCTGGCGTTGATTATACTGGCATTATTGAATAAAATTTCTGCATGTATATCTGTCTCAAAAAGGGACCATTCTAAATAAACTATATACTTGAATATATTCAAAGATAAAGCTAAAAGTTTGTGACCACACATAGTCTGATACCAGCTCTGTCTTTTCCCTTAACTAAGTCTGTGAGAAGAAAATTTTAACATAAATAAATAAAATTTATCATTGGTTTACTATGTGCTAGACGCTATTTTGAAATTTAACATAAAAAATTCTTTAAATCTCATAACACTATGATATATATGAGATTATTTTCTCCATTTTGTATATAAAAGAACTTGAGATACAGAGATACTAAGTGCATTGTTTACTACCACATAACTCATAAATGATGATACTTATTTAATGGGTAAAGAAAACAATGTAATTGATCTGCTTTCTATTTCCCTAGGCTTTATCTTATTTAAATGAGGATAATTGAATATTAGGCCAAATTATAAAATTCCATGTTAAATTACACAGAGCAGGTGCTCAACAAATGTTTATGTAAGTGAGTAAATGAATGAATAAATGGATGACAAAATGTCCTCTCTTCCTACTGCTATTCAACATCAGACTACGAAGTCCCACCTAATGGAATAAGACCAAAAAAAAAAAAAAAAAAAAGCAAGAAAAAAAATGAAGGATCTATCAAATAGAAAGGAAGGAATTAAATTACTTGGTTGCAGATGATATGATTGTCTATGTAGAAAATTTCAAAAAATTGACCAAACAAAATCCTATAATTAATAAGAGAGTACAGCAAGGTATTAGAATTCATGGTTAATATACACATTTCAATTGGTTTTCTATATATCCACCAAGAACAATTAAGAATTTGAATTTTTAAAAATAATGTTATTTACAAGGCATGCCCAAAATTGAAATACTTAGGCGAATGCCTAACAAAATATGTATAGGTTCTATGTATAGAAAATGACAAAAATCTGATGAAAGATATCAAAGAAATTTTAAGTAAATGAAGACAGATTCTGTGTTCATGAATTGGAAAACTCAATATTGTTATCAATTCTCCCCAATTTAGTTTATAGACTCAACATAATCCCAATTAAAATCTCAGCAAGCTGTTTTATATGTATTGACAAATCAATTGTAAAGTAAAAGCAAAAGACCCACAATATTCAACACAACACTGAAAAAAAACAAAACTAGAATACTGACACTACTTGACTTTAAGACTTAATATAAAGCTAAAGTAACCAAGAGAGCATGGTATTGGCAAAAGAGTAGATGTATAGATCAATAGAATGGACTAGACAGCAAAAAAAAAAAAAAAAAAAAAAAAAAAAAGACTGTTACAGATATAGTCAACTGCTCTTTGACAAAAAAGCAAAGGCAATCCAATGGTCAAAGAATAATCTTTCCTTTTTTAAATTAATTTTAACTTTCATTTTAAGTTCTGGGATACACGTGGAAGATGTTCAGGTTTGTGATATAGGTAAACACGTGCCATGGTGGTTTGCTGCACCTATCAACCCATCACTTAGGTATTAAGCCTAGCATACATTACTATTTTTCCTAATGCTCTCCTGTCTCTGACACCACACTCCCCAACAGGCCCAGTGTGTGCTGTTTCCCTCCCTTTGTTCATGTATTCTAATTGTTCAGCTCCCACTTATAAGTGAGAACATGTGGTGTTTGGTTTTCTGTTTCTGCACTAGTTTGCTGAGGATAATAACCAGCTAGCATCATGATGACAGGATCAAATTCATACATAACAATATTAACCTTAAATGTAAATAGGCTAAATGATCCCATTAAAAGACACAAAATGGCAAACTGGATAAAGAGCCAAGATCCATCAGTGTGCTATATTCAAGAGACCCATCTCACATGCAAAGACACACATAGACTCAAAATAAAGGGGTGGAGGAAAATTTATCAAGCAAATGAAAAGTTAAAAAAAAAAGCAGAGGTTGCAATCCTAGTTTCTGACAAAACAGACTTTAAACAAACAAAGATAAAGGACAAAGAGGGCATTACATAATGGTAAAGGGGTCAATGCAACAAGAAGACCTAACTATCCTAAATATATATGTACCCAATACAGGAGCGCCCAGACTCATAAAACAGTTCTTAGAAACCTACAAAGAGACTTGTAGGTTTTTTTATTGTGTAGGCTCTCACACAATAATAGTGGGAGACTCTAACACCCCACTGTCAATATCAGACAGATCATCAGGACAGAAAATTAACAAAGATATTCAGGACCTGAACTCAGCTCTGGATTAAGTAGACCTGATAGGTATTTACAGGACTCTCCACCTCAAAACAACAGAATATACATTCTTCTCAGTGCCACATGGCACTTATTCTAAACTTAATCACATAATTGGGAGTAAATCACTCCTCAGCAAATGCAAAGGAACTGAAATAATAACAAACAGTCTCTCAGACCACAGCACAATCAAATTAGAACCTAAGATTAAGAAATGCACTCAAAACTACACAACTACATGGAAATTGAACAAGCTGCTCCTAAATGACTATGGGGTAAATAATGAACCTAAGGCAGAAATAATTGAGAAGTTCTTAGAAACCAATGAGAGCAAAGAAAAAATGCACCAGAATCTCTGGGATGCAGCTAAAGCAGTGTTAAGAGAGAATTTATAGCATGAAATGCCCATATCAAAAAGCTAAAGAGATCTCAAATTGACATCCTAACATCACAACTAAAAGGACTAGAGAACCAAGAGAAAACAAGCCCAAAGCTAGCAGAAGACAAGAAATAACCAAGATCAGAGTGCAATTGAAGAAAATAGAGACATGAAAAAATGCTTCAAAAATTAATGAATCCAGGAGCTGTTTTTCTGAAAAAAATAATAAAATAGATGAACTGCTAGCCAGGCTAAAAAAGAAGAAAAGAAAGAAGAATCAAATAGACACAATAAAATATGATAAAGGGGATATCACTACTGATCCCACAGAAATACAAACAACCATCAGAGAATACTATAAACACCTCTATGCAAATAAACTAGAAGATCTAGAAGAAATGGATAGATTCCAGGACACATACACCCTCCTAAGACTGAACCAGGAAGAAGCTGAATCCTTGAAAAGACTAATAACAAGTTCTGAAATTGAGGCAAAAATAAATAGCCTACCAACCAAAAAAAGTCCAGGACCAGACTGATTTACAGCTGAATACTACCATAAATATAAAGAGGAGTTGATATCCTTTCTTCTGAAATTATTCCAAACAGTTGAAAAGGAGGGACTCCTCCCTAACTCATTCTATGTGGCCAGCATCATTCTGATACCATAACCTGTCAGAGATACAATAAAAAAAGAAAACTTCAGGCCAATATCCCTGATGAACATTGATGCCAAAATTTTCAATAAAATACTGGCAAAACAAATGCAGCAGCACATTAAAAAGCTTATGCACCACAATCAAGTTGGTTTCAGCCCCGAGATGCAAGAATGGTTTAACATACACAAATCAATAAACGTAATTCACCACATAAACAGATCTAAAGACAAAAACCATGTGATTATCTCAATAGACACAGAAAAAGCCTTCAATAAAATTCAACATCCTTTCATGTTAAAAACTCTCAATAAACTAGGTATTGAAGGAACCTACCCTAAAATAATAGGAGCTATTTATGAAAAATCCACTGCCAATATCATACTGAATGGGCAAAAGCTGAAAATATTCCCATTGAAAACCAGCACAAGACAAGGATGCCCTCTCTCACCACTCCTATTCAACAAATTACTGGAAGTTCTGGACAGGACAATCAGGCAAGAGAAAGAAATAAAGAGTATTAAGTAGGAAGAGAGGAAGTCAAACGGTCTCTGTTTGCAGGTGACATGATCCTTTATCTAGAAAACCCCATCATTTCAGCCCAAAAACTTTTTAAGCTGACAGGAAACTTCAGCAAAATCTGAGGATACAAAACCAATGCACAAAAGTCACAAGCATTCCTATACACCAACAACAGGAAAGCAGAGAGCCAAAGCATGAATGAACTCCCATTCACAATCGCTACAAAGAGAATAAAATACCTAGGCATACAGCTAACAAGTGAAGTGAAGGACCTCTTCAAGGAGAACTAGAAACCACTGCTCAAGGAAATCAGACAGGACACAAACAAATGGAAAAATGTTCTGTGCTCATGGATAAGAAGAATCTATATTGTGAAAATGGCCATACTGCCCCAAATCATTTATAGATTCAATGCTATTTCCATTAAACTACCATTGACATTCTTCTCAGATTTAGAAGAAACTATTTTAAAATTCCTATAGGGCTAAAAATAAACCTCTCTTCTAGCTCTTTTGTAATGTACAATACCTTCCTGTTAACCATCATCAGAGCACTGTGCATTTTAACTTATTCTACCTGTCTAATTTGTACCTATTGACCAACCTCTTTCCATTCTCCCCTCATCAATTTTCTTTTAAGTCACTACCAACCACTGTTCTACTCTCTACTTCTATGATAACAACTCTTTTTATTTATGTATGTATGTATTTATTTATTTGAGACAGAGTCTCACTCTGTCACCCAGGCTGTAGTGCAGTGGCGCAATCTCAGTTCACTGCAACCTCTGCCTCCTGGGTTCAAGCAATTCTCCTGCCTCAGCCTCCCTAATAGCTGGAATTACAGGCACCTGCCACCTCACCCGGCTAATTTTTGTATTTCAGTAGAGACGGGGTTTCACCATGTTGGCCAGGCTGATCTGGAACTCCTAACCTCAAGCAATCTACCTACCTCAGCCTCCCAAAGTGCTGGGATTACAGGCATGAGCCACTGTGCCTGGCCACAACACTTTTTATTTATTTATTTATTTATTTATTTTCACATATGAGTGAGATCATGCGGTATTTGCATTTCCAAGTATGGCTTATTTCACTTAACATGATGTCATCCAGGTCTATTCATGTTACAAATGGCAAGATTTCATTTTTATGGCTGAACGGTATTCCACTATGTATAAATACCATGTTTTCTTTACCCATTTATCCTTTTTCAGACACTTGGGTTGATTCCATATCCTGATTATTGTAAATAGTGCTACAATAAACATGGAAGGGAGTATGGGTATCTCTTCAACATACCAATTTTATTTTCTTTGGATATATACCAAGTAGTGGGGTTGCTGGATCACATGCTATTTCCATTTTTAATTTTTGGAGGACTATTTATACTGTTTCCCATAGGAGCTGTGCTGATTTGCAATTCCACCAACAGTTTGCAAGCGTTACTTTTTCTCCACATCCTTGCCAAACTTGTTTATTTTGTCTTTTTCCTAATAGCCATTTAAACTGAAGTGAAGTTTCATCTCATTGTGGTTTTGATTTTCATTTATCTGATGATTAGTGATGTTGAGCATTTTGTCATATAACTGTTGGCCATTTGCGTGTCTTCTTTTGAGAAATGTTTATTCAGGTTTTATCCATTTATAATTCAGATTATTTGCTTTTTTGTTATTGAGTTTTTTAACATCTTTATATATTTTGAATATTGTCTCCTAATCAGATGCATAGTTTGCAAATAGATTTTCCCATTCTGTAGGTTGTCTATTTGTTAATTGTCTTCTTTGCTGTGCAAAAGTCTTTCAGTTTGATGCAATCCCATTTGTCTACTTTTGCTTTCATTGCTTGTTTTTTTGAGGTGTTATTTTAAAAATCCTTGCCCAACCCAATGTCATGGCATTTCCCCTATGTTTTCTTTTAGAAGTTTTAAAGTTTTGTGTTTTCGATATAAGTTTTTAATGGATTTGGGGTTTATTTTTGTATATGGTGAGAGGTAGGAGTCTATTCTCATTCTTTTTTTTTTTTTTTTTTTTTTTGAGGCGGAGTCTTGCTCTGTCACCCAGGTTGGAGTGCAGTGGTGCGATCTCGGTTCACTGCATGCTCCGCCTCCCGGGTTCACGCCATTCTGCTGCCTCAGCCTCCCAAGTAGCTGGGACTGCAGGCACCTGCCACCATGCCCGGCTAATTCTTTTGTATTTTTAGTAGAGACGGGGTTTCACCATGTTAGCCAGGATGATCTCGATCTCCTGACCTCGTGATCTGCCCGCCTCAGCCTCCCAAAGTGCTGGGATTACAGGCGTGAGCCACTGCACCAGGGCCTGAGTCTATTCTCATTCTTCTGCACATGACTATTCAATTTTCCCAGGACCATTTATTGAAGAGACTGTCTTTTTCCCAATGTGTGTCTTGACATTTTTGTCAAAAATTAGTTGGCTATAGATACATAACTTTATTTCTGGGTTCTGTATTCCGTTCCACTGGTCTATGTATCTGTTCTGTTTTTATGCCAATACCATGATTTTTTAGTTACTATAGCTTTATAGTATATTTTGAAATCAGGTAGCATAATGCCTCCAGCTTAGTTCTTTCACTCAGAATTGCTGTGGCTATCAGGATCCATATGAATTTTAGGATAGTTTTTTCTATTTCTAAGAAGAATGTCATTGGTATTTTCAAAAGTATTGCATTAAATCTGTAGATCACTTTGGGAAGCATGGTCATTTTAAGTATATTAATTATTTTTATCCATAAACATGGAATATCTTTACATTGTGTCTTCTTCAACTTATTTCATCAATGTTTTATAGTTTTCAAGGTAGAAGTTTTTTTTTTTTATTTGTTTGGTTAAGTTTATTCCCAGGTATCATTTTTTGTAGCTATTGTATGTGTTAACTTTCTTGATTTTTTTTTAGATAGTTCACTATTAACATAGAGAAATGTTACTGATTTTTGTGTGTTGATTTTGTATCCTGAAACTTTACTGAAAGGTTTTCCTCTAAGATGTCTTGTTTCATCACTCATATTCAACATAGTACTAGAAGTCCTAACCAGTGCAATTAGGCAAGAAAAATAAATAAAAAGCATCCAAATTGGAAAGGAGGAAGTAAAATTGTCATTGTTTAAAGACTACATAATCATTTTATATAGCAGACCCCAAATAATTTACCAAAAACTACTAGGACTAATAAATAACACTATAATTTTGGATACAAAACATTCTGCATTTGTTAAAACTCAGAGAACTTCACAACACAAATAGTGAACGTCATATGCAAGCTAAAAAAATACTTAAGAGGTCAGAGGACTTCAGAATAAAATGAATGCAGAATGTGTCACAATAATCTAACTACATAACAAACATATGAAAGAACCTCACTGAAGGGTGGTGGGGGCAGAGGTACTGACCTTAAGTAACTTTAGAAATGAGTAGAGTCTGTATGACTAAAAGCAACAGAAACTGCATAATCACTGGATTCTAGTTGATAGGGTTATTTTCCAGGAGAGTAGTAAAGAATTCTGATACTGCTATATATGTATGCTAGAATTGAACAGTTAGGTAAATGGATGGTGGATGGTGGGAGCCAGGCTTCTCATTGTTGGAGTGGGAGTTCACAGATGTGCACGGGGAATAAGTGAAAATGATTCATGTGGTGAAGGATTAGAATTGAAGACATTAGCATTAGCTCATATTTAGCTTAATATAGATACAGGTAGGTATATATAAATATTTATATATGCAGATATCCAATTAAATATTTAGATATGTGTATATACATGGGTTAGGCCTGTAGTACCCACATTGTGGATTCTAATATCAATAAAATGAACCAGGACTCTTCAGAGAAGAATCCTAAAATTCTACAATCCAATTTTAGGATTCTAAAACTGGAGCAGAAAATATACAATGTAAGTGAAGAACATTTTATAAAACCAAAAAGTAAGAAAGTGCTAAAAAACAAAAAAGAAAAAACCTGCAGTGATGGGCATATGTCAGATAACATAGGAGTTAAAAAAGAGCCCACAATGGTCACAGCTGGAACAATCCGAGCAGGAAAATAAAGTAGTATTGGATTACAACCCAAATTATAAAATAAATATCCATGAGTCCAAACTGATATAAATGAATGATAAAATATAAAAAATACATGGGGAAGGAGAAAAGTGTCCTGTAAAGAAGAATTTCAAATAATTCACATAGGAGCCCCACTCCTCAAGTGCAGACCATTCGTATGATTTCTTTCTAAAGCGTGCAGTATGGAGAGTTGAGAGAGGGTTTGAGAAAATAGTAACTTCAGACAGTGAAGAAACTTGGCAAAGACGACCTCAGCCAAATGAGAAAGGTTAATGTGAACAGTAATAAGTTATGTTAATTGTATGAATCCTCCAAATGATGTGATACAAATGGCACTTTACCTCTGTGACCTTTCTCCGAAATACTCATAATCCCAGTATAATCATGACAAAAACATCAGACAACTTCCAATTAAGGGACATTCTAGAAAATACCTGACCAGTGCTCCTCAAACTGTTAAGGTCATCAAAAACAAGAAAGGCTGAGAAACTATCTCAGCCAAGAGGAGCCTAGAGAGACATAATTAAATGTAATGTTGTATTCTGAATAGAATTCTAGAACAACTAAAAAAGGACACTGGGCAAAAGGAAGTCTGAATAAAATATGGATTTTTGTTATAATAATCTATTAATATTGGTTCATTAATTATAACAACTGTACAAATTAATTATAACAAATGTACCATTCTAATGTAAGATGTCAATAACAGGGGAACCTGGTTATGGGGAACTTATCGCTAACTTTGTAGTTCTTTGGTAAATCTAAAATTATTCTACAGAGAAAATTTTATTTTTTGTAAAAAAGGAACTAGCTGGAGATCACGTGACTGAAAAAAAGTATAAAGGAAATAAGACCTTCCACTACAGAGTATAAACAATTAAGTATGAACACCACTTCATAGTTGTAGAAACTATTATTACAGACATCTGTAATACCAAAAGTAAATGTATGTTTTCCAAATGTTTTCAACACTTAATCAAGTATTTACATTTACATTTTAGAATAATTTCTCTATTCAAGATTTCTCACATGCTTATACTCTAGAAATAAGTTTTTAAATGATAATATCATGTATACTTTTATGTGTTAGTAATCCTGAAACTCATAGGAACACTTAATTTATCTTTCTCTTATGCTAACAGCTGGTAATATTAATAAATATTAAAATACTAAAATTTAGTCTAATAGTTACAGGCAACAAAGCATATTTATTTGTTTAAAAAATCCAGGCTTAAAAAATGAGATCAAGGAAAAAAGATTAAAAACAAGGAAATAGTCAGTTGATAAGCCTAAAAAGTGGTTTAAAAACATTTTAAATGACAATTTAAAAAAGTTTTATGCAGCAAGTGGCAATCTACTACGTTCAATCTTTAAACAAAAAATAAATCTTAAAATAATTTGAAATGCATTATTAATTAAAATTAGGGAGAATGTTTATGTATGACTAAAGAAAGATAGCTTTACACATCTCTGAAGTAGTCTGAGATCACTAAATGCATATATTCATTTATTTATTTAGAAACATTTATAGTCAATTACAGATAAAATAGATGATTTCTAAGTTGCCCTAAATTTCTAGCTAAACTAAAAAGGCAAAAAACAAAACAATAAAACCTCTGATGTAAGGTCAATAGTGAAAATGCAGATCAGAAATCACTATTTTATTATCGCTATCAATTATATTGAAATCAGTTGATATCATTTTCAAAAGACAAAGGAAAGTAGATAAAGGGAAGCCATAAAGGTGGAGGCAGGTGCTTTTGTAATTCATTAGCTATATTTGTTACAGCCTTTGAAGACAGATATGACAAGCATGATTATGACTTTCCTTTGAGGCCCACATTCAATGGCAGATTAGTAACCTGATAAGTTTTCTATATTTATCTTCATAACAGAGATCCATTTTCAAATCAGCCCACACAAAGCATGGTTTCTTTTATGTTATTGCAACATCCAGTGATAGGATAGGCCATCTGGAGAAATTGGCTGGGGTATGCTGATTACTCAAGAGATACATGTAATGAATAGTCGTTACCCCTGTGGAGCTGCTAGGAGGCCAGTGAAATTTTTCCTGAATGGCGAGTTAGTTAGTTAGAATAACTTCTCTCAGATTAAACTATTGCTATTTTAAGGGAGAAGAGTGTCTTGTTTGCTTACGTGAATCAATGGAGAGTAAAGGACAACAGAGCACTGAGCTCAGTTCACATTTTGCTGTGCATAGTAGGAAAGGGTATGGGTGAGTAAGTTGTCTTAAAGGCATATATGGATATTCTAATTATTACTTCAAGGAAGTATACTTCCTATTCCTTGGACTGGTGAAAATCCAGTCAGTTTCAGCCTAGACATAAGGAAATGGGCCGGAGTATGCCCACCATAGAAAGACACAAGTCACTTCTGAAATGCACGCTAATTTTTCTGCTTTTGTCCAGGGTTTCTTCTTTCTAAGAAAAGAAATGTACTTTCTTATCTTCTATTTTGTAGTTATCAGTTAGGAAACTTTTGTTGATCATCCCTCATATGTTAACACTCTTCTGGGCACCAGACCACATGGGCTGCCATTTTTGCTCTGTGGAAAGAGGAGCACAGCCGGAAGAGGCAAACATGAGAGCAGATTTTTCTGCCATGCCAAAATGAAATCTCTCTCTAATCTGAGCCACATAGAGAAACAAAAGCCTATCCTTTTTGTTATCAACTTGGATGTAGAGGTAGGTCAGAAATGTTTACTGAGTCCCATTGACCAGTGCTTAACATTTGGACAGACAAATTTACTAAAATATTTGTGTTTCTCCTTCATACATTTTCTTTTTCCATTTCCCTGGATTAGTTTTTTGCCTTGGGTACATTTGCAGGCCATAAAGCAGAAGCTGGCTGAATCAATGTTTTACTACCTTTTGGGGAAAAATTAATTGAAGAGAATGTACCATGTATTCCAGAGGGAAGGGGAGTGACTCTCTGGACGGGAGAGATAAGATTCCCAAAAAGTGGAGAGAGATAAGAATATCTGAGTTTTAACTAAAACCTGATCAAGTGGCAAGATCTCAGAGAGAAATGCCTGTGTTGTATACTGATATGGTTTGTCAGTGTCCCCACCCAAATCTCATCTTGAATTGTAGCTCCCACAATTCCCACATGTCACGGGGGGGACCCAGTGGGAGGTAACTGAATCATGGGAGCAGGTCTTTCTCATGCTATTCTCGTGATAGTGAACAAGTCTCATGAGAGCTGATGGTTTTAAAAAGAGGAGTTCCCCTGCACAAGATCTCTCTCTTTGCCTGCTGCCATCCACATAGATGTTACTTGCTCCTCCATGCCTTCTGCCATGATTGTGAGGCCTCCTCAGCTATGTGGACTTGTAAGTCCAATAAACCTCTTTCTTTTGTAAATTGCCCAGTCTAAGGTGTGTCTTTATCAGCAGCATGAAAATGGACTAATACATATACTCACCAAGGCCTAACTTTAGGGATCATTGTTCCCAGTCTTACTGAAGATTCACCCTCATTCCCAAATCAGTGAAGAAACTGTGAAGCTGTCACAGTCTGAGAGACCAAAGAGACCAGAGTAATAAACTTCTCACCAGTAACTAGGAGGATCCTCCCACAACTCCTTTCTGCTCTGGATGCCCCTTTTCTCAACCTTGATGGAGGAGCACGTTGCAGACAGAGGAGTAAACCTCCCTGATAACTCAAAGTCCCTTCACACTGGGAGTCAAATTTCAGTTGAAAAAGAAAAGGAAGAAATGCGAGAACTTCTTTTTCACAGCTGTATTAGTTTTTAGAATTTCTTCATACTTACTACTCATAGATTGTCTCACTTAACTCTCAAAGCAATTCATGACATAAGAATTGCTATCCCTTTTATCTCCTGAATAACTATGATAGCTATATATGGCTTTTGTTTGGAGCCTGAGGTACACAGAGTTAGTTTAATTATAATCCTTGGCTCATGACACACTCTTCTCATTTTTCCAAATTGTCCCTTTTTGTGTAGGTAACAATTTTTAGTTGTTTTAATTATACAATAAGCACACATAAGCCCACCATTCAAAATAAAAACTAGGATCTTGACGTACACCTAATTACCTGCCCAATACCATCTCTTTGCTTCCCCTATCCAAATAACCACCACCTCAAATCCTGTCTCATTTGTCCCCCGCATCCTTTTTTTATGGTTTTACTACCTATCTTTATTTTCCTAAAATGTTTATTTTTATTTTTATTCTTTTTAAGTTACAAAAAGGATATCATGCTCTATGTCAACTTTTGGAACTGACTTTTCATATTTAGTATTATGTGGCTATGTTTCATCCATATTACTGGGTGGGACTGTAATCCATTCATTTGACAGCTATACAATAATCTATTGTGTGACTGTATCATATTTATTCATCCCCTCCCACAAAGGGCATTTGGTTTGCTTCCAAGTTTTGCTATTATAAACAGTATTGTTAAGAATTTTTTTTTTGTATATGTCTCTTACTGAACATTAGACTCACACCTCTGTTTCCCACTGCTCCACACCCCAGCATTCCACTTTCAGATGAGCATTTCTAACACATGAACCTTGGCTGGAATTCAGGGGAGTTGCACACAGAGGACCTGCTCCATAGAGAGGCCATATGGAAAAGCGATATGATTCTATGAGAGGAAAAGGAAAAAGTATCAAAATGGAGAGAAAACAATGGTGACCATAAGCAAAAATAAATAAGTTGGCCTCCACCCTGAAATCTATCAGTGTTCTATGATGTGGGCCATGGATTTGAGAAAAAGCAAAATAAGTTAAAAAGTGAGGCATCTCATAGCCCTGGGGTCTACAGGGGAAGTAGAACAGCCTCAGAAATGAGGGAGCAAGTGTCAGAGTAGGCAGCTTGGAAAAGCCTAGAGAAAGACCTACAACCAGGCTCTGCAAGCTTGGGCCAGTGTGCTCAAAACCACACTTTTGTTGCCATGGGGAATAAGGCAATGTTCTCTTTTCTTACACCATCCTCACAATTACCCTTAACAAATTTTAGTCATCTATATTACTATGGTGAGACTATCCATCCCACATTTCAGATATTTCCAGGAAAGTGGAGGTGGAAAAAACCAGTTTGGCAACACTGCATGAATCTAATTACAGAATAAAATGTCTGTAAGTAATTACTATCATAGATGCGTCAAAAATAGACCTGAGCCCACCAGTAATTTTTTTCAACATTCTAATTTTCTGTCTTAAGTTCACCCTTAGGCATAAACCAGAAGGCCTCTCATGAGACAGCTCTTGCTTATCCTTCTAACTTCATCTTCCACCCTATGCTCACAAGGTCCAAATAGTCTAGTTAGAGAGAGCTAATGCTGATCCCTAAAGTCATCATGATTAGTCGAGCCTCCTCTGTTCATGCCATTCCTACTGTCTAAAATACCCTTTCCCATCTCATCCACTAATTTCTAAGTGGTCTTCAAGAATCATTCCCTTCTTGTACCGTTTGCTTTCCCTGTGCCCTTCATTAGTCCCTTAGATCTTTTCTCTCTCCCTTTTTTCCCTCCTCTATATTTCCAACTTCAGTCTAAGGCATACAAAACAGGCCACCACATCATAAATATACTCTTAGATTGACCCCAGTCAAATTTGCTTTTCCTCCTATTAGATTTTGTTTCTTTTGTGTGAGGGATATGGTAAATGACATCCAGTTGACAATCCACAAAGGTTGATAGAGTAGATGTTGTACAGGCCATACTCTACCCATCTTAACTTGTTGGGACACTCATCTCCCAGATACTGAGAATAATGTGGACTGATGGCTTATACCTGCCACCTTCTCAGGAAAATCACCCTTGATTGACAGAAAGCACCTTTCCAGAATTTGCCTGGGAGGGAGCTATGCCACCCGTTTGCTGTGGTCAGAAAATGACGACACTTTCATACACTGAAGGGGTACGAGATCCCTGCCCCTTCCTTCAATAGGGCAAACACTGCCATCAAATGGATGCTTCAGCATCTGGAGGGTCAGGCCAAGGCTAGACTTTCCTGAGACCACATCCTTTCTCCATCCTTCCTACTCTGTGTCCTTCTCCCATCAGTCCCTTACTGCTTTATTCCTGGAGAGAATATCTTCCATAAAGCACATGCACCCAAATCCCTGTGTTAGGCTCTGTGTGTAGGGAATGTGCCTTGAGACAATTGGTCGTCTTATTTAATTGAGTTTCATTGGATTTTAATAATTTGCAGAAAAGAAGTATTTGGGCTTAAGCCTCTATTACTATAAAATCCCTATTTTACCACTATATCAAATATCCCTAATAGTTTGAAAGTTGTGAGCAATAATTATGACATAGAAATATATATAACATTATATGCAACATAATATATATAATAATATGTATCTGTGCAGTCCTCACCACTTACTAACGGTAAGATATAGGATAACTTTTTTATCCCGAGTCTGGTAAGGGGAGATATACTCATCTGGTAAGGGGAGATATTCGTTCCATATAATCATCAGATGGTTTACAAGAGATAATGCGTAAATTATCCTCCACATAATAAGTGCCCAGTAAATAATTTCCAATAATCAACAGTATTGAATAGAACATTTTGATGACAAAGTGTATAGACAGCAGTGCTAAGTAAGACATAAAATAGATAAAGGCAGTTCTCCTATATTTGGCAGGGCATACACTCAAGGTACAGAAAAGTTAAATGGGATGAAATTTTTATCAATTAGAGCCCCTGGGGGTAATTTGTGTCAGCTTATAGAAAAATATGAGTTTCGAATTTGTGCACTCATAAATTATAGAGAATAGGCTTATTGTGATTAATGATGTGCTCACCACAGGGTTTATAAACTCATACTTAAGATGATATGTTAGTCTGATTTATTTAAATCTGGAAAAGAGAAAAAGCTGGAAAAGCCTCCCACACTCAGACCACTGAATTAGAGAGATTCTTCCCAGTTGATGTTTGAGTGAGGTCTGGAAAAGGTGTCTATTTTACTCTCAGTCAGGAAGTTTTCCTCCATTTCAAGCAGGATACTATTCCCGTATACTGCAGGCCAAAGGGAACTGGGTTTTATTTTAAGTACACTGCGAAACTATTTCGTTTGTCAAGAGAAAGGAGGCAAGTTATAAAGGGAAAAAGCAGAGAGGCCTGAAACTGTTTTGTCATCTGTAAAACCAAAAATCCCTAAACCTTAGTTCCAGTTCCAAAATTCTGCTTTTCTAAATCTTCCCAAAACTTTTTTCCCAACATATAAAAAGTAAAAATAAAAGTTCACTGCTTGACTAAGTTTACCTAAAATAAACTATTTCTTCATGCTAATGCTTTTTCCCTACTTTCCCCACACCAGCACCAGAGGAGAATGTGCTGACAGCCTGGCTGGGGGTGGGGAGGTGGGGTGGCAAAAGAAAGCAACACATAAAGGAAATGGTTCCAAAGGAAAGTTATTCTCACCTCCCGGTGTTGGGATTGCCTTAAGTAAGCAGCAATAAAGCTCAACTATCAGAAAGCAGAAATGATTTCTTTGCCTCAAGTGAAACATGGGTAATTTCCGATGACTGAGAATTAATGATTTTTAAGCTACTGTAGTCTGAAAATATTGTCATTTCAGAGAATAGAACAGCCACAGGAAGTGGACCACACATGGTGTGCCTAGGAAAAAAGAATATAGATTCAGCCTCTGCCAAAATGTAGAAAAAATTGCCTCTTAGAAAGGTCAATTTGATTTAGAGGGGGTTGATTCAGGTTTTTTTTTCCTTTTTTTTTTTTTTTTAAAAAAAAAACGCTCTGTTTAACATTGCATGGCTCAGTGGAGAACAAAGAGAAATGACATATTTGGTTTTATTTTCCCAGGATATGAAATGCTGTAGCAAACAAAAAACTTCCAACAAATTTAATCAGGCATTTGAAAGATTGCCCATATTGGAACAATGCATCTCAATATAAATTGGCAAAAATATTTTGATACAACCCTGATAGCTATCTTCTAAACTAAATAATCATGATGTACCACCCGAGGCTTTTAGAAAAATCCTAAGAAAACTGCAAGAAAAAAAAATGGCTTCAATTTCTGTCTTCGTGTAGTGTTTCCTTTTTTAGTTTGTTTGGTACTTAAGCATCTTAGTAATTTGTATAAATCCCAGATGATAAAGCAAGATTTTACATGTGAGAGACTCACACAAAATGGCAGTTGTAAATAAAATAAACTGTATGTGGAATGTATCTGAGTAGATGGAGGAATTACTGTGTGTCAACAGATGGAGAAGATCTAAAAATCAAATATGTATAGTATGATAGAAAAGCAGGAGTTAATGGTTGAAACTTTTTTTGTTAAACTGTTTCTTGATCTTGCATGGTTTTCTCAAGAAATCATGATTGTGGTCAACTAAATATTCTCTATTATCATTTATTTTGCAAGATTAAGGCCATTGGAATGACCCCTCTCTCAGTCTTCAGCCTACAGTCTGCTCTATTTCCTCTAGGCACATATACATACTTATGTATTTTAAAAATAAAAAGTTAATTGAAAAATAAAAATATATATATTTAAATATTAAGATCCCACTTTGAAAAAGCTAAAAGTTTTTTTCAATAAAACCCACTATTGGCTATGGTACAGGGAAATAGATGCTCATTTCCTACTGGTGATATTTATTGATACAAAATTTTTGGAAGGCAATTGGGCAAAAGTAAAGCAAACTCTAACTATATCTACTCTGACTCAACAATAATCTCATTTCCAGGAATTTATCCTAGACAAATAAATGTAAAAAAAAAATAGGCATTCAAGAATGCCCTTGCAGCACTGGTTGTAATAATAACAAAAATCACAACAATAGCAACATAAGAGCAACAGAAACAGAAAGCTACCTAAATTTCCATCATCAGGGAACATATAAATTAGATTTGGAAAAATCTATATGATAGTATATATGCAGTTATTAAACATGATGCAGTGGATCTCTGTCTGCTAATAGAAAACATGTCTCCAATATTTATTCTTACATAAACAATAAGCAATGTTTAGAACAGTATATATAGTAAGTACCTCATTTGTGTGTAAGTATATAAAAGGATATGCACGGAAGTGCATGTGTATGCACATGATGCTTCAGAAAGCCTCGTCTAGACACCATGTTTTGTGATAATCTTTATGAATAGAACTGAGGTGAGGAAGTTGGAGGACAGTCTAAGTTGAATGGCTCACTTTATTTTATATATCTTTGTGCTGTTTGTATTATTTGCCATATTATATGAATTTTTTTTATAATACTGCAATAAAAAGAAAAAAAAGCCCTTTATTTGTAAGATTTTTGCCCACACACAGTATGCAGCTTAACCAGTTGATCTGACATTTCACATTTCCTTACCTGAAATAGTTATATAATCTTCACATGTAAAAATTCCAGAGGCTTTTTTCCTTTTACATATCATTTGTTAACATGCTGAACAAAAGGTATATCAGCCCTGATCCCTGAGAACCTCATTGTTTACCTTTTCCAGCAAGAAAGTACCCGTTTATCACTACACATTATTTCCTATTTCTTAGCCAATTTCCTATTCGTGACAAAACATTTTCCCCAGTTTCATAGTGACACAAGTTTTTCCCAATGACTTTGATACAGAACATTCTTAAAGGCTTTTAAGAAGAAAAATAGATTACATTTTCAGTTTATCCTTCATCCACAGTCATGTATGAATTTCCTTTAAAGAGACTATCTGATGGGATCAGGTATAATTTCCCCTTGCTAGTGGCATTGCTGTCCTGGGAGTTTAAACATCCACTTATCTTATTTTTAATCTTCACTAATTTGACTACCTTCATGAACATGACATAGATTAATGTCTATTTTCACAGTCACTTCTGGGCCCCTTTTCATAGATAAATGTTAACTTGATCATCAATGAGCCCTTATAATGTTGTTATCTGCCACTTCAGTTGCCTCATTTTGTTCTCTGACATTTGAACATTGAGCTTCTTCAAAATTATCAGTATTAGATACCTAATTCTGACCATTTCCATCTAGTTTTTCAATTCGACATAGACGTTTATGTGGAGGAATGAGTGTTAGACATTAATCATTTCAATTGATATTTATCGGGAATAAAGCATGTGCCCGACATTTTAATTGTTGCTGGGAATACTATTGAGAGCAAAACAGACAGGGTCTCTTCCAAGATTCTATTATTAAGCTTATAGGCCAATGGATGAAACATACTTTTATCACATAATCACAGAAATGGACAATTACTAGCTTTGATAAATGCTATAAAGGAAAAAGAAATGCAAGTAGCTATGAGAGAATGTAATTCATCTGGGGGTGAGGGTAGTGCTGTGTCGAAAAGAATGTGAACCAGGTTCAGACAAAGGTTGAACATGGGCGCACACTCAGCTATGTAAGACCCCGACCCCAAGTACACTTGTCATCTTTTTTTTTTTTTTTTTTTTGAGACGGAGTCTCGCTCTGTCGCCCAGGCTGGAGTGCTGTGGTGTGATCTCGGCTCACTGCAAGCTCCGCCTCCCAGATTCACGCCGTTCTTCTGCCTCAGTCTCCCAAGTAGCTGGGACTACAGGCGCCCGCCACCACGCCCAGCTAATCTTTTTGTATTTTTAGTAGAGACGGGGTTTCACCGTGTTAGCCAGGATGGTCTCAATCTCCTGACCTCGTGATCCGCCTGCCTGGGCCCCGCAAAGTGCTGGGATTACAGCCGTGAGCCACCGCGCCCGGCCCACTTGTCATCTTTCTTCTGGAAAGGAACTGGCCTGTTTATATGCCTATTCTTTCATGATTCAAACCCTGCTATGTTGCTAATCATGGTTGAGTTCCCTGACCAACTTTCTCTCTCATTAACTCTCTTCCCATTTGCTTTTATCCAAGACCAGGAGCTCCATGTTTATCAAATCAGTATGGTAACATATCTCTAGTGGTTCTTACAAAAATGGTTTTCACACTTTTCATCCTAGACAATACTTAATTTAAATAAATCATTTATAATGATAGCTCAGCAAAAAGGCGCAAGTCTTTTGACCTAAAAGGAATATATTTTTCCTAATATCTGGCTTACTGCCACTAATTTTGTCCTTATTAAACCAACTTGGTATGGAAATCTTCCCCTAAAATTTTTTGTAGTCCAGTCTTAAGCAAAGAATATATTCATATATCTTCTGGCAATTATGTAGAAATAATCTTTAATGTTTGATTTCTGTATATTGATTAAAAAACTTTACTTCCTCCTTATAGTGGGAAATTGTTTATAGTAATTATTTTTAAACCTATTTTCCCATGTTTCTTTTACAGAGTGACATGAAAGGAAAACTATTATTATACACTTACATTTTCATATATTTCTCCAGATAACCAGTCATGTTCCACTCTAGACCTAATTAGGCATAGTAGTGATTAAATCATAAGAAAAAGGAAATTCCTGTGTTCGAAATGTACCAAGGTAGATATTATAATAGACAGTATTTAAGCAACAATGCCCCCGCTAAAATATTTTTCTTTTCCCTCCATTGTATCCCCAATAGTTGCTAATTTCTTCTGTTTTTTTCTTGATCTATACTCCCTGATTTTCCATTCCTTTTCATTCTTCAGTCATCAACCCAATACAGCCTCTGCTCCCTCACACTTGAGACTCTTACAAGCGCCTCCCTTAACTGTTATCCTTCCTTCTTTCTCTTCCATTTTTAGTTATCTGGCAATGCCTCTGGATTAGTCTTTCAAATGCAGTGCTCTCCTGAGTGACTAATTATTGCCTCCAAGACAAATTATAATGTGATAACTAGTGATGTGAAGCCCTCTACATCTACCTATCACACATCTTTCCTGGTTTATTTTGCATTCTTTCTTAAGATCTACCAAGTTCCCAGCTCTGTGTTTAACACCTAGAAAGCACTGAATATATATCTGTGAATGAATGAATGAATGAATGAATGAATGAATGAATGAAAGTGTTCTGTTTCTTACATACTTTATCCATTCTACCAGCAACATCTTTACATTTCTTCTATATAGCCAAATCCTAAGCTGCGTATGGGCCTAATGTTGTAAAATTTATAGTGTTCTGTCTACAATGATGTCTCCTTTCTATGAACCCATGAGCTTCACTTCTTCTTTGGGAAATAAATTCCAGTAGATAAAAGACAGAAGTGATATCCACTAAATTTATTTAGCCTGGAATAATATAATATGTATTTAGCTGTTACAATACAAGCAACTAAAATCTGAAATCTGTTATAGGCTCAGAGTTATAGTAACATCACTGATGACCCAAATATCTCTTTTATGAGTCTATGACTCACCCTCTTGCCAAAAACTTTGGCCAAAAAATACAGAGAAAAAAATCGTTCGAAATTGCTTTCATCAAAAATGTAAATTATCTGCCTGGATTTGTGGGCATTGCAGCTTTCAAATAAAAGTGTGTAGGGATATAAGAAGAATGAGTTCAAAAGAATCTTTAGATGTGTGAAGAAATGTATACTCTATTCTTTTCCCCCACCCCCAAGGAAATAGTATGCAGCCAAATCTTTTTTTGTGGATAGACTGAGGGGCATGTAAGGGTTTTTTTGTGGATAGACTGGGGATCAGACATTTTAAGTTTGCTTGGGTTTTAAGTGAGCCATTCAACTCCTGGAGTGTCTCATTTTATAAAGATAATTATATCCTGCTCTTCACATTGAGCCTGGAAGGAGAGACACTTTACCTTCTGACCTGTGCCTCTCCGAGGTGTTCTGATGTTTGAATGGGGATGGGAATGCAAACTTACTCCAGCTTTCATGCTATACCATACAAAATAACTCTCCTCTCTATCAGGATTTAGAAAAATCTAACTTTTAAGCATAACAAACCCCCTTTTCCCGGTTATATAGTATAGGAATGACCAGGATGCCGTATGAGACATAGAGTAGTGGACACTTTCTTCCCACTCACAGCCATCTGAAGCATCGTTCAATATTATAACTAGCGTCACATCACCACTTGGATCAAAAGCCTCACATAGCTTCTCATTTGGGACATCACAGAAAGACTTTCTGTTTTTTTTTGTTTGTTTGTTTGTTTTTTTGAGACAGAGTCTTGCTCTGTCACCCAGGCTGCAGTGCAGTGGTGCGATCTCGGCTCACTGCAAGCTCTGCCTCCCGGGTTCAGGTCATTCTCCTGTCTCAGCCTCCTGAGTAGCTGGGAGTACAGGCGCCCACCACCACGCCTGGCTAATTTTTTGTATTTTTAGTAGAGACAGGTTTTCACCATGTTAGCCAGGATGGTCTTGATCTCCTGACCTCGTGATCCACCTGCCTTGGCCTCCCAAAGTGCTGGAATTACAGGCGTGAGCCACTGTGCCCGGCCACAGAAAGACTTCTTATAAGGTCAAATATTCAACTGTTCACAATGTGAATTCCGACCTACCTGTTCAGTCTCATCTCTCACTGCTTTCTCAGTTCATTGTACCAGACTATTTGCATTGCCCCAGGCACTGCATGTGTTTTATGACTGAGTTTTTCCCATACCATTTCCTCTAAGAATAGTGTCTTTTTCTTGACTGTTTTTGAGCCATTAAAGTGCTAAGCATCTTTCAAGTTTCAACCTAATTATCAAATCCTTTGCAAGGCCTTCTTTAATTCTGTTGTCTAAGTAATCACTCTTCCTCTACCTCCTGATATTTTACAAATACTTCTATTATGAAATCATGAGAAATACAATATTTTCTTTGGCCCACAGCAATTTGTAGCCTGTTTGTTCAAAGAGCGTGAGGCCACATCCTAACTGTTACAATGGCTCTAAAAGTTATAGGGTAAAGTCACTGACGTTTTGAAGCAAATATACCATTAGCACTAAATTTTCTTTCACTATTCTTTTTAAACTACTGATAGATTTGCATGACATAAAATTACCATGCCAAAATAACGCTAAATAATACTGAGCTTGTTGCAATTGTGACCTAAACTCATCACATCTATCTCTTTCTTATACTGCCACATCCATGTAGCCTGATTCTATCTCCTAAATTCAGTGGCTCAACCAGCCTTAAATGATATCTATGATATTATATGAGTATTATGAGATCACAAGGATGAATAAATATATTCACTGTTCATGTAGTTCATAGACAATCCAGGAAAAGAATATACATCTAATCCAATACGGTAAGTGCAATCATTGAATCAGAGAGTCCAGAGAGGGGAATGGTTAATTCTCTCTGATTTTGAAGATTAGGTAATGGTAAAAAATGAGAGTCAGGGAATATTTCACAGAAGGTAAGGTTCGAACTGGGAAATTTTCCAGGTGGCAATAGGATAAAAAAACATCCAAGTAGAAGGAATATCATGTACAAGGCTGCAGAGTTTAGTAGCAGCATGGGCTGTTATTCAGTGCCAGGGAAGCTTAGGAAGCAAGAATGGCACAGCAAGATGTAAGGCTGAAGGCATAGGCTGGAGCCACATCACAAGGGCCTGTTCACCAAGCCAAGGAATTCAGACTTTAACTTTCGATGCTATAGATATCAATCTAATGGTTCTAGGCAGGGGAGTTACATACTTGGCATTGTATTTGGATGATATTGAGGCCAGAGGAAGAGACACCAACCAGGAGGCCTTGACAGTAATCTAGAAAAAAATTGAAGAGTATCAAAATTTGAATAGAAACAAAGGGGAAGAGAGAAAGGAAAAACGTACTCATTTAAAGGTAGCAGTACAAGTTCTTAGAATTGGGCTGTTTGTGGGTAGTGCCAGGATGGCCAAGAGAAATCTAGCTTTTTAGTTCAAATGTCTGGTGGTGGCAGAAAAAGACCCTACATTCAGCAATGGACAAGCTGTGTTTGAGAAATCCGTATTCACCTTTGATGTGCTCATGCTGATCCCCCAAACGGCTTATTTTTAAAGCCATGCTGGGGGTGGGGTTAGAAATGATAAGAAGGAGTAGAAGGAAACAAGTCCACATAATCCCTTCATTCATTTGTTCTGATTCCAACATTCAAGCTTTTGGAATGATAGGTTTTGAAACCACCAAAATAAACATCTAATATAAAGATAAGGAATAGTTTGCCTTTTATAATCCTGAACATGCTTCTTTCTGGCTCCCAAATGGAAGTCTGTCCAGTCAGTGCTCCTTCTGTTGAAGGTGGAATAGGGAAGCTGCTATTTGTTAAATGTTAAATCTTACATAAATTGTGCCTTAATTTCTATAATAAACCTCCACAAATTGGTATTGTTATTCCAGTTTTACAGATGAGGAACCCAAATCTCAGAAAAGTTTGTAGACATTCTCATAGTCCCCCATCTGGTAAGCAGTAGAGACTAGGTGTAAATCTACATCTGTCTGATTTCAAAGTTCATGCTTCTTTCATTATACGATGTCAGATGTTGCGTATTTAAAGAATATTTTGGCTCCAGAAATCAGGATTAGGAAAAGTTGATTATGAGAAAACTAAAGAGCCACCCTGTCCCTTAAGCTATAATATACTCTAAAAATGATTCCTCTACAGAAGCATTTCTGTCAAGTGTTCACACTCAATTTCAGAAATGATCACACCTATCTTATTTCATTGAAGAAATCCTGATAATCTGCTGAAGCTAAACAAAAAAAAACTACAAATCAAATGATAAATGATCAATCAGAAAAATGTAATTGTTATGAAAAACCTCTTGCAAATTTTTATGAAGTTACATCCACCAGTTGAGAAGTACTCCACACACATTTTTTTAATTGGACTGCCAATCAGCCAATACTAACTTCCAGTGCTCCTCAACTCTGGCAATTCTCAGCCCTAAAAGAACTGGGATGACTAAAGAGGACATATTTCTCTTGGAATCCCTGTATTAAGAAATCAAAATGCCATTTAAATCAAGAATAAACCTACTTAATTGATAGATTACTATATTCCATGCCTTAATCAGGATTCTCTGTTCATACTAATTCTATCCAGCATAGCACATTGATAACTCACCTTTATTTCTGGGAAACTTCAAAGCAGCCTTCACATACATGGGAAGACGTGAGGGGTAAAATAACTGTTTGGACAAACGTTTGCATTCCCTTAATAGTTCTAACCTCACTACAAAACATATGTCAAAATTTTAAAGAGAACAGAAACTTTTAATGCTTTGTGCAATGTACACAGTTCCTGAGCTTTGATGTTTCTATTTCTGCCCTTTATTTGTACAAAATTGTCTGGTTAAAAAAAATCTTTTATGTCTCATTACTGACCTGTCAAACATTATTTTAACTTAAAGAATAGGTGATGCCTTGCAGTAAACCTTTAAAAGCCTCTTGTTTAAAAACAATATACCATTATACTGTACATATTTAATATGGTTATTTTTTATTACAAGGAACATGTCACTGAGAGAAACTTTAAACATAGGATTTTACATTGGAATGAATGTAGCCACATAAGAGTTCAGCCGCTGCTGTCTCTTGGGCTGATGCTGAGTGCCTGGTGTCTCAGGAAGTTCAGAGCCTTTGAAAACCTTAGGGAAGTCAAAGCCATCTCCACTCCCTTTCAGGCCTCACATTAACACCTCAAATTATTCTCTTTACACCATTTTATAACTTTCACAAATTTCAAGTAATCATTTAACTCCTGAATCATTTTTTTTTCTTCAGAATGAATTAAACATTTCTTTCAGGTACCATTTCTTTTGACTGCATAAAAATTACTCCCTCTCCACCAACACCACCAACTCCTACATTTTTTTTTCACTGTTTGGCAAGCATTGACTTGATTTCCCTTCCTTTCCCCCCAACTCCCCTTGCCAGTTTGGTACCCCTCCGGAACAGACTGTTTGAAGTGTTTCCCAACAGCCTCATTGAGGAGGAGGTAACAATGCACAGAAATGCTGTGTGACTTAGTGAGCTTCAAAGATCTGGACATCAGAGGGAAGGAAGTCGGGGATCTGCATAAAAGAGGTTTTCTTCATGATTACACTGAAAGGAATTGTTCTGGAGGAAGTGATACATGTTCCCATTCCTGGGGGTAGGGTTATACTGAAAGGCAGAAGGTAGCAGGAGATACTATAATTGGCCTCCCTTACAAGTGTTTAAAAGCCCCTGCATTATCATCAATGGCACTTTTTCCATTTATATCCTGCAATTGTTAGTCATTGTTTCTGAAAACACTGTAGTATTAGCCTTGTATTTTTTGCCATTATGCGAATTACTTCAAATGATGAGCAACCTGTAGACAGTTTTCAAAGTCAGTCTTGTATTATACCACAGAGGTATCCAATAGCGTCTGCTGAGATGATGCTGAATGAAGGTACTTGCTAAACAACTCTAAGTTTTTGAATGAAAGTGCAGTGATTTTTATTAGAAATCACTTTTCTTATTTTATTTTTAGGATTCTGAATAGAATATTCAAAAAGAGAATGTTTAATAACTGTGCCTATATTTGAGTCATTTTCTCTAGAAGACTTACTGGCTAAATTTCCCTAATTTTCTAACTGTCACAGTTCTTAAGATCTCAGGATAATATTCTCTTACACCCTCTAACTTTCTAACTTTGATAACACACATTTCCCAAAAAGAGAAATGTTAAATAAAATCAGGGTCATTGTCTGTGCTTGATCAGATCTGACAACCCCTTTAACTTCCAGCACCATGGAAGAAGCTTCCAAATCATTCTTGAATATGGTTTACTATTTAATTTTTGAAAATTTCATTTTGAATCTATATTTTTAAAGTTATTGCATTTTTTTTCAGATGAATGCTACAGTGCAAAGAATACAGTTTGAGAAATTTTAAAACCTGGGTTCTACTCCAGAATCTATTGGGTTACCTTGACCTCTCTTCCCTCAGGTCTCTCTTTTGTGAAATGAGAAGATTAGACTAAGTTTCTGAGATCTCATCAATCTAGGTTTAACATTTCAAAAATAGAAAAATAAGTAAATCCATTAAGTGAAGAACTAACCTCAGAGATGAGAGTAAAATCTAACATATATGCATATTATTGAAAATTTCTGAGGTTAGGCATTGAGTTATTCATTCACTAGTTCATTCATTAATTCACTTATTCTTTCATTCTTCTGTCATTTTTTGGATATCAGTCTACTTAAGCTCTGAGTCATAAATGTTATTTCTATTCCCAAAGAATTCACAGTGTTCTAATGAATCATCAGTCTCAGATTTTTTGCTTATATTCACTCCTTTGCCTTAGGTACTACAAATATATTTTTAAGCAATAGTGTTTTTTTTTTTTACTTCCTACTTGGTAAAAGAGGTTTTGATAAATAAAAACTGACTGATAAAGTAACATGAATTTTTAATATTTGAGACGCTAATTACACCCCTGAATTTTTTTTTATTTTTTATTTTTTAGAGAGACAGTCTCACTACGTTGTTGCCCAGGCTAATCTCGAACTTCTAGCTTCAAGCAATCCTCCCACCTCAGCATCCCAAAGCACTGGGATTATAAGTGTGAGCGACCATACCTAGCCCAATTAGTTAAATTTATGATTATTAAGTGTCAACTGGTTCTGACAAGGTGACTTATTATTCTTGCATTTTTCTGTTAGGCCTTTTTTTCCCCACCATAGGAAATTGTTTAGGATGTACTTCACATGCTAACAAATTTGATTATCTCTTGCTCCTTAATTATTGGGATTTAATTTAATCCATATTAATTTCAATTCCTCTCATGTTTATTTATTTCTCTTTCTCTAAATCTAGATACATTTTATAATACATCAAAATACTTGTTTCATTTTATTTTTAAATAAAATGGAGACAATATAGCATGTCATAAAATCCCCAGACAAGAACTCACTGACAATGGGAAGGTAGCAGTTAATGAGTTCAATCATCTTCTCTAAGTGACTGTAAGTGAAGCTGTTCTACTTTATACCTATCTTGGATGTGCTTTTGGGCAACAAAAGGAAATTGCTCAGAATGTAAAAACAGAAGTTAGTTTTATGAAAATAGCCGCAAGTTGATAGAATTGAAGATTTTAAGAAAAACTAGAGGAAAGTAGAATGTAGTATAAAAAACAGAGAACATTAATGACAATCATGGTTTCAATAGGTTTGAAAGATAACAGAAAAGATGTGCTAATATAGTGGTGACCTGTGAGTGGATAATCAGACTATCAGCAAATTGATAAAGCTGTACACAAAAACCAGAAGGTCTAAGAGCATGAAGACAACCCTCTCCACAGAGCCTGGTTGTTTCTGTTGTGGCGCTGTTGGTGTTGTTTGTATCCAGTACAGTGCACAAGCATAACTCCTGACATAATCAAAGCACAGTTTTGTTATTGTGTCCTGTGTCTCTTTAAAATATATTCAGTGGTGGTACCAAGAAATTGTCAGAACTAATAAACAAGTTCAGTAAAGTGGTTGGTTACAAAATCAACACACCAAAATCAGTTGCATTTCTATGTATTAACTAGAAACTATCTTAAATTTTTTAAAATATCATTTCCAATAGTTACCAAAAAATAAGAATACCTTGGAATAAACTTAACCAAGGAGCTGAAAGATCTCTACACCGAAAGCTATAAAACATTGATGAAGAAATTGAAGGAGATAAAAATAAGTGGAATGATATCCCATCTTCATGGATCAGAAGAATTAATATTGGTAAGAGGACCATACTACCCAAAGCAATCTCTAACATTCAATGTTACCCCTAAACCAGTAAAACTCTTAGAATAAAACAAAGGGGAAAAGCTTGTTGACATCTGTCTTGGCAATTATTTTTTGAATACGACACCAAAAGCATAGGCAACAAAAGCAAAAATAAACAAGCGGGACTCCATCAAACTAAAAACGCTCTGCACAGCAAATGAAATAATCAATAAAATGAAAAAAGCAACCTGCAGAATGGGAGGAAATATTTGCAAACCTTATATCTGATAAGAAGTTAATACCCAAAATATACAAGGAATTCATACAACTCAATAACACAGTAACAAATAAAACTATTTTTTTAAATGAGTAAAGAACTTGAGTGGATATTTTTCCAAAGGACACATATAAATGGCCAACAGGTACATGGGAAAATGCAAATTAACGCTACAAAAACTTACCAGCTGACACCTCTTAGAATGACTATTATCAAAAAGACAAGCAATAACAAGTGTTGGTAAAAACACAGAGAAATTCTTGTGCACTGTTGGTGGGAGTGTTTTTCATTTAATTATAAAAGACATTATAGAGGATCCTCAAAAATTTAACATAGAACTACCATAAGGTCCAGCAATCCTACTTCTGGGTATATACCCTAAAAAATAAAATCAGTATCTCAAAAAGATACCTGCACTCCTATGTTCATTGCAGCGTTATTAACAGTAACCAAGAGCCTACAATAGAAGTTATTTAGGCATAGATTTAATTATTTAATTATATATCCTCCTTGAGTCTTTCTCAGATCTGCAAAGCAGAGTTAATATAACCTCACTCTACTCCCAGAGCCCTTTATTTTTCCACTACAACATTTAACAGAGGTTGATTTTGTATTAACAGTTTTTTGGGCTTATGTCTCTCTTATGTTTCTTTTAGTCTCCATGCATGAACTAAAGTTTCCTAAAGTTCAGAAGATGTGGGCCATAAGTCAGGAAAATCAACTGTGTTTTATCAATTTTTTCCAGTACATTTAAGTGAATAAATCTCTTGCGTACTTGTTCAATGTAAGACTTTACTAGGTGGATTAGTCAGGGTGGGGTAGGTTACAGCACTGTAACAACAAAATCTCCAAATTTCTATAGTTTGACACACACAAGTTTATACATCACTCATACTATGTATATAACATAGATCAATTTAGATCTCTGTACCATCAGTGACTCAAGACACAGGATGACAAAGAACTTATCATCTGGAATATTGTTGGTGGCTTTTACGGAGGAAGAAAGAGTCTGAATCATACATGAGTTTTGTATTGCCTCAATTCAAAAGTTTCATGTAGGGATTGCTATTAAGGTGTTCTGGTGCTACTAAATCCTAAAATTCTACATTATAAAAAAAACAGTAACCAAGAAGTGAAAGCAACGTAAGTGCTCATCCATTTCCAATGAACCTTGAGGGCATTATGCTAAGTCAAATAAGTCAGACAGAGAAAGACAAATACTATGATCTCATATGCAGAATGTAAAAAAGTAAAACTCATAGAAATACAGAGTACAATGGTAATTGCCAGTGGCTGAGGCTGGGGAAAATGAGAAGATGCTGGACAAAGATACAAACTTTCAGTTATGAAAACGAAGTTATGGAGATCTCATGTACAGCATGATAACTATACTTAACAATACTATAGTCTATCCTTGAAATTTGCTAAAAGAGAACCTAAATGTTCTCACCACAAAGAAAAAGGGTAACTATGTGAGGTGACATATGTGTTAACAAACTTGATTGTCATAAGCATTTCACTATATATATATACATAGTGAAATATATACATACACACATATATATTAGAGAGAGAGACACATACACATATACGTCTCAAATCATCATGTTGTATACTTTATACAATTTTGTCAGTTATACCTCATTAATGCTGGGGGAATAAATAAACAAACAAACACTAATCTCTTCAATCAAAAAAATAAAAATAAAATGAATTTAATAGTGTTGATCTTCTCCTGACCCTGACGAGAACAAAAGAAATCATACATATTTTTAATGATGATGTTCAGTTAATAACATTCTTCAGGTCGATTTGCAAACAACTTCAATTTGGTAAGTAATTCCAAATCCCATGTAATATAAATCTAAACTTGGCAAAGTATTAAATATTCCTTTCTTCTCAGCTGGGTAGAACCTGTGAATTCTGCCATATAATGTGTCATTATTTTTTTCTTTGCTTTTCCCTTTTCTCCACCCACACTCACATGGACCCTCATTCCTGCCTCCTAAGAAATTGTTGTCCACTCCTCACAGACTCTCACTTTCAGAGTCCATCACCCTCACCTCTCAGGAAGAGTTAGAACCGCTCCTCTCTTGCATGGGTATTCCACATCTGGTTTAACGAGATCAGTTTACCCCACACTCAATAGAAGCATAGTTACTATCCAAACATAATGTGTTTCTATGCCTTTGTCTCTCTCTCCTTCTCTCTCTTTATCTCTATCTCTATTTCTGTTTCAGTAAGGCATGAATTAGGCATCTTCTAATGATGCCTTTTAATCATAGGGAACATATTTGAAGCATTTGAATGATCCCATGGAATTACTTCAATAGACTTCAGGTGAAGAAGGTAACACTCTAACCTGTCCTCCTTTGGGATTAAAGGGGACTGACAACTAGCAGCAGCACTCTGAAATGTCTTATGGTATAGCTCATGACAAAACTACAGACTCAGTCTATGCAGCATTATTATCATTCCCTGATGTTTTCTGTTCAGGGTTCATGCTCTGCGCCAGAAGCTTCATGGATGTATCCTGCACAGGCACAAGCGGCAGGTCCAATATATTACTAAGACTGACGTTTCTCCTAGATCCTCTCTTGAATCCGGAGCTGCCCAAAGCATCCATGTCCTGGCCAGCACCTTTGTATCTGTTTATACCCTCTCCTCTGTCTTTGGCTCTTTCAAATAATTCTACTTGGCTACTGGTAAGCCTCTCTGAAGTAACTGATGCATGTTTCCTAATGCTTAGACCCTTTATTTTTATGCACTATGATTCTAGGGTATTAAAGCTCTGCTTTTCCCACATAAAATTTCTTAAAAACCCTTCATATTATCAGAAAAATTTAAATTGTATGTTATTTAACAATATTCAATTGTTAACTTACTCATTTACCATAGATTCACAGAATTATAAGCACAATTATATAACAGTAACATTACAAAAGAATGGTGGTATATGTGCACAGTGTATGTACTTGTATGTGTATAAATGTGTGTATATCTATCGAAAATCAGATTATATTTATTATCCATCAAATAATATTAAAAAGTAAACATTAAAAAATGCAAAAATAACACTAATTACAACAATTACAACCTTCTTTAAACTTAAATTTTATTTTATCTGATACCAAGTATTTTATCTGATACCATTTATCTTTATTTTATCTGATACTTTATTTTATCTGATACATTTAAGGCCATCCCAGTTGATTAATTGGTTAAATTACACAAAATGTATTTTTTTATTTTTCTACTTTAACCCTCATGTTTTAGTTATGTTTGTTGGAAAAAATGTCTAATTTAATATAGTTGAATAATGCTTGACTTTAACAGGAACAACTAGTCTATTTGTGTTTAAAATAGTAATGGATATATTTGAAATTAAATTTAAGATTGTTCTTTGTGACAACTGTACTATTTTCTTTTCTTTCTTTCTTTCTTTCTTTTTCTTTTTTGGCGAGAGTGTGTCACTCTGTTGCCCAGGCTGGAGAGCAGGAGAGCAGTGGCATGATCTTGGCTCACTGCGACCTCTGCTTCCAGGGTCAAGCAATCCTCCCACCTCAGCCTTCCGAGTAGCTGGGACTATAAGTGCCCCACCATGCCCAGCTAATTTTTGTATTTTTGGGTAGAAACAGGGTTTCACCATGTTGGCCAGGCTGGTCTCAAACTCCTGACCTCAAATGATCTACCTGCCTCGGCCTCCAAAAGTGCTGGGATTATAGGTGTGAGCCACTGTGTCTGGCCTCCTATTTTCTTACTTTGTCATGAACTATACTATAACAGTTCATATATATATATATATATATATATATATATATATATATATATATATATATATTTGGTGATGCTTGTGTTAGCCCACTTGCCAACCACACAAAGAAGAAAAATGGTAATTATCAGCATGATCAGACTCCAGCACAGCATGGTGGATAATCCAGTGTACTTGGGAGTTTTCACTTTAAGCTCTGCCCACCTAGAATCACTGGGGCTCATAGTGATGGCCTAGAAAACACTCAAGAAGTCTTCTCTGATTTCAAATATACTCTATGATAAGAAGATTATTCCTATTGCCAAATCTCTGGAGGCCTTTCTGTTTACCAAGACTGATACTTGTGTTCAGAGCCAGAGGATCTTGCATAGAAATAGGATGCACAGCTGAATTTATCATTTCAGCTGAAATCCAATATTATCTACTTACAATTAGTTCCCTCTCAGGTATCTTTAAGGTAGTTTTTAAATATTATTAAGAGATTTCCAAGAGTTAAATATATAACATTTAGAGGAAACATACAAAATATGAATCACTGCTATGAAGAGCATACGTGAGGTAATGCTTTTGTTCTTCACAAATCTATGAGACACACACTACTATTACTTTCATTATAAAGAGAAGGGTAACTTACACAGAGAGACTAAATGAATTGTCGCCATTCACAATCTGGCTATGGTCACAGTGGGGGCTTGGAATTGCCTGGGTTGGTAGCAAAGACAGTGTATTTAGCCACGAGGCAATTTTGAAAAGTTGATTAGTTATGTTCTTCAATCAGATCTATATTTATTTGTGTTTTTATACCTTGTCATTTCATTTTGGATTGGTGGCATTATATTTTCCTTTATATTATTTGTTGTAATAAATTTCCATTTATGTGCATTTATTCTATAAATCAGTATCAATTATGAATAAAGCTTCATATAACTTAAGAAAAAGAAATGTCTTCTTTTTTACATCCTATTTTATACTCCTCAAGGGTTTTAAAGCTATCTAACTGGTTCTGGGTCATCTATTTGGAAATTTCTTCTTCATATCATTTAACTTTGAGGTCTGCCCACCTGGAATTTCTGGGACTCATAGTGATGGTCTGGAAGACACTCAAGAGGCAGAGACATGTTAGAAATCCACATCTATTGTGCCTGTATTACTTAGTCAAAAATATGAATTTTAACATCCAGTTACAAAGTCACGAACAGGGCTTCTGTCCTTGAAAGTCTGCTCTTTTGGATCAGTCAGTTTACACGTTGGGAACAGTGTTTATTAATGGTTGTAGACCAAGGTTGGCAAACTCAAGATTTTTTAACAGAGAACATGAATAAATGGCCCTGGCCAGGTGGGAACTGCAGTATACCAGAGAAAATGTGCCTGTTCAACGGGATAGATGTCACTTGGCTATTGTGAGGGCAGTGAGATCAGAGTTAAAAATGTTGACAATCCATGTTTTCATGTCAAGTCTCCATATTTTTTAATGTGGGCTGTTAATGTTTTAAGAACTTTGTTCAAACTGCACACTAAAAGATTAACGGGCTAGATTTATATAAAAGTATATCAGTTTGTGATTTTTACAACAGGCAGTGTCCTCATCTGAGTTCAAGGGTCATTCACATACCTGTGCTTGCTGACAAGGAGCTCAGGTGAGAGTAGGGAAAGCTGATCAACTGAAACTCACTCTGCCTGAAAATAGAGCTAAGAGTAGAAACATGGTATGCTCTTCATGTACAAATAATATAAACAGGGAACTCAGTGCTAATATGGGAGAGTGGGATGGTGGATAAATATACTTTTGTTGTTCATAATGTGAGCTATTTTTTACCTTTCTTGTGCATTTACAAACAACCAGATGAATAAAACAAGTATAGCAGGTTCCCTTTAATCACTCTAATCCTGGACTAAGCACACTCCTCTTCCTGCTTTGCTTAAATTGTTCAAGTGTTGGTGGTGATATGTGTTGAAGGTCATTATCATTGTGCAGTTGCATTTGCATCCTAAATTTAAAACAATTTTTCAGATGTTTTGAACCAATAGGACTTTGGCTGCTGAATCTTAGATGCCATCTCAAGAACCTCAATTAAAATATTATATTCTGCACACACACAGACCTCCACATCCACTACCCCATCCCCGCAAAACACAGATGGGAAAAATTGATATTTAAAACAATGCTACTTGGATTGTAGGTACAGGGGGCTCATTTTAACTAGTCTATCTACTTTTATGTCTCACAACTTTTTATGAAAAAATATTGAAAATGCAGGAAAGACTTTGTTATAACAAATAAGTATCAATATAATGAGAACATTAGATTATTGAACATAAGTAATTTTTTAATTTATAAACTTTTAGTCATTTCATCATGAAAATTGCATTGCATATCTAATGTTTAGTCAATAGCCTAAAACAAATGTTTACAGTTTGATAGACTAACTTGACTTCCGATGGATTTTGGTTTACTATTAACTGTGTAGGTTCAAGAATGGTTTAATAAATATATGAGGCAATGCATACATTAATTAGCTCCATTATAATAAATATATACAATATTTGTCAGTTAAAAACATACATATTTAAAATAATGATTTAATGACATTTTTCAAGGGTATTATTTACCATCCAGCTAACTTATCATTGCTTAAGTCCAATATACTCCATAGTAGGAAATGGGGATTCAAACATATTTATCAAATAAAGAAGTGAACTAAAGGCCAAATCAGAGAAATAATGTTACACAGTGACTTCTTACTCCAGATTAGTACAAACTTACAATGTGGAAAAGTGTATCCTTAGGTTGGTGACATTATTTGAAAACTACAATAAGCCCCACATATATACACATAAACATCTAAATAAAGGTGTGGACAGGTGTATAAAGTTTTCTTTTCAAACTTAGATCTAAAGAATTAAACATTTGTTGATATGTATTTAATTCCAACATAAAATCAAATTGTTTAAAGCTCAAGATTTTAATGTATAACAGCTAATAAAGTGTGTAATTACAGCACTGAACTTGTAATGTTTGAGGAAGCACTGTGCTTCTGAATGACACATACCTAAACAATACATTAAAACTCTATTTTTATTTCTACAATTTTTAAGTGACTTGCATCAAAGAAAACATAAATCATTTTGGGGCTGCTGGAGAACAAAAGTGCTTGGTTAAAACATTTTATTCTTACAGGTTCTTCAAATCTGGGATATTGAAAGAAAAGGTAGTTTTATTTGAGTCAAAAAATGGAAAGGAAGAAACTCCAGTCTAAGTGTTGCCACACTAAAAATAGATTCAACACCTCTTGACTTTTTCCACTTTTTCCTTCAAGCATATATCAAAGATGCCTCACTTACTGGAATCACCCAACTGCCTGCTATCTGCTTCATTTAAAAGCCAGAATATATAGGATGGGCCCAAAAACACATATGCATTAGCAGAACTTCAGAAAATAAGATGTTCATATAGCATATGATTTGAAAGCTATGAACAATGCACATGTTGTAAAAATTTTGATTAACAAGAACTCTAGAAAGGAATCTTAAAACTTGCTAAAGCCAAAACACTTTCCACAGAGATAACCTTTTCTACTTTGGGAGAATTATTTATGTGCTCACGGTAAAACACCACCAAGTGCCAGAAATTTTTCAATAAATTTGTCATTACAGAAATTGATGTCCTTAGTAACATCTAAGAAATGTTGTTGATAGGCAAAATTTTCTGCTAGACTGGGTCCCAGGGTATGGCCTAATTCTATACACACTATGGGTCTACAGCTGGTATCTTGCAGGACCTCATCCAAAAGTAGCATAAATAAGACAAATATGGGAAGTCTCTGATCAAAAGGGACAATAATACTCCATGAACTGTATTAAATCCCTCTTCAAAGATTTCAAAGCCTCTGATAAATAATATGTCATGAGCCATTCAGGTGACAGGAGGCAGATAAAGGGAAAAATATCATTCTCCTTTATTGCATGAGCATACAGCCTGAAAAGATGAAAGGAGAAATAGCCCTAACTCAAGCTTCTCTTCAGTTAAAAGGCACCAAATAAATCTTAAAAAAATGCATCTAATCACAACTATGTGCTTAATGTAATCAAATACTGCTTATTTTCCTTTTTTGATATTTTTGGACAAAATAAATTGTGTCACTTAATTTCTGGTTCCCCTGTATTTTCCTTCTCCAATCCAGCCTCAGACTGCCTGCTGGGGTTTCCAGAACACAACCTGGTCCTTTCCTTATCTTAATTAAAACCTTCAGTGGGTCCATGTAGTCTTCACTCAATTAAGGAAAGGATCCTCTGAGTAATATTCCTCAATTAATGCCACTCCTCATTCATTCACTCAACAAATCTCTCTTCTTACCACATTTCCTACACTCTAATCATACCAAGATTCTTAATTATTGCTTGCACAAGGTGACAGACTTAAATGTTTTCATATCTTACTGAATTGTAATACTAGAAATGCTTTATACTTGCCTGATAAAAGAAAATACTAATTCATAACAAGATGCAACATACATTCTTTCCTTTGAGAAACAATTCTTGAATAGTCTACCTGAGAAAAAGCATCATTTCTTCCCCTGTGATTCTATGCATTTTTTAATAACAGTAGAGTATTTATTGCATTATAATTAACTGAATACACGTTTGTTTCTTTTACTGAATGTCAGGGACCATCATGGCTTATTCATGTCTGTAACTGACAACCTGAGAACATTGCCTGGAATATGGAATGAACTCAATGACTGTTACCATTTGAATGTCCCTTCCAAAACTCCAGTGAAATTTAATTTCCTATGTGACAGTATTTAGAGGTAGGGCTTTTAAGAGGTGATTGCATCATGAGGGCTTTGCCTTCTGTATTAGTCAGGGTTCTCTAGAGGAGCAGAACTAGTAGGATATATATCTTACTAGTTTACATATATATCCCACTAGTTCATACATATATATATATGTGTGTGTGTGTGTGTGTGTGTATGTGTGTATGTGTATGTGTGTGTGTGTGTGTGTGTGTATATATATATATATATATATATATATATATATATATCCTACTAGTATATATATGGAGTTTATTAGGAGTATTAACTGACACAATCACAAGGTCCCACAGCAGGCCATCTGCAAGCTGAGGAGCAAGGAAACCAGTTCATCCCAAAGATGAAGAACTTGGAGTCTGATGTTTGAAGGCAGGAAGCATCCAGCATGGGAGAAAGATGTAGGCTGGGAGACTGGCTAGCCGTTTCATGTTTTTCTGCCTGCTTTATATCCTGGCCCTTAATCTGGTTGGATCTGCCCTTCCCAGTCCATTGACTCAAATGTTAATCTCCTTTGGCAAAACCATTACAGACACACCCAGGATCAATATTTTGCATCCTTCAAGCCAATCAACTTGACACTCAATATTAATGATCACACCTTCATGATTGGATTAATACATTCATGGATTAGTGGATTAATGATTTAATGAAGTAATGAATTATCATGGGAGAGAAACCAGTGGCTTTATAAGAAGAGGAAGAAAGGCGTAAGCTAGCACTTAATGCCCTCAGCCCTCTAGGTATGTGATACCCTGCACTACCTCTGGACTCTTCAGAGAGTTCCCACAAGCAAGAAGGCCCTCACCAAGGTCTGCTGCCCCTCAACCCTGGGCTTCTAAGCCTCCATAACTATAAGAAATAAATTTCTTTTTTTAAAATAAATTACCCAGGTTCAGGTATTCTGTTACGAGCAACAGAAAACTGATTAGACGCTGACCATTTGTTGAATTGAAGGAAATTAGATTAAGAAATTTATTTAAAAACCCATTATTTTTTCAACATTAAGATGTTATGAGTCAGTAATGTGTATATGTCTCTGCACTAGAAGGTGCGAGCATTCGTAGAATATAAAGGTGCCAGTTGAGATTGGCTTATGATCAGAATGTGAAAGGAAAACAATTAGGTATTAATAATGCAGTCTATATCTGATATAGTAGTTATGTTGAAACCTGATCTAAATAGAAGCTCCTGTTCTTCTTATTCCATATTGCTTGCTAAGAAATATTCTCTGTTCTTCTAAATTAACACTCTGTTTGTACCAAATGAAGTATTTACGCAGCTTTAGCGCTTACATTGAGGTTCTCAGCTCTAAATAATTTTGGCACATGATTATCAATATAGAAGCTATGACTTATATATGTGCCTTTTACTGATGAATTTAGAGAGTGAACCGAGATTAACGGGCTTTACTACAATGTCTCTGAGTCAAGGGTCCACAAACCTCAATATGCTGGTCCATAGCCTGTTAGCAACCTGGCCGCACAGCATGAGGTGAGCCACAGGGAAGGGAGTGAAGCTTCATCTGTACTTAACAGCCGCTCCTCACTCACATTACTGCCTGAGCTCCATGCCCTATCTGATCAGCGGCAGCCTTAGATTCTCATAGGAGTGCAGACCCTATAGTGAACTGCACACACAAGACATCTACGTTGCTCACTCCTTACGAGAATCTGATGCCTAATGATCTGTCACTGTCTCCCATCACCCTTAGATGAGGCTGTCTAGTTGCAGGAAAATAAGCTAAAGACTCCCACTGATTCTACATTGTGATGAGTTGTGAAATTATATGTATATATATATATATATATATATATATATATATATATACACACACATATATATATATATTACAATGTAATAATAGAAAAAAGTGTACAGTAAATGTAATGTGCTTGAATCATCCTGAAACCATCCCTGCATCCCCCGGTTTGTGGAAAAATGTCTACCATGAAACTGGTCCCTGGTGCCAAAAAGTTTAGGTACCACTGATGTGAGGCACAGAGAAGTTTCTAAGGGGCTAAAACTACAAATCAGACAATTTTAAATTTTTAAATGAATCTTCAAGGCCAAACAAATTTAAACATCTCATCAGAAAGAATTGTACAATTTCTGTGCCTTGATAGTAGTTGTTATTTTATACCTGAATTATTCTTTTAAAACAAGCTTTCAATGCTGAATAAAACAATGTTTCAAAAGTAGTTAATTTCAAATTATTATCCTGTAAAAATTCCATCTAAATTAATACTAGTCAACATACAAGTATTATATGTGTATGTACTCCAAATTAAAGTAAATAAATGGGCTAATGTGACCTTTCTTTCAGATGCAGATGGGACCGTTGGCAAATATTTGACCTTTCTGAACTCTGTATAGTAACGTAAGTTACTAAGAATCTCTGGCTGTAATGGTAAGCTTTATTTGTCAACACATCAATGAAAAATCTATATTTGAATCCAATGAGTTCCAGTTCATTTGTGTATGAAAGCACACAATGTACTGTTTTAGGATGTGGGGTTGATTGGCTCATTTACCTTTAGATATAAACAATAGAATTTTTCTTAGATAAATATGATGCAATGTGAGCTATGTATTCTGACATGTAATGAATGGTTTGGAAGCCAGCAAGTTCCAGGAGAAATGTCATTCAGAACATCAATATATGAGCTACTTGCCAAACGATATTTTTACTCTGCTAGGGCATGCTTGAGTTTCAATTCAAGGAAGGAAGAATAAAATGGTATGTAGGATTATGCAGGAAATTTACGTCTCAGACACATGATAGGAAAAGAATACATCTCAAGAGACAACCTCAGGCCGGGCGCGGTGGCTCACGCCTGTAATCCCAGCAGTTTGGGAGGCCGAGGCGGGCGGATCACGAGGTCAGAAGATCGAGACCATCCCGGCTAAAACGGTGAAACCCCGTCTCTACTAAAAATACAAAAAATTAGCCGGGCGAGGTGGCGGGCGCCTGTAGTCCCAGCTACTTGGGAGGCTGAGGCAGGAGAATGGCGTGAACCCGGGAGGCGGAGCTTGCAGTGAGCCGAGATCCCGCCACTGCACTCCAGCCTGGGCGACAGAGCGAGACTCCGTCTCAAAAAAAAAAAAAAAAAAAAAAAAAGAGACAACCTCAGAGAAAGGAGTGATTTCTGAGTCTTTCCAAGTTTTCAGAAGACCACCATACAAGTTTTTTCTACATGTAAAAAATCCACTGAGGGGTGGGGAGGAGGGAGTAAAAGGGTTTCGATGAGCAATTCTCTATCTGCTTAATAAATTTGCTAACTTTGTAGACCTACTGGGTCCACTGGAATCTGTAGAGCCCATTCTGTATCACAGAGAGATGAAATATGCCTTTTATTTATTTATTTACTTATTTTTGCAATAGCTTTGGAGCAATACCGATGCAAGACTTTTTTTTTTCTTCCTAGAGTCCTACTCATGCACACATGTATCTTTAGGCTCATCTGAGACAGATTTATACAAGCAGGAAAGATTACATTCTCACCAAGTACATATCACTTATTCTTAAAATAAATTAATGGCTTGTCATGGGGAAAGGAGGGCAGTTAGAATTGCTCAAAAGAAAAAAAACATGTTTTGTGTAAATTATTACAAGAAAGCAGTGGCATATATAAAATGTACATAGGAAAACAAAAAGCTACATTCGGAGTCAAAAAGCATAATACATTTTATATCTTAATAGTATTCCTATTCCACAAAACAAACTAATTTTCAGCTCTTCCCTCTTTGTGCTTGCTTTGAAAATAAATTCACTTACCATAGTGTTTATCACAGTTATTTTCATGGCTTTTCTTATGTCATATCCCTAAAAAGTGCAAAAATTTATTGCCCTCTATGCAAAATTATTTTGATGCAATTCACATGTATCCCAAGCTTCAGTGACATTTGGTTATTATTAAATGATTACAGTGGAATGGAAAATAAGAAAGGAAAAGCATTTCAGTTCTTGGGCACAGTCACTTCAACCTCTTTAACTCTTTTACAACCATGAATTTTTTGTTCCATTAACAAAGCAATAGCTTTCTTAAACAGAAAAATAATAAAAGAAATGCAGCAAAAGAGGTGTAAGTCACAATATTTCTAAAATTATGTATCATTATAATATACATTCTGTCTAGAACTCCATTTCCGTTTCCTCCTTGACAAATTACACATATAGATTTCTTAGACCAATATTTTATATCAGAAATAATAGATTTGGGGAAAGATTATTCTGCTAAGGAACAATGTTACAAACTTGGTTGAATCTTATCCTTGTCCGAGTCCATTTGTGACAAAGTCTGTCCAGAATTGCATATTTTTGTTGACTTTCAGTTAGCCTTTACTCTGAGCAAAAACCAAGGGTCAATACCAGCTAAGTGATATTCTGGTCCTGAGGCTGGTACTTTATGGAGATCTGCTGGAGAGTAACTAATTATATAACAATTTTAAAGAATGCAAAAATCTTTCTGAGTTTTAGTTCTGCCCACTTTCTTTTTACATATTTCATTGATTTGTTGAATTAGCACAAATATATCTAATACTGAAAATGGGATGTTCCTTCTATATGTTTATGACAAGACTATGTGTCACAAACTATCAAGGCTCTCAAGGGGAAATTGGTTCTGCTTGCTAACTATTACTAGAAAAGAGTGCCTAAAATTATTCAGTTTAAAACCTAAATTATTTCTTGGGTAAGTTACCTTCCAAAATGTAATTGATTATATCTACACTATATAACAAGATAATTAATTCTTTTATTTAGTTACTTAAGTGTACATTTGCAATGAATCTATCTTGGCAGATTCACCAAGGAAATCGGTCTCTTAAAACCAGATGTTCTATCAATGTGTTTGATGAGTTAGTTTTTTGTTTGTTTGTTTTTTGTTGGTTTCTATAGCCATAGTGGGTGGCTGGTAACCCATGCTTTGGAAATGTTTCAGTGTAAATAATCTTGGTCACATACTATAGTGAAGAACTTTGAAGACTTAATAATTCATTTGTTCATATGCTAAAAAGAGCTACAGAAACTGTGTCTTTAGTAAACTCTTGGACCTGCCTACTCTATTGGCCCACTTCGATGTGGAGATTGGGTGGCCATCTATTCAAGAAGTAGTGTGGATTTTTGGTCTAGTTTTCAAAAGAGGTTGTCAGCCCTTCTATTTGGTTGGTTGATTTTTTAAATATAGAGTCTGTCTTTAATCAGTAACAAGAAATTGTTCCTTGCCAGAGAACATGCTTCCAAACTGTTTGCTAGCTAACTTCTATCAGAAGCCATTTGAAGGGAATTTCTGGAGACTTTTTTGAAGGATAAAATGACTGTCTCTCTCTAGACATCCAAGTTTTTAACCCCTAAATCAGTCTACATTATCAAAAAGCTTCCTATTTAGACCCTTTCTTAGCTTCCAACAAGATATTTACTTTGTTGTACTTGGTCCTCAGCTTATATTAATATTAATAGATATCCTGAAACATGTTTATGAAATGCACTACCATAGGTAATTAATAATGCTATTAAAATATCATCCACTACATCACACAGAATTTCCTACACAAAAACCCATTCAAAGACATGGGCCTTTGTGTTTGATCCTACAATTAACTAATGTGCCTTCTCCTTAAGTGATGATATGACTCCTGTACGCATCACAGTTCCTTTCATTTCAACTACCAAGAAGCTCAGAGTTAAATTTATTAATTAACATTTATTTCAGCATTTACAATATGCATTCTTTGTTCTAAATTATCCCTGAATTTGCTTTTCTATGTTCTTCATGGCCTTGACTTTTAAATTTATGTACATATTTTTGGGTTTTGTGTATATCATTGAAAGTTGTCTTAAAATATTTTCTTGAATAAGATGAGTTGTAGCTAAAGAGAAAGAAAATAAACTAGATGTTCCACTGTATTGTAAAAAGATTCTGAAAAAGATATGAGTAGAGGAGACGAAAAAGGCAAGATAAAGTCATGATGAAAAAAATAACTGAGCACCAAAGGTAAATAAAACAGAGGTAGTAATAATTCGTGAAATTAGAAGAATATTGAGATTAATATATAATAAGATTAAAGGAGGATGACTAAAAAGATAAATACAGATTGAAATGTAGTAAACAAAAAGAAATATAAACCAAAAGACAAAGTCAGTATGTTGGAATAAGTCGAATACTTTGACACATACACAGCAGCAAAACCATTCAAGTAATGTGCTGACAGAAAAGTCAACACTGCTCCTGTGCATTATTGATGTGGTATTCTAGGGGAAACCAAAACCAGGTCACCATCTTCTAATGCCTATAAGGGTTGTTTTATGTGTGTTATATTCACAACAGCTTTTATTACATCACCAAACATTTACAATCCAATAGTTACAATGTTACTCTTATGTTCTCAAATCCATGAATTCACTTAATAGATCAACAAACTCAAATTTAATGAACAGAATGCTTTGAGTTGTGCTCCCTAAGAATCAATGAATTTGGAAGGATGCCAGAGGTTTGACGCACAAGATTATGCAGGGAAAGATGGTGATGACCCTTTCATGGGCCCAGTGCAGGTAGCCAGTGCTTCTCTTTCCTCTGTATCTTCCCAAATAATGCATTTGTATTTCCTTGTTTTTCTCTCAATAGTTTACTTTTGTCAGTGACTTTTAGAAAGTCGCTGAATTGCTAAGGCATTGGTTTTCAAAGTGTGGTCTCTCAGACCAGCAGTATCAGTCTTTCCTGGGAATGCAAATTCTAAGGCTGAGGAATAAAAGATTTGGGGGGGTGGGTAGGGCCTTGCAATCTGTGGTTCAGCAAGGCCTTCAGGTGATTGTAATGCACTTTGAGAACCACTGGACTAAAGGAATATTTGAATATGAGGAGATCATTCACAAGCATACTGAATGTGAGTGATAGGAATACAGACAGGGTTAGAAAAGGAGAATGGAAAACTGCAGAAAAAGAAAATAAGCAAGTGACAACTTCCCACTTTCTTGTACCAGAGACTCAAATGTGAGTTCGAGTTCATATTAATCTTTTAGTTTTCTTTTGTAATTTATTATTTGTATATTTGTGCCTATGCTGGTTTTCATTCTTCGTTTGTACTGAAAAGAGAAAGTCTGACACTAAGTTTAGTGAGGAAACTAGAACTACCTAATACTTCACATTCTCTAGACTTCCTTAACTCATTATCCTCAGACAGCATAACCCCCCAATTCCTAAGTCATTCTGCAAATGAGCAAGATTCCTTTTAGCTTTAGCTCCATACAGGGATCAACACCACCAGGGCAATTTAGTCACCCCTGAGGTAAGCCTCCGCAGCTGTTTAAACAGTGCATGGCCCATAACAACATGACAGTGTAGGGCAGGAAATAAAGAAGGATTCTATTTCCAACTGAACCTCTGATGGGAGTTGAAATAGGTGGTATTTGATTTCTGAAACTAGAATTCATTTGCTTATCATAAACCTTTCAGCAGCACACTTTCTCTCTCCCTCCAAGCACCATCACTCTTAAAAACACTTCCATTCCTGCAACTACTCCTTAATTATGGATTCCCATATAGGATCTGATGCTATCTTCTTTGAAAACAGGTATTTTTGGTTTTGAAATGTCTCTAAATTGTTACGGATTGAAAATTGCAACCTACTTCATAATCACTGGAGATGATTTAGACAAAAAAACAACGAAGATGGTCATAAAAAGATGGGCTTAAATGTTGAATTATTTAGCACGAGTGAGAGCAGATTAGTAAATAGATTGACCATGTAATTGCCAGATTTTTAAATCTGGGAAACTTTTCAGAGAGAATGAAGGGGGTGGCTGTTACAGACTTTGCCAAGACAACAGGCCCGCACTGGAACTGTTTTCAGTAAACAGGGAACAGGCTCACTGTATGACTAGGAGACTTATTGGCTAACTTCAAGTATATGAAAGATATTGAGAAAAATATTTATCATTTACTCTCTTTTTCCATGAAGACCAAATAGGAAAAAAAGCAGGACACTTTTTGTTGTTGATTTATATGTTTCTTGAGGGTCCTGCTATTATTGGGCTGATCATCTAATTATTAGACATATGTTTATATAAAATAATTATTTTTTATAAAATTACCAGACACAATTAGATCATCTTGACTTTCAAAATATTAATTGTAAAAATTAGTGACTGTGAGAGCTGTAGAGTTGCCACCCATGGGGACTCATTACCTCTGCTTATAAGTTACTGTCCTTAAACATAATAGGAACTCAGTCATTTTCATGAATTGTATTAAAATTCTACAGTTATACAGCTCTCTTAAAGAAAAATACTAAGATGTTGTTGTCACATTTTTTCCTAATCTACAGAGTTCAAAATTTCGTTCCCATTATTTGGAGGCCTCCCATATGTAAATATTTCCTCTGACTGTCTATACATTGTTGAGGGTTGGATTATAGAAATCCATTAAAACAAGTATAGGCAAGGCAGTTTCACATTGTTCACGTGATATTCTTTTAATAGTACATCCTCATGCACTGTTCCCTGTAGACCTCTTTCTTTTGCTACATGCCCTACATCCTACAAAACCTGAAATTTATCTGATGGGTCAAATTTAATCATAAAATTTGACACCATCAGATTTAATAATAAAACCTGACACTCAGAACCTTGACTTTCAGGAGCAAGAATTACAACATATGAGGAAAAGTGGAAGGAAAAAAGGAAGAGAAGAGAAGGGAAGGGGAGAGGAGCAGAGGTGGGGGATGGGGAGGGGAGGGGAGGGGCAGGGAGGGGAAGGGAAGACGTATGGCAGGGAAATTTTCAAGAGAAGAGTTCCCCAAAACATTTTGTGTCTTTAAGAAGTACTAAATATACCTCTACAAAACATTAAGGCAATAAAGGTGATCAATTCAGTGACTTTAGAATTTCATAAAACGCTCGTATCAGTGTCAAGAATTCAAAACAAATTGTTAGTTTTGAGGGTTTTTTTTTTTTTTTTGTCTCTTAGTCAATTCAACTAACATTGGATAGATACATCCTAGGGGTCATCACACACAGAACATGATTAGCAATATGATACTCTGTTATTGATTAAATATATACTTTCCTCTTTTCTCACTATAATATTGCATGCAACTCATGAGTAGTGCCAAATAGTCCCTCATGGAGAGAGATCAGTTCTGTTTGGGATGTCCTTGGAAGACTTCAAAAAGTAGAGCTTTGTTGAATTGGGTGCATCATATAAAGAGACAAGGAGAGAGAAAATAGAAAGTCATAGAGCAAACCAATTTTCCTAAAGATTTACAGTAGTCTTCCCTTATCCTTGGGGATACATTCCAAGACCCCCAGTGGATGCCTAAAACCTTAAAGAGCACCACACCCGATTGCTGTCAACTGGAACACATTTTCTGTTCATGTCTTTCACCCACAAATTTAATGCCTTTTCTATCATAACTAAGCATTCAGAATGCACTATGGTCATAACCTTTGCAGTATGAGGTGAAACAGCAAAACTAGCATGAATTCTTTTTCTTTCTTTACCACTTCATGGATAGAAGTTTTGTTTTTACTATATATTTTAGCAATCTCAGCATAATTATTTTTCCTTTCTTTAAGTCCTTTCACTTAAAGGAAGCACTTTATGACCTTTCTTTGGCATATCCGAATTGCCAGCACCACTACTTTTGCACTTTGGGGCCATTATTAAGTAAAATAAGGATTACTTAAACACAAGCACTGTAATACTGCAACAGTCAATATTATAACCAAGTTAATAGGGATTGATCTAAGGCTGCTAGGTGACTAACGACTAATGGGCAGGTAGGCTAGGCAGCATGGATCTGATAGACGAAGGAATGATTGATGTCTCGGGCAGGTTGGAGAGGGATAACACAAGATTTCATCACACTACTCAGAAGAGCATTCAATTTAAAATTTATGAATTATTTATTTCTTTCTATTTAATATTTTCAGACCACAGTTGACAACAGGTAGCTGAAACTGAGGAAAGTGAAAAACGGTGGATGAGGAGGGACTGCTGTAACTGGGGGCAGTGGTGAGAGAAACGGCCAAACACTCTATTGAGGTGAGATTTCTAGCTGTGGGGTTTGGATTTTATCTTGTGGGCTTAGGGAACCACTGAAAGTTTGTAGATGGTGATTTTAGGGCCTATGGAAAGTAGCCTTGTAGCAATGTACAGATGAGAATCATTGTGAAAACAAACAAACCAATATGGGCTTTATTTTAGTTACCAGAGAATGAAGCCAATGAAAATCTAAAATAGGGTGGTGGTGGTGGTCAGTAAGGGGAAAGGAAAGGATAAATACAAAATATACTGTGAAAGAGAAATCTAGATCAGTGGTCCCCAACCTTTCTGGCACCACGGATCAGTTTCATGGAAGACAATTTTTCCACTGAGGGGGAAGAGGGGAGGTTTCGTGGTGAAACAGTTCCATCTCAGATCATCAGGCATTAGTTAGATTCTCATAAGGAGCACACAACCTAGATCCCTCGCATGTGCAGTTCACCGTAGGGTTGTGCTCCTATGAGAATCTAATGCTACCGCTGATGTGACACCTCTTGCTATGCGGTTGGGTTCCTAACAGGCCACAGACCAGTAGTGGTCCACTGCCCGGGGTTTGGGAACCCCTGATCTAGATGCTACTATTACTACTGAATATGAAGGTCTAATAAGAAGGGGGAATTTAAACATTCTAAAATTATGAGTCTCCCTGACTGGGACTATTGAGGTACCACTGATGGGAGAAAGCCAGTGTGAAGAAGGGGAAGTTGGTGAAGCATGGAAATGGTATGTGAGAGAAGAGCGTTCTATTACGTATGATGAGTTGACAGAAACTCCCAGCAGAAATAGAGTAAACTGTTGATATGAACTACTAGACATGCAAGGCTTGAAGCTGAAGGAATGGATCAGATCTCTGATATGGCGAGTGTACACACACAGCCAAATAGGCCAAGAAGAGAAACCTGGGTGAGAAAAGATCCGGTAGAGGAAATAGAGCAAAGCGAGAACTATCCAACCAATCAGTGAAATACGAAGTGCCTATGAGGTATTTCTAAAATGCAATCTGATACAAGGAATTGGTTAATAGGGAGCCGCAAGAGCAGTAAAAGGATGCTGAGGTCACCCAAGATTAATAATTACAGCCACTGTCCCTAGGGCCGGGTAAACAAAGGAGAAGAGGTGGTAACAGTGGAACACAGGATTTGAAGGAGGGTCCCCATGGAGTTGGTGCTATGTGCTTTGGGGGAAGCTCTTGAAACTGGTTTTCTGATTTGCAGGCTGCGGGTGGCAGAGCTAGTCTGGTAGGTGCTAGAACTCAGTGGAGGGGGAACCGCTCAGCAGAAGTCCAGGAGTGTATGCCTCAGTAAGTGAGGAAACATTGGGGCATCTCATACTCCAGCCTTAAAGAAACCACATTCTAGTTCCCGCTAAGGCTGAGGCTGCAAGTGGTGAAAGACTCTGGAGGCTGGAGCCGACTGTCTGCTGTTGCTGGAACAATGCTGATAGAAACTGGAAAAACAGAAGGGAAGTCCTGTCTATCCTTTCACCTTCCAACCTCCCTTTCATGCCCCCTACTGGCAGAACGTAACAGGAAGCCAGCTGATAAGGAAGTCTGGGAAATGTTATCTGAAGACTCCCATGCCCACCCTCATAGAACAGTAGAAAAGGGCCTCTTGGAGTTGAGGAACAATAGCGAAATAATCAGCACATCTAGAGAGGAATGTGTTACAGAAGCCCAGGGAAGAGTGAGGTTTCAATAAGAAAGGGGAAGAAAACTTCAACAAATGCTGGAAATAGGTCAAGGAGAATGAACTAGGCAAAGACTTTTGAACTTGGTGATTAAGATAAAAATGAAATGTTCTTAAATGGATAAGCATTGGAGAAAATTTTCATTTAAAACCTTAGACACTACTTCCAATGTCTGTGATTCATCAGTTATGTCAGTTTCTCATTACCTTAAAAACTTCAAAAACAGTAAATAAAACTCTTATTATATCTATAGGGAATGATAACTAATATTCCAAAATATCTGTAAAAAAAAAACAAGAAATTATGTATATGCCACATAAAAGTATTAACAGTTAAGCATGCAATATTTTATTGTACCAAAATAGTTCTGATTTGCCCGATAAATTAATTTATAAAATATATTACTCTCTACTTTTTATTGTTATAAATACATTTTAGAATCCTTATTAAATTCCTTCTGAGTCTTCAGAAAGATGTGAGTAGCCCATGTTAGGAACTGATGACTTAATATTGTGTTAGCATGCCCCTGGCACTGTGGTGGAGAGTCTCAGCATGAAAGAGTGGCATAAAGAAAACGTTCTTCCTCCCTCCCACAGAGACGAGAATTCCATCACACCATCATCTCTGCTCTTTCCCTTTCCCCCCACAGAGCTTAAAAAATCTGCCTAGAATGTACATTCCACAGTCCTCTGAAGTATTATAGTAATATTAATAAATTCTTCACATGACATTTGGACAAAAGCCAGTGACAGATATAAAAATTGAGGTGTCTCTTAGGTCTGAAATGGGTTTTTAAAAATTTCCACGTTAAACAAAAAAGGAAAGCTACATTTTGGTAACTGTTAAGTGCAATGATTTCATAATAAGTATTAGGTAACCAGCTTACATTAAATATTATGAGTGTTAATATATTTATTTACTTTACAGAACATAGAAATAGCATGCTAGTAGAATGGTAGGTCAGAGGTTAAAAGAAAATTATTCTGGCTTCATGCAAAAGGAAAGAAATGGTCAAGCACTACAATAAAGCCTCCTCTTTTGATAAATTATCCCCCTTTCCCCTTCCAGGCAATATATAACATATATATAGGGAGGTTCTTTCAAGCCTCTGAAGTGCTATTTTCAGAAGCTCTGCTTCAGGACACCCTGGATTTGTTCATTTCTTCTACCAGTTTTTGTTTTAAAAAGCTATATGCAAGTGTGTTGTACACACACCCACACATATATCCATACACACACACAGTTTAGAGAGATTACTTAAAAAGTTGGTATTTTATAGAAAAACTTAAGCACACCCCTGGCCAGTAGAGTTCTGTCCAAGTTAATCCACACTGATTCTATAAGTTATCTTATAATATAAAATGTACATATTTACATACATAGTTATTAATATCTACTATTGCAGCCCTGCACTATTTCTGAATAATACTCAAAATAACTGTATAAGCCAGGAAATATTATCCCCATATATCATATAAAGAAACTGAGGCCCAGAGAAACCCTGTCTTACGGTCAGTAAATGACAGAATTAGAAAGATTTCTAATGTCCAAACTCTTTCCACCAAACCACACTGCAAATATGCTTATCTACACTGCAAACTAAAAAGAGCAATTGGTGCTTCTGATCTGTCATTCACAACACTGTGTCTGTACTAAGAGACATCACTGGCTCATCTGTTTAGAAAAATTATGCCTTTGGATCCATTCTTTACAATTCTTCTGCCACCAACTATACAGAGACAGAACAGCAAACTGCAATATAAATCTCTTCAGGAAGCTCTGTGCTGAGCTAAGACTAGGAGTGACTGCTGCTCTGTGTAAGGAGTCTCGTCCAATAAGTAAGAGAGAGGGGTGACTGATATTTTTGAAGGGGAAGTCATCTTACCATTGAAGCCAAGAATATAGTGTCCAGGTCACTGAAGACATGTGGCTGTGTGCTGTTGCCTTGCCTGTTCTTCAGGGAATCCCCACTAGCTAGCACAATGCCTGGCATAGAGATCAACCAGATTTGTTGAGTTAATGAGCCAAAAGGCATAGACATATCTTGGATTTCTAAAAATTGTTTGGAGGTTCAAAGATAAGACCCAGGCTTAAAAGAATAGGACATTTTTCTGCAAGTTGTTCCTCAGGAAACCATGTTTTCCATGTACAAGAAGTTGATTGTTGGATAAAGATTTGTAATCATGAGAATATTTTTTTCTGACGTAATAAATGACCAAGGAAATCACACTATTTTCTTTACCTCAAAGCAAACAAAGGCCTGATTAAAAGTACACCATGTCAATTACTTGCAGCCTCTGAAAAGAGTGGTACCATAAGATTATAATGGATCTGAAAGATGTCACCTAGTGACATTTTAATGTCATACGGTAATACATTACTCATATGTTTGTGGGGATGCTGGTGTAAACAAGTCTACTGGGCTGCCTACCCTGCCTACCAGTGGTATAAAACTATAGCACATACAATTATGTACAGTATATAATACTTGATAATAATAAGCTACTGTTACTGGTTTATGTATTTACTATCCTTTTGATAGTTATTTTAAAGTGTACTCCTTCTTATAAAAAAAAGATACCTATAAAATAGCATCAGGCAAGTCCTTCAGAAGACATCTAGAAGAAGGCATTGTCATCATAGGAAATGACAGCTCCGTGTGTGTTACTGGCCCTGAAGACCTTCCAGTGAAACAAGATGTCGAGGTGGAAGACAGTGAAATCGATGATCATGACCCTGAGTAGACCTAGGCTAATGTGTGTGCTTCTGTCTTAGTTTCCAACAAAACAGCTTAAATAATAATAATAATAAATTTTAGAAAAAGTAAAACGTTTAGAATAAGAATATAAGGAAATTTTTTTGTACATCTGTACAATGTGTTTGTGTTTTAAGTTAGGTGTTATTACAAAAGAGTAAAACAGTTTAAAATTTTAAAAAGTTTCTAAAGTAAAAAAATTAAAGTAAGCTAAGGCTAATTTATTGTTGAAGAAAAAATATTTTATCAATTTAGTGTAGCCTAAGTGCACAGTGTTTATAAAGTCTACAGTAGTGTACAGTAATGTCCTCAGGCTTCACAGTCACTCACCACTCACTGACCCACCCACAGCAACTCCCAGTCCTTTAAGTTCCATTCATGGTAAGTGCCCTACCCAGGTATACCATTTTAAATCTTTTATACTGTATTTTTACTCTACCTTTTCTATGTTAACATACATTTTGGTACATAAATACTTACCATTGTGTTGCAGTTGCCTAGAGTATTCAGTACAGCAACCTCTGTACAGCTTTGTAGCCAGGGGCAAGAAGCTATACCACACAGCCTAGGGGTCTAGTAGGCTATACCATCTAGGTTTGTGTCCTTACACTGTATAATGTTCACACAATGACAAGATCACTGAACAATGCACATCTCAGAACCTATCCCTGCCATTAAGTGGCACATGACTGTATATTATATAGACTTACATCATCATTTTTCAAATGCATGTAAGTACATTTGTGTTGAACATAATGCAAATTCAGTTTAAGTATTACTGTATAGATTGTTACCTTTAAACTATCACACATCTTCCCAACAAATGGATATGAAAAGGTTTTAACAATTGTGAAAGATGTGAAAGATTTTCATCTAAAAAGTGATTCCTCATATTCCAAAAATACTTGCAATGAGGGTGAGGGTACAAATGGAAAATTGGCAGATTGAGATTACATTTTTGAAGAACACCTTCATATGCTACAATATTTTTGTGAACTGAAAAAAGTGTCTTCCTCAAGTAAAAATATTGTTACTATATTAGTAACTTCTTAATAACAATATTATAACATTCTGTATAAACTATACAAGTCAAATTATTTAACATAAAATAATAAAAACAAATTTTAACTATAAGGACTAGGAACAAGTCTAAAATGTATATTTTTATTATAAAATACACCATGGGCTTTCATAAAAACTCCTTTGTAGCAGTTTCAATGCTTTTCTAATCCAATACTCATTTTCTGTATAAAATGGTTGCTATACTTGATAGTATTTATATTACAGATTTTTTGTTTATTTAATAAATTTTAATTTTGAGAATCTATGTTTTCATAAATGTTCTATGTTTTTATATACATGTTTTATATATATGTTTTCATATATATAGGTTCTAATAACTGATTTGGAGGAAGTTAAATATATACTAAGAGCTAAAAGTGTATTCAAAAATAAGTCTAATAAATTACTGCTGCAAATACTTTGCAATACCTTAGGAGAATAATAACAGATTCTAGAATAAAAAAAACTAAGGTTTTATATACTTATCAGTAACTTTCATTTGTAAGTTTTACAAAGTAGCAATATTTTAATTTAAATATAATTCTTCAAATTTTATGTCATCCAGAATCTTGCTGTTAAAAGTGCAATTTGTGAACCACTAGCATCAGCATCATCTCTGAGTCTGTTAGAAACAGTTACAGATTCTACCACAGCTATACTGAATTAGAATCTGCACTTTAACAACAACTGTCAGTAATACTTATGAACATTAAACTTTGAGAAGTACTTACCTATAATGCTGGAAAGAAAATGACAAATTTGCATGATAATAAAATAATATTTAAAAAATTGTATCATAACATCCAATACAGAAAAGAATGCTTTGATTTTGAAATGCAGATGAATTGATCATAAGACTGATTTTTCCCCCTTACTCTGGTATTTTCTACACTATGAAAGGATAACAATGTCAGTTTGATTAGCATCAGTAATATACTTTTGCCTACATTGTTCAAAGAACTTCTTAATTTCTTTATGTTTTGCAGGGCTATATGAATACTAAACTTTGTTTCTGACATAATTATGCTTAAAACAGTGTCAAATTATAACTTAGAAAATAATTTTTAAAGTGGACATTTTTATAATCTGTGGCTAGTATCCTAAAACTTGTTATTTATCATTGTGATTAATAATTTCTAAAGGATTTTCTCATACTACTTCTGTTACTAGTGGCACAATAGGATTTTATTGTTTATATGATAAAGGCTTCAAATTTATGTTTAATAACTGTGTTTCCATCATTCTCTAGATTTTCCATTGAGGCTGAAAAGTGGTTCCTAGCTAGTATTTTTAAAATTAGTGTTATACAACAAAAATGCTACTAAATCATTTACTAACAAATTTGAAGAAAGAATGGAATAAAGAATATAGATAGCCCTAGATTTTTTGCAAGAATTTTCTCTTGCAAGTCATTATATTTTCCACTTATTTTGTGCATCATGTATACTCATTTGTGTATTATTTTGCCTGGATTTCACATTTGTTAGTAGCATACTAAAATTGTATACTGTGTGATATGCTCTTCCCAAAATATTTATGTGTAGAAATATTTGTATTATGGAAATTCACAAATCTTAAAATAACCATTACTTCTTTTATATTACTTACATTGGGAAATTTGTTTAAAGTAATAATTTCATAGTTCACTGACTCTAAGGCACCATTGATCATAAGATGTAACCTAACAGGAAAGAAATAAGCTGCCAATAAAAATATGCCAAATGCTTTTTATAAAAATCATTGTTTGTAAGTTGCATTCGAAATTCAGAAGTGTGAAAATATAACACTTCATTAATATATTTAAATTAATAAAATATAACTTAGTATGTCTTACATTGAAAATTATTTTCCATAAGAAAAATAAGAGGCCTAAAAATGGAAACACTCAATATTTTTATTTATTAAAAGTGTGAATATTGACTTCTGGTTCCATCTCTGACAAGAAATCAGCTTGGAAGTCATCATTCCCAAATTTATAAAAAGACAATAGCTTAAAAATTGAAGATCAGCGACTTCCTGGATCCCATCAGAGAAGTGAATGTGCAAGGCAAACCACCATCCCAAAAATCTGGAGAGGCAGGCAAATATATAGAAACACAGATGAGATCAGATTAGCTACAGCAGAAATCACTGGACCCACACACTGATGGGAAAACTTAAATAGTAATTTGATGAATTATTGGAAACCCTGCAGGCTGTAGTCTTGGAAAAGAGCACAATTGCTTGGGTTTTATCTCCACCAGGTTATTACAGTGAGAATCTGAAAAAAAAAAATCACTTTTTATCTTTGGCAGAGTGTGGGGAAGTATCTAGCTTGAAATATTCTCAGTGTGTTGTTTGTAACATAGGGCTACCCTCAGGTAAAACAAACAAACAAATAAACAACAAAAACAATGACAAAAGGGCACGCAAAAACAAGGACACTAGAGGAAATTGAAAGCTCTGTAGCCATGAGTTACACCAAGCCTTATCATATTCAAACTGCAGAACACAGAAGACCAAGGAAAAAACCTAGAAAGGAGCCAGAGGATACAAAAATCCCCTTACACATCTTACACATCCAGGGGAAAAAAGGTAATAATTCCAGTGAATATTTTGTTAAAAAAAAAAAACATGCAAGGAAGAAAAGTGTGGACTGGAATTTTCAGTGTGTTGAAAAAAAAAGACAAAGCAAAACAAAAAACTCTCACCCACCTATATCCTATATCCGGGGGAATTATCATACATAATAAAAGAGAAATACAAAGACTTTCTTAGACAAACAGAAACAGAGAATTCATTAACGGCAGAACTGCTATGTAAAAAAATATTAAAAGATGTTCTTCTGAGAGAAAGAAATGATAGAAGTCAGAAACTCAGATCTATGTAAAGCAAGAAAAAATCAGAGAAGGAATTTTAATGTAAAATGAAATCTTTTTATAAATTCTCAATCTAATAGATAAATGTTTGTTAAAGTAATAAGAAAAAGAGTGTATTGTGTGATTATAGCATATGGGCAAGTAAAATGGATTACAGTAATTTTTAAGAAATAGAAGACATATATTTAAAATACTGTTACAAGGTTCTAACACTAGACACATATTGTAGCTTCATATTTTGTCCTCCTTCAATTATAATTTGCTTAAAATTTTTCTTTTATCTCTGAGTTGCATTTTGAGTGAGTTCTTCAGATATGTCTTTTAATAAATATTATTTATTAGAAGTGTTATTTGAAAAGAGACAGATTTTTCAAAATTTATGCTGCAAACCCTATGGAAATCACTAAAAAAATGTAAAGGAAGTATAACTGGTGTATTAAGAGAGAAAAGAAAATGGAATTATATAAACTGCATAATTAAAACCAGAGAAGGCAGAAAAGAGGGGAAGAAAAAGTGAAAAACAAGTTCAACAAATAAAAAAAGTTATAACCATGTCAGATATTAATCCAACTATATGAATAATCACTTTCAATGTGAATAATCTAAATACACCAATTAAAATCAGTGAGAGTGGATAGAAAACAGACCCCATTATATGATAGCTTCAAAAAAACTCACTTTAAATATAAGGACATATATAAGTTAAAAGTAAACGGATTAAGAAAAATATATCATGAAGGACACTAACTGAAGAAAAGCTGAAATAGCTATGTTATTCTCAGACAAAGTAAACTTCAGAATGAGGAATAATGTCAGAGATAGAGAGGGGCACTATGTAATGAAAAAGCAATTCATATTATTCAATTATTCATATTCAATCCATATTCAATTATTTAAGAATACAACAATCTTTAACATGGATGCACCTAGCAACAGAGCATCAAGATACATGAAACAAAAACTAATAAAACTGCAAAAAGAAATAGACACATTCACTATTATAGCTGGAAACTTGAACACTCTTTTTTCAGTAATGGATATATGAAGCAGGCAGAAAAATCAGTAAGGATATAGTTAAACATAACAGCAATATTAATTGACTGGATTTAATTGACATTCATAGAATATTTCATCCAACAACAGCAGAATACACATTCTTCTTGAGCTCACATTCACCAAGATAAACCATATTTTAGGTCATAAAACACATTTTAACAAATTTGTAAGGATAGAAATGATTCCAAGTATATTCTCAGACCACAATGGAATTAAACTAGAAATCAGTAAAGGGAAAATACTTAAAAATCCCCAAATATTTGGAAATTAAAAAACACACTTCTAGATAACACATGGGTCAAAGAAGAAATTGCAACTTAAAATTTAAAAATGATCTATTTTTTAACCAAATGAAATTTAAAATACAACTTATGAAAATACCTGTAATGCACTGAAAGTTGTGTTTAAAGAAAAATATACAGCATTAAATGAATACATTAGAAAAGAAATAAGATCTGAAAATAATAAGCATCTATGCTTATTCCTTAATAAACTAGAGAAAAAGACCATTACAAGTCTAAAGGAAAAAAGAAAAGGAAAAATATCAGAGCAGGCATCAATGAAATTGAAAACAGAAAAACAATAGAGAAAATTAGCAAAATCAAAATCTGGTTCTCTAAAAAACCAATAAAATTTATAAACATCTAGCTAGGTTAGCTAAAAAAGAAAGAAAACATGAATTACTATGATCAGATATGGAAAAAAGAATCATCACTACTGATTTCATAAATATTAAAAGAATAATAAAAGAAAATTATGAGCAACTCTAGGCTTCTACATTTGATAACTTGGATAAAATAGATCAATCTTTGAAGGACAGAAACTACCAAAACTCACATAAGGAAAAACAGGTAATTTGAAGAAGCCTATATTACTAATGAGATTGAATTAATAAAAATCTTCACAAATAGAAAGTCTTAAGTTCAAATGCCTTAGTGGTGAAATCTACCAAATATTTAAGGAAGAAATAATGCTAAATCTTTACTGATTCTTTCAGGAATTAAAAGCAGAGGGTAACACTTCACAACCAATTCTATGAAGCCAGTACTATTCTAATACCAAATCCAGATAAATGCATTATAAGAAAAGAGATCTAAAGATTAATATCTCTTATGAACATAGTTCAAAAATTCTCAACAAAATATTAGAAAATTAAATCTTATATATATAAAAATAATTATACACTGGTATCAAGTGGGATTTATTCTAGGTGTGCAAGCCTTGCTTAACATTTATAAATTAATTAATTCAATCTCACATCAAAATGCTAAAGAAGAAAAATCATATGATTGCATTAATTGATGCAGACAAAATATTTAATGAAATCCAGGAGCCATATATACATAGAAATTCTCAGTAAACTAGAAGAAGAGAAATTTCTTCATTGATTAAAAAAAATCTAGAAAAAAAACTAACATCACACTTAAAGGTGAGAAAATGCATGCTTTCCCACTAAGATCAGGAACAAGGCCAAAATATCACTTCTCTCAATTCCTATTCATTACTCTACTAGAAGCCCTAGCTAGTGTAACAAAATAGGAAAAGGAAGTAAAACATGAGAGTATTGAAAATTAAGAAATAAAGTTATTCTTTGTTCTCAGATAAAATAGTGATCTATGCAGAAAAACTAAAAGGATTGACCAAAAGTTAAAAAAGAAAAATGAAAAAAACTGGAAATATTATTCGAATTATTCAAATTATATGACATTCTGAAAAAGACAAAACCGTACAGAGAGTGAAAAGCTCCCTGGTTTTCAAGGGTTTGGGGGAGTACAGGAGAGTTAAGTAGGTGACATACAAGAGAATTTTATGGTGGTCAGACTATACTGTCTGCTACATAATGGTAGATGCACAACATTACATTTCAGTCAAAAGCCATACAGCTTCACAGTACAAAGAGTAAGTCAATGTATGCAATTTTTTTTAAGAAGCCATTTAGGAAGTAAAGGGGTCTCATTAAGAAATGTATAGTGTGACAAGATAATTTAGCCATATTACAAATTTATAAAACAACTACACTGAAGTGGGTGGAAAGAGAGAAAGTACAAACATAACTAACTTTACATGAGTCAAGTATATAAGACTAAAGGTAAAGAAGAACTGGATATAAGCACTGTACTCTAATTGATAAGGTTGTTTCCCACAGGGGTATGGGTTAAAAATTCTGATTATTCCTATGCATGTATATGAGGGTATAACAATTAAGTAACTGGATGGTGCATGGTTGATATCGGGAGCCAGGTTTCTCACTGGGGGAGTGGGAAATAACAGATAAACATGGAGAGGAGGCTAGAATGATCCATGTGGCATTGGATTAGAATTGGAGACATCAAAATGAATACGTATTTAGCTTAACACAGATGCAGATGCTTACATAAAAAATACTTATGGATAGGTATATTTGCATGCACTTTCTCTGTCAGTGGAGAAAGCTTCCAAGTCATGAGACCTCAGTAGAAACAGGCACACTTAGTGCCAACACCTTGATTTTTATTACAATTCTTCTGTAAAAGAAACTAGAGCTTCTTTGGAAACATATGTAATTCTAAGATGGGGAGAGAAAATCATAATCTTATATATAGAGAAAACTAATGACTCCATGAAAAGAACTCATAGAACTAATGAACAAATTCAGTAAAGTTGCAGGATACAAAATCAACATACAAAAATCAATATTTCTATATGCTAACAGTGATCAATCTGAAAAAGAAATCAAGAAGACAATTGCATTTACAATAGTTACCTAAGTAAATAAATAATAAAACGCCTAGATATTTAACCAAAAAAGTAAAACATTTATACAAGAAACACTATAAATTACCAATGAAAGAAATTGAAGTGGATATGAAAAAATGAAAAGATATTCCATGTTCATGAATTAGAAGAATTAATATTGTTAAAATATCTATACTACTCAAAGCTATCTACAGATCCAATGGAATCCCTATCAGATATCAATGACATTCTTCACAGAAGTAGAAAAAACAATACTAAAATTTGTATGGAACCGCAAAAGACCCCAAATAGCTAAAGCAATTCTGAGCAAAAGGAACAACACTGGAGGCATCATACTATATGATTTCAAATTATACTATAAACCTACAGTAATCAAAACAGCATGATGCTGGCATAAAAGCAGATGTATAGACCAATGGAAAATAATAAAGAACCCAGACATAAATTCATGTACTTATAGCCAACTTATTTTTTAAAAAGGTGCCAAAAAGATAGATGGGGAAGGACAGTCTGTTTAATAAAAGGTCCTGGGAAATTTGATATCTATATGCAGAAGTATAAAACTAGATCACAATCTTTCACCATATACAAAAGTCAACCCAAAATGAACTAAAGGCTTAAATGTAAGACCTGAAACTATGAAAGTACCAAAAGAAAACAATGGAGAAATGCTACATGATAGTGCTCTGGACAAAGATTTTTTAAGTAAGACCTCAAAAACATAGGTAACAAAAGCAAAAATGGACAAATGGAATGAATGATATCAATCTAAAAAGCTTCTGTACAGCAACACAAACAATAAAGCAAAGAGACAATCTACAGAATGGGGTGAAATATCTGGAAACTATCCATCCAACAAGGAATTAATAATCAGAATATAATAGGGAACTCAAAAACTTATTAGCAAAAAAAAAAAATCCAATTTTTAAAAATGGCCAAAAGACCCAAATAGACATTTTTCTAAAGAAGACATACAAATATGGCCAACAGGTGTATGAAAAAATGCTCAACATCGCTAATTATCAGGAAATGCAAACCAAAACCACAAGACATCATTTCCTCCCAGTTAGAATGGCTATTATTTTAAAAATATTAAAATACTGGTGAGGATGTAGAAAAGGGAAAATGCTCACACACACAGTTGGTGGGCATGTAAAGTAGTACAGCCATTATGGAAAACAGCTTGAGTTTCCTGAAAAAAAAAAACTAAAAATGGAACTACCATATGATCTGGCAATCCCACTCCTGGGTATGTATCCAAAAGAAAGGAAATCACTATAACTGCACTCCCGTGTGTCTTGCAGTACTATTTACAATAGCCAAGACACAGAATTAACCTAAGTGTACATCAACAGATGAATGAATAAAGACAATATGGTGTATATAAGTAATGGAAAATTATTCAGCCAAAATAAGAAGGATATCTGTCATTTGTAGCAACATGGATGGAACAGGAGATCATTATGTTAGATGAAATAAGCCAAGAACAGAAAGACAAATATCACATATTCTCCCTCATATGTGGGAAGTAAAAATGCAGATAGCATAGAGGTAGAGCATAGAAGTTACCAGTGGCTGAGAAGGAAGGAGGGCAAGGGATAAAGAAACGTTTGTTAAGGGGTATACAGATACAGTTAGAAGAAATAAGTTTTACTATTCTTCTATATATATATAATTTCTATATATATATTCTATATATATAATTTCTATATATATATTCTATATATATATAATTTCTATATATATATTCTATATATATAATTTCTATATATATATTCTATATATATATAATTTCCCTATGTATAGTGGGGAAATTATAGTTAACAATAATTTATTGCAAATTTCAATGTTTGAGGTGATGGATATCCCAATTACTCTAATTTGATCATTACACATTATGTACAGGTATGCAAACATCACATGTACCCCCAAAATATGTACTATTATACATCAGTTTTTAAAAAGTAAAAAAGAGAAAATATATAAAGAAACCTAATACATGACACTTGATATTGGCAGTGGAAATGAATTAGAGGAAACTATTGATACTAAGTAATGGCACTGAGATATTTGGTTTTCCATATGAAAAATATATGATATATAAATAAAATATACATACTATTAAAAAAAGAAAACCTACAAGATAGTGCTGCAGCATCTTATAGTGCCAGAAAGTAAGGAGGTACTCCAATAAAAGAAGAGAAAATGAAGGAAGGAAGGAGGAAGGAAGGAAGGAAGGAAGGAAGGAAGGAAGGAAGGAAGGAAGGAAGGAAGGAGAAACAGTCATAAAACTTAATTAATTTTCATATTCTGCTTTGGATAATGAAAGAAGAGAGTCTCAGAAAATAACAAATGTCTTTCTTGCAAAATATCTCTTTTAGAGTTCAGAATTACAATAATATTATGCATCAGGAAAAAAATAGCCTTGCTCATAGATTTCTCAGTTACTTGTGTTGCATATTTCTAGAAACCAGACAGGTCAAGTTTGTTGTTACTCCTTTCTGTCCTGCTGAATCAGCACAGAAAAGCTAGTACTGGAAACAGAATACTGTACTGCTCTCATAGTTGGGATATGGAGATTTTGATGCTTACTCCTTCTCACCATTCCCTTGTCAATCTCATTAGAAGTAGGTCAATATCTCTATTTTTCTTACAGCCTAGTACACGAGTTAGATGCTAGACATATACATTTTTGGTTATTGGCTAGCTTCATTAATATGCTAATACAGTAATAGTTATAAAGCCTTAGCATGATTCTTCAACCACACAGAAATGTAAATTACATGACTGCAATAATCAGGTAGCTAGGTAAAGCAAGTCGACTTCAAATTGTATTGTCGAGTATTTTATACAAAGAAAACCAATATGCATTGTTTGAAGTTGAAAGACACAATGTTTAATACAATAAAACAAACATTTGTTATTAGGAATCTAAAAGCACAACTAAGAGATAGTTATAATGATTTGGATTTCATAATTTATGCAAGCTCAAAACTCTGCATCCCTGCACTGCACATAAAAGCATCTGCATGTCATGTGTAATTCCTTCCACTGGCTACACCACACCATCGCTGCTCATGTGATGTTGTCCTTTGGTTGAAAATAAAAGTACTTCTAGATAGATTAGAAATGTTCCTTAAACTAAAATGAACAGTGCTGAAGCCTAAGGCTAGAGTCTACTGATGCTACTCATTCACAAAGGAAATAGAATTTCAGGAGGCTCATTTCTGATTAGGTCATACTAAATATAAAGCAATCTCAATGTAAAATATAATAGGTTTACCCAAGCAAATAATTTTCTTTTCCAATGGCACAACTTATCAAAACTTTTATCATGTGCCTTCCTTATAAACTGACAGTTTAATACTCTTGAGGATTTATTACAGTAATCATTGAATCATTCAAAAGAAATGCTTAATAACAGGATGTTTGTATGTAGCAGAATAATATACGCTAATTGTTTGCAGTCTCTCACTTTCCAGGATGCTAACTTTTGTCCATTGAACTTACTACATAGCACATGATCAAATATAGGTTTGAATGACATTGTTTCACAAATAAACATTACCTGCCATTTACCCTGTATCACCATTGTGATCTTTCTAGCATATTATGAATATTGAGCCTGAGTGAGGACTTTGATAACAAATAAGTTGGTGAAAATATTTCTAATTAAATTTTAACTTGGTTAAAATTTTTATGACATTTAAAACAGTTTTGGAAACATCATAATGTTTGAGATTATGAAATTTTTATAATTATGTACATTTTTAAATAAAAATTATATACAACAACAACACCATCAAGACAAATTTAAAGCAATACAGGGCCAACTTTAAAATCAGAACATACACATACATACACAGATCCTTATATAATAGGAAGCAAGATGAATATTTTTAAAAGCATAAACAGGCCAGGCGCCATGGTTCATGCCTATAATCCCAGCACTTTGGGAGACCAAGGTGGCCGGATCACTTGAGGCCAGGAGTTCTGACCAGCCTGGCCAACATGGCAAAACCTCGTCTCTACTAAAAATACAAAAATTAGCTGGGCATGGCAGCGCACGCCTGTCATCCCAGCTCCTCAGGAGGCTGAGGCAGAAGAATCCCTTGAACCCAGGAGTCGGAGATTGCAGTGAGCTGAGATTGCACCACTGCACTCCAGGCTGGGCGAAAGGGCGAGACTCTGCCTCAAAAAAAAAAAAAAAAAAGCATAAACATTTATTATGCATTTGGACTTGCACATTACACAAAGTACTTCTGAAAAAGAAAGACTTTATCACCTCCATGGCAAAATTGCTCTGTATCTCCATCCACCAACAATCATACACATGGAGAAAGAAAGAAAAAAAAATGAAACAGTAAAGGAGATAATTAAAATTTCCATTGAACCTTGTTATATTAGAGCCCACTATAGAAATGTGGGGTGGGGCTTTTACTCTGAATCAACAGTGACTCTCTTAATATAATGTAACATTTATAACCAGCATTGCCATGTCCTTGCTACTTGATGCAACAACATAGGGCAACTCCAGGGAATCAGGAATAACACATGTTTTAGTTTTATCCAGTTTCACTATTATGACTTTGGTCACCATAACTAGAAACAGACAGGTGAGCAAAAGAACAGAAAAAGACAAAATATTACAGTATTTTCTCATTTTTGAATGTCCATTGCATTCCTACCGTTGTATTATGGGCAGCTTCTAAGGAATACAATTCACTCCATTCTTTGCATTCTAAACATCTATAGCCCCATTACAACTGGTTATCTTGCAAGAAGAAGAATTTAATCCCAGGAATTTCTCACTTATGTCAATGTAAAGTGGTATTAACTATAGTGTTCATAAATTCTATCTGTAAACATAAATAATCACAAAAACATTGAAGGGAAAATTAATCATACAGGAAATCATACATGATAGTGAGGACTATGAGATGATGGGGCAGTGGGAGAAGGGATGAGCTGGAACTTATTTTTAGTCTTTTTCCACAATCACCAATGTAGAATTTGGGAAAGTATTAACTCTCTCTAAATCTCAGCAATTTCCACTCTATAAAATGGAGATTATAATACCAATTACACAAAATTGTCATGAAAACAAAATGAGATACTGTAAATGAAATGTTAAATCAATTGTAATGTGAGAAAAAATATGACATTATTATTAAAATATCAGCTTGTGTCCTTTTGTTCTTTTCAAGATTTGTGAATAGCAATATAAAACAATGATGTTAGCTGTTGGCACAATATCTAGTCTAACATAGTTCAGTTAATTTTGAAATATATTTATATCAAAATTATCCGTGAAAAAGCCATTGTGTATGTAATCAACAGCTCATTGACACGTAGTATGTATTTTTACTCAGCATTTGCTATATTATGTTATGATAAATAAAAATCTTTAAGCCTCGGGGACTAACCACATAAGGGTTTATTTCTCATTCATGTGATATGTTTATTGGCTGCGAGGTATCTGTGGCTCTGCCCCATGTTTTTTCTTTATTCCCAACTCCAGGCAGAAAGAGTAGCCAGTTCTCCAGGAAGTGGAACAAGAGCAGCAGCAACATTATGTAACAGCTCTGAAACCTGCTCAGATACGGAGTCCATTCTGCTCACCAGACCATTTGCTAAAGCAAGTCACACGGCCAACACATGTCATTTGGGTGGGAAGAATATTACCCCCAGAGGGAAGGACAGCAGGGAGGGGTCCCTGTGGGCATTATATATTTTAAACAAACAATGCCGTCTAGTATACAATAGATATACCACAAATAGACACAATTATGCCCAAGACAAGGTTTTACCAATTTCCTACATACTAATTTTTATAAATGGCCTGAAAAAAAATAGTGGGAAGCCTATAAGTCAATATTCAAGCCACATGGTTTAAAATGCTATGAATAGTTTCTCTTAATTTTGCAGATTTTAATATTGGTGGCCACCAGAGTGGGCATTCAAAATCAAAGGAAAGATAGATGGACTTTTAATAATTTCAACAGGAAAGAAGGTGGAGAAAATTTTACCAAACAACAAAAGAAACAGAGGAGGAGTCTAAAGGACAATTCTTTCATTGGAAATGTGAAATTGTACTCCACAAAATCTCTTAATGGTTTCCTTCTAGAAGTAGGTTACTTCTGGCTTGGGTGCCTCCCTTTGGATGGATCTTTTGACCAGGGTTAGATAAACTCTAATGCGGCTACACTTAAGAACTTAGGTGGTGACAAGTCTCATCTCTTTCTCTCTTTACGCATTCTCTGGTTTCTCCTATTTCCCTCCTTTCTCTCATTTTCCTTATTTCCTTTCCTCCAACAAAGCTTTTGGTCTACAAGGCTGACAACTATGCCAGGGAGGTTTTGACCATCTTTTAATAATCTTTTTATAAATATTGTTTGCCTAAATACACGTTAAATTATGGACAAATGCAAATTTTGCTATAGTTTAAAATTAGGAAGCCCCGGCTGAGTCTGAGATCTTTTGCTATACAAAATTTCTGTTATAGCCATTGTTCTTGAATTTGGCCTCTCATGTTGCATTCCAAAATAAGCCAAATTTGAAAAACCTTCACACTCAAACGTATAAATAACACTGTCTCTTTAACACCTCCAGGAAACAATTATAAAAATATTTCCATGGTGATTACAATCAAGTGATTTTGATACAGCCCCACATAAAGTTTTGTTTCATGAAAAAAAGAGTGAGGCCCACAGAGATGTGCTGCAAACTTATTTGTATTTTATATTTAAAACATATATATTTATATATTTAATGTACATAAAAAGTTACGTTTTCACATATACATGTCAATTATCTATTAAAATATATTTGTATTTTGGTTTAATATTATTTTAATATCATCTCTTTGTCAAACTTGTTTGCATTTTTCCCAGTGTCTCTGTATCAGAAAAAAATACGAGTTATAGATAATATAATTTCTATTTGGACTCTTATAATCTCTTTCAAATCTTCAGGAAAATGCCAGGCTGAAATCTCTGATTAATTAGAGAACAAAGTGTCTCAATGGAAAATACCAAAACATAGATAGGAGGAATAATTCACGAAAAATTAGGTTTTACTTTGGCAGAAGAATATATCCTCCTCTAAACCTCTTAATGCACATTTTGTTGTCCTTTAGCACAAATTGTAAATGGAATTAGTATGATGATGATGCATTTACACAATATTTTAAGTACACTCTGTGTTAGGGACTCTATGTACTGTCCAGGCAACAGACCCAAGTATTAAAAGCATATAGCAAACATATGCTGGTCATAAATATATAATGGTGGTTTCACATAAGTAATGCATATGTGAGCCAAGCAGATAAAATGACTAGGAATATGTACCGTCTAGGCACTTCAGTGATTTTGCCCTTCACTTCTCTATTGGTTGTCAAAATGTTCATGTAATTTCCCATTTGATTTAGAAATGTACTAATATTTAGACTTTTTTATAAACATTTTTTATTAGAAAAGGATTCATTCTATAAAATGTGGACAAAAACCTGCAATTTCACTCTGTGCGAGGTTTTCTTAAATAAAAATAATAATCCATCCTTTCACAAAAATAAACCAAAGAAATTCCCTAAAATGTAAATTTATTTAAAAGAAACAAAGTATACTGCAATTAGAAAACCAATATCCTTTACAATATGTGAAAGTCTTACTTAATTATATCTTCCAAGAACTTTATTTTGATGTCAAGCTCTACTTTATAGCATTAAATGCTATTGGAATACTATCTTATTTTTAATTTTTTTTTTAGCGTAAGCATTTTTTTATTTTTTTATTTAACTTTTAAGTTTGGGGGTACATATGCATATTTGTAATACAGGTAGACTTGTGTCATAGGGGTTTGTGGTACAGATTATTTCATCAGCCAGTTATTAAGGGTAGTACCCATTAGTAATGTTTTCTGATCCTCTCCCTCCTCCCACCCTCCACCCTCCAAAAGGCCCCAATGTGTGTTGTTCCCCTCTGTCTCCATGTTTTCTCCTCATTTAGCTCCCAGTTATAAGTGAGAACATGTGGTATTTGGTTTTCTGTTCCTGTGTTAGTTTGCTAAGGATAATAGCCTCCAGCTCCATCAATGTCCCTACAAAGAAAATGATCTCATTGTTTGGAATACTATCTTATTTTTAAATGGTCATACTAACATTTTTTGAAATAAACAAAAATAATCTTCTATTTATTTATTTAACTTTTGTTATTTTTTGAAATTCTGAAAATTTTTACCTTTTCAAGTCTACTAAAAGACTTGAAACAGAAGAATTAGAATAAAAGAGATTTGTTTTAGAATATTTGAGCACTTTCAATGGAACTCTGTTGACGTGTAGCTGAAAATATAAATACATCATTTGTACATCTAAGAATCAGAAGAGCATTCAAAATATTAACTCAGTAACTGTTTGGTAAGTTTAATAATCATTTCTAAACACACATGAAAATGAATTAGGACTATATATACACATCCTATATATAAGTATTATATGTGTGTATTATATATGTATGTATAATATATATGAATAAATAACATTCAAATAGAAACCAAAATATTGCTCTGACAAAATGTATGAAAAAACTACTATCCTACTGTTTACTTTGGGAATATATGGATAATAATTTTTTAGATTCATTTAGGAGAATATTGTTCCCTCATAATTTTCCAATTGAATTATTAGAATAATATACATTATCTAATTCTGTCTTAACCATCTCTAATCAATTCTCTAAACTTCTACCAAAGTCTCCCAGGGTATGTCTATGTCCTACTGATTAAATTGTTCTCCATTGTTTTCAAGATAAAATTCAAGTTGCTGGAGCACACCATTCAGGGGTTTTCATCATCTGACCTCTGTCTGCATCTTTTCTTGTTTCCTGTCATTTTTCCTACCTATATTCTGTTGCCCAAATGATCACAGTCACTCACCTCTCTGTGTGTTTTCACATATCATTTTCTCAACCTAAAATATCCTTCCTCCTTATTTTAACCAAATTTAATCCTAATCATCTTTCAAGATTTAACTAAGAATCACTTCTTCCTAGAAGCTTTTATGAACCACTTCTCCCATCCCCTCTCTGATGTTCTTTCCAGTTCCAGCTCCCTCACTGACATACACATAGCAACCCTTAAAACACCAAAAGCCAACAGATTGCAACACAGGAAAATTATCCACTGACCTGAATTAGTCAATGCCAAATCTATTCTTGCTTTGGCTTTCCTCTCAGATAATTCCACGTGTGTGTGTGTGTGTGTGTGTGTGTGTGCGCGCGCGTGCGTGTATGTGTGTGTATATATATATGTATATTCATATGTACATATATATATATGTGCTTTACGTTGGGTAGGAACAGAGTGTGGCTCTGGTGGTGAAAAAAGAGGTTCTCTAGGGGCCACCTATGTCAGCATGAGCAGCATCAGGCCCCCATGCACTGCCTACCTACTCTTGTGGCCTGGAGTCAGACTGGCGTCCCAGATGAACATTTTAACAAGCAGAGCAGGAAAGAGGATCTGAGCATTTGGAAGCACTTGCTTGGTTTTTATTTTTGGAGCAAAATACTCTATCACTCCAGGAGAGGGAGGAATGTGCCTTGTTTTTAGATAGCAGGCTGTTAAGATAGCCAAAGACTAAAATGCAAAATGGGAAGAGAAGAAAAGATTTTAAGTGTCTGCCAAATAGAAATGAATTTGGTCATCCTCTGCTACTTTCCATTTTGTTTTGAAACTGACTGAAACTTTTTTGGTTAAGGAGGGACCTTCCTAAGTGAGCAGAAAATTTGGTGTTTTGGTTATGGAAGAGTCTGCCTAAAAGGACTGAAAGTTACTTTACCATTTCTAAATAATTTACCATATCACTCTATCATATCAAAAATCAGTCTAAATATTATGTTATTGAGGATTGATTTTTTTCTATTTAGGAGTGAGTTTTCTTTGTAGTCTTTGAAAATGCAAAGGTGGAGGGTCAGAGAATAATAATAAATTGAATAACATTACTTTCCTTCCCCCATCTAAGCCTCGTCGGCCTTCAACTGATAGTGTGTGCTGCCCACAAAATCCATAAATATCCTCCTGGAATGGGTTTATTCACAGTGTAAGGACACTTTGTGAAATATGCAACATTAGTCTATGTGCTGATTAAAATAATCTTCCTAAGTTTTAATTTTTCAGAGCATCAGGCAGAACACATTCTTGATGTACAAAGGACTACCTGAATGTTCTTCTGAAATCAGTTACTAGGAAAATAACTTTAATTGCATTCAGGAAGGATTTTCACCTATGGTAATTTTTACAAGTCATTTATAAATCCATTGAATTGTATTATCTGATTATTTTATTATTGAAAGTCAGTTGGAAATGTTTGAAAAGGGACAATAAAATAGTATATAATACTCCCTAAAATTTTAGAATGTTAGTATTACAACCTTCTACATCAAGCTTGTCCAGCCCATGGCCCACAGGCTGCATGTGGCACAGGATGGCTTTGAATGTGGCCCAAGACAAATTCATAGACTTTCCAAAAACATTGTGAGATTTTTTGTGATTTTTTTAATCCCATCAGCTATCATTGCATTCATATATTTTATGTGTGGCCCAAGACAATTATTCTTCTTCCAATGTGGCCCAGGGACGCCAAAAGATTAGACACCCCTGCTCTACATGATCCTACAATTTATTTTTGCCATTCACTTTTTGTTTCCTCCTCTCTGCAAGTAGAATCAGATAAGTGGAAATATGGAGTAGTGGTGGACATACTGTTAGTATCAGGTTTGAGATATGAATAATTATGAGAAGATGTGGAGTGTTGAAGGGGACAGCAATTCTAATACCACGCTGGTATTCAACCAGCACGGCAATGGATAGAAGTAAAACGTGAGCATGCTTGAAAGGAAAGAATCATATTTGGGGCCATGTTTCCTTTAGCAAATTTTCATCTTCTTGTGCAACCTACTTCCACAGAGATAATTAGTACAACCTCACTTACAGATACATATATATATCTATAAAAAATTCCAGAATCATTGAAAGTCACACAGCAGATCCAGGACTCAAGTTTCCTGGGCTTTTTCTATTACGTCATATTTTCTCATTAATCCATGTTTTTCTCAAAGAAAGAACCATGGCAGGATAATGAAAATAAATATAATTTTAAAGAAACTTTTATTTTCCTATTGTTCAAATTCAGAATGTTCTCTCAGACCAATAATTGAAATCCAGAACATTCTCTCACAGTAACAACTGAAATCCAGAATGTTCTTTTAGAGAAATACATCAGAACTCAATATTAGACCACTCAGTGCAATCTTGCTCAAAATATCTTTGAGCCAGCTAGAGAAAAATTATAACAGGGGAAGAACTTATCTGAGTCCTTCTACAGGGCATATAGAGACAGATCAAAATGAACACTCAACATCAGGCTCTTTAAAAGAATTGAATGGGTATGGTGGACAAAATAAGACATGGCACTATATTGTCCTCTCTCCTTCTCTCTATTTTCTCACTTTCGTACCAGTTACCTTCTCCTATGGCAGATGTCATGAAAATGATGCTCTTTGGCCATGATTTCATGGCCCTGAGGCCAAGGCTCTGGTCTAGTGAAAATCCAGGGGTCCAGTTGGATTTCTGGGTCACTAACATCCACATAGAAAGGATGTGGTATGTCAACTGCACCCACTCTGACTTATCTCCAAGCACATCCGATTCAGCTCTCAGGCCTTCTGAAACTCCTTGGGCTTCTTTGAGTCCTGAGCCAGGTGTATGCAGCTCTGTGAAGAAGGGCACTGGCTTCTTCTGCAAAGTACCCACACTGTCAATGTTGGAGGCAATGAGGAACGGACAGTTTGTCCTCCAGGTCCATTACGCGCTCACATGTTCTAGTTTGTCTTCATTCTTCTCTGCTTCAGGTCCGGCATTTCTTTCTAACAGCTGACCTGTGGCAACTTAAGATGACCACCAGACAGAATCGGCAGGCTTACAGAAAAGTCTTCATCAGCTGCCTCAGTTGCATAATATCTATTCCCTACAGCAAATCCCTTATTCTATATCACTCATAGTGGTTCTGCTTCCCATATTGATCCTTGACTGATACAGGATCATGTCCAGGGAACAGGACTGCACCCTAGTCAAGGAACTGATGACAAGTCTCTGGTTAAATTTAAGAAATGTTATTGACCAGTGATTACTATATGCCTTGTGTTTTCCCCTTTTGAACAAGAATGACTTTTGTGGTTCTTCTCCAGCTGGCCCACCATTGTGTGTGGGGAATAGATATTCATCTCCTTAAGTCACGTAACTTTATATTAAGAAGAACCACACTTGAGGAACACATGAGGAACCATTTCACATGAGGATCTGATTAGATGATGAGATCCTGGACTTTAAACCTGAGCCTGCTGATGTGAGTGAGATGAAATTCAGAGTTTTGGGAAAGGGATGAGAGGATTTTGCATGTGAAAGGACTTGATGCATTGTGGTCCAGATGGCACACTACCATAGCTAGTCTCCAAGAGTGTCTCCCCATGAACTGCACCTTCACATATTCATGTCCTTGTGTAGTGCCCCCTTTGAATCTTGGCTAGCTCTGTGACTCAATTTTGACTGAGTATAGCCGAAGTGATGCTACAGTGACATGACTTCTGAGTCATGAAGCCGATTCTGCCTTGTTCTCCTGGAAAACTCGCACTGGGGAAGACAGATGCCATGTAAGAATTTTGACTCCTCGGAAACTACAATGCTGTGAGAAAGCTCAATACCTTTCCAGCTCCTCAGAGAAAGTAAAGGAAGCAAACCACGCTCATAATAGAATGGTTCCTTGCTGGGCCTATTCTTGCTGGGAAGTACACCCTAAAGCGTTGTATTCAGCTGCATGGACAGTGTCTTTGTCTCCCTCCTCTCTGTACTGTTTTCTGTATTTTTACTTTCAGTCTCCCTTCACTGCAATTTATTATACACATCATTATTAAATTATCTAACAATTATATTATTTATGTTATCTTACTATTAAATAACTCTTCAAAGAGCCCCATTATACATGAAGATAAAGTCTAAAATCTTTCATCCATCTTTCATCTCTATTTCCATCTGCATTTTCTGCTACCCTATAGAATGAATTTCCCCACTCCATGCCATGGTATCACCACCGTATGGGTTTGCTTACCAGGCCCTCTGAAAAGAAAATTTTCCATCCTTCCATTAACCTATATACCCATCCTTCAATGCCCAACTTAAATCCTACCTCCTGCATGGAGTTTTCTAGTCTCTCTTTCTTCTCTGACTTTCTGTCATACTTTCTAGAGGAATCTTAATTATATTTCTCTACATATTTTACTCCATAATGATGATTATCTTGAGAAAAAATACTATGTGTTATTCCTCTTCATATTTCTCCAAAGAAAAGTACCCATTGGATTGGTAAATTTATTTACTTTTTCTCTTTTCTATTCCTAAATAGTTTAAGAGAAAATGAATTGTTTCAAACCATATTGAAGCAATCATACTGACAGCTTTCAATGAAATTTTTAGTAAAACTATTGCTATTACTGGTATTCACACTCAAGAGGTGACTAAGGAGTAATTATACCTAATCTTTATAAGCATGAAAATCTCCTTTTAATTGAAAATATTATGAAATCCCTTGATGCTAGTGAATGCATTTTGACACAATAAATAACTTATAGCTATTCCACATTCCAAGATACTTTCAAATGAATTCAAATTTTATTAACACAGCAGCATATAAAACATTAAAAATTATATTACAAATCTCTGTGGCATATGCTATTTATTTATTTTTGTTAATAGTTTTTGAAGTAAACATAAATTCTGGAGCAACTTGCAATAACCTCATTTCCCCAGTTTTGCACTCTTCTACTCGCATTTGATATCTCTTAATGGATTTTTTTCAAGAAGCATGACTGTTCTTCTTAATATCACCCTAGAAAAGTTCAGCTTAATTTGGCAACAACCTAGATGCTCAGAAATAGAGAAATTATTATGTAATTATATAAGCTCATCCAATTATTATGAACAAAGGAATATCATGTTAAATATTTAAAATAATGTATAAAAGTTATTTTTGTAATGTTCCATAAAAAGTTGTGTGTATAATATGAACACAGATATTTTTAAAAACTATGTATGGAGAATAAAGATTACATATTAGTTTTTTGACTTCCTTAATGAAGTTTTGGGTAATGTTCTTTTTAAATCTACATTTTTAAATGTTCTATAATGAACATATATTCTGGGTTTACCGAAAACAAAGTAATATATTTAAATTATTTTTTTTAATTCAGAGATATCACTCAAACCTTCTTACTTTGTGGCTCTACCAGTCATTGATAATCTTAGTCCCAGAAACTATTCATTCAGGTCGCCTAAATTACCGTTAAAGAAAATAGGCTTGCTAAACATATTGATTATCTAAGGTAGTATTTTTAAAAGCTATACTATATACAATATATCATGCACTTCACTTCTTATATTTTATGATTTTGTGAACAAGCCTGGATTTCACCTCACCATAGATTTGGCAGGTTTAAGGATTTGATCATATTCCCTCTTAGTTTTTGTGTTTCTAGCCTAAGACATCCAAATTTCTTTAATCGATGTTCATACAGAAACCCCTTGATCATTTCACTTATTTTTCTGCGGAATTCTTCCAGGTCTATTTTCTCTGAGGAGTAGTGACCAAGAGAATATAGAATATTCCAGTTCTTATACAATCACAGGGTGATGTTTTCTGATTTGCTTCCAGTTTTCTCAATGAGAAACACAATTGGTTTAGTGCCTTGGGGAGGAGATTCACGTTATTCCAAAATCAATTTTGAGGTATAATTAACACCATAAGGCCATCAGTTCTGCACTTCTTTTTTTCTTTGAATAGATATCTTACACCTATATATACATTAAAAGTTCACCTGTCATTGTTTTACATTCATAACTGAGAATTCATCATTAAACGTATTCCCCATGAACTGAGTATCTCTTCTAGTCAAAATAGTGGTGTTAAATTCTGTTAGCGATTTTATTATTCAGATAATTTACTAACCTATATATAATTTAAAAGCATTCTTTAGAGGATGTCCCCATTACCATCTTCCAGTTAGGAAAGTGCTTATTTATGCTAACCATTTGTTCCCTGTCTTTAAGTGCTTAAACCACAATAAAAACATTTTTTCCCAATGCCATGTTAATTATTAAAAAAAGTTTCCTCTGACATTTTGTCTTACATGTAATAGTTTATTATTACGGTGTGTATTAAAGTAATCTGACCATGTATTACAGATTCCAACAACTTGTTATGCATCCTACTGAAAGTCATTTTTATACTTTCATACTGAAAGAACTTAAATTCAAAGGACTCAAACTGAGAGATTTTCACTAGTCCCTTACAGTTGCTTATTAGAAAGCCTTTTCCCTCATAACACAGTGTATTCTGAATCTCCGTGATTCTGGAATGAATTACAGTATATTTGGAGGACATTCCTTCTTAATCCTCTTCTTACAGCTGCCTTTTTCTGTTTTATTTTTTCCTTTGGTTTGTTTATATTTTTTCTAAATGATTAAGTATGAAAATTATCCATGATTTACAAAAGACAAAGATGTAAGTATCCATGTGATTATAGATACAGGAAAATAATCAGAATATATTTTTAAGTGAATATACCACAAAATTCCATCAAATCTATGATCGAAATAATTGTAACTCACCTTGTGGCAAGAAAGGAAAGGTCTCAGTTCTATATTTTACTCTTTAAAATTTGAGAAGAGATGCTTGTATTTTTTTAAAAAGTGAACGTTGATCCTTACAGAGCAATTTAAACAAAAATTAACCTCACATGTAACATTAGACCTAAATTTAAAACCAAAAACTATAAAATTTCTGGTAAAACATGAGAAAATCTTTTTGAACTACAATTAGGTGAAGATTTCTTAGGAAACAATACAGGAGAAAACACAAAAGAAAGAACCGATTTTGGACTTCATTAAAATTTAAAACTTCAAAATATACTGTTAAGAAAATTAAAAGACAAGCCTTGGGTTGTGATAAAATACTTGTAAGACACGTATCTGGAAAAGGACTTGTACCTAGAATACATATGAGGATGATTACAACTCAATAATAAGAAAACAACACAACTTTTTTAAATGGGAAAAACATTTTAACAGATACTTCATCAAAGAAATAAGTACATAAAAAGATGCTCACCTCCAATATTTATTAGGGAAATTCAAATTATAATCACAATTAGATATCACTGCTCTCCAGAATGGCTGAGATTTCAAAACACTTATCATACCATATGGTGACTTGGATGTAGGGCACTCTCATACACTGTTAAGGGAAATGCAAAATCATACAGCCACTTTGGAGAACCGTGTGTCAGTTTCTTCTAAAGTCACATATATCTAACTTATCATGTGTTTTAGGATTCTCATTCCTAGGTATTTACTCAAAAGAAATAAAATTATATGCTTCAACAAAGACCTGTGCATAGATATTGTATTAGTCTGCTCAGACTGTTATAACAAAATACCATAGACTGGCCAGCTTAAACAGTAGAATTTTATTTCTAAGAGTTCTGGAGCCTGAGAGCTTCAAGATCAAGGGGCAGGCAAGGTAAGTTTCATTATGAGGCCTCTTCTTTTGCCTTGTAGTTGGCTATCTTCTCAATATGTACTCACATGGTAAAGAGAGAAAGCAAGCTATTGGGTGTCTCTTCCTATAGGGACACTAATCCCATTGTGATGACCCCACCCACAGGACCTCATATAAACTTAATTACCTCCTTAAGGCTCCATTTCCAAAGACCATCGCTTTAGAGATTGGGGCTTCAACATATAAATTTTGGAGATATATAAACATTGAGTCCACAACAGATAATGTATAATAACTCTGTTAAAATAGCCAACAAATGGAAACAACTCAAATATTATTAATTACTGAATGAACAAATTGTGGCATATCTATACAATAAAAGACTGCTTAGCAATAAAAAGAAGTAAATTATTGATACATGCAAAAACATGGGTGAATCTCAAAAAAATAAGCCAGATCCAAAAGGCAACACAGTATGTGATTATATTTACATGACATAGAAAAGTCAAAACTATATTCAGGAATTCAATTGGTAGTTGCTAGGGGACAGGTGTAGAAGAAGGAAACTGACTACAAAGGAGAACAAGGAAACTTTTAGGGGTGAGGAAAATATTCAATTTTTTATTGTGGTAGCAAACAGAGTATACATGACTGAATACATTTATCAAAACCCATCAAACTGTACACTTTAAACTGTGAATTTTACTGTATGTAAAGTATACTTCAACAAACCTGACTTCAGTTCGGAAACCAAAAAGAGAATATGAAAAATTGAAAAGAGTAACAAGAAGCCTAGGAATAACCCCCACAGCCCTAAACCACTCCAGAAAGGCAGATTGGGTAGCATTAGTCCTGAGAGGGTTACTGACTCATTCAACATTCACGTGCCATTTAATCTGTAGTTGTTGGTCATATACAAATGCATGGCCCAATCTCTCAAGAAGCTCAGTGCCTAGTGGAGTAGAATCGCTATATCAGTGCACCCAGAATTCTACAGAAGTGTAAAGTATGATAACAAAAATAACATGCTTGTCTAACATTTCACCTTCCAAAGCTTCCCTCCCCATATTTTGGATGAGGAAAAATCACTGCAATTTAATATTCAAAGATGCTATGGACTGAACTGTGTCCCCCTCAAATTCATATGCTGAAGCCCTTACCTCCAATGTGATGGTATTTGGAAACGGGTCCTTGGGAGGTAAAGTTCAGATGAGGTCATGAAGGAGAGACTGTCATGATGAAATTATGTGTCCCTATTAGAAGGTGTCCCTATTAGAAGTTGTCCCTATTAGAAGGGACACCAGATAGTTTGTTTCCTCTGTTTCTCTCTTCACCATGTGAGCACACAGCAAGAAGAAACCTCAGAATGAAAGCTACCTTGCTGGTACCTTGATCTTAAACTTTCCAGCCTCCAGAGCTGTGAGAAATAAATTTCTGTTGGTTAAGCTACCCAATCTATGCTACAAGGGCCCTCAGCTTTCAGAGTTTCAGTTAACAGTAAGGAGACTTGGAGAGGCACTATAATGATCAAACACCCTAACTCAATGCCAGATCTTCTGTAACTAACACTAAACTACACTAACAAATATATTGGAGTCAGGTCACTTTCTCATTAGAATAGCAGGTTAAAATAGTAAAAATTATAAGTCATGAAATCCTGAACATATTTGATGCAAAGATGTCTGGAAGGGGAAAGAGAGTTGGTAAGAGGGAAGGGAAGAGGGCAGCAACTTTACTATGAATACCACATAAGGCAACCTAACACTTAGGGAAAAAAACATGGGCTTTGGAGAAGAGCCGACGTAGATTCAAATCCTAGCCCTTTCCCTCATAAGCTGTGTGTGATCTTGAGCAAGTTATTTAAACTCTGAAGCTGAGTCTCCTCATCAGTAAAATGGAGATAATAAGCAATTCCTACTTCAGGGGTTGCCGTGAGCATTAAATGAGATACTATATACAAGAAATACTTTACATACAGTAGGTGTTCAACAAATGTTAACAGCCTTACCTCTATAGTGAAGGCTGAACCAAGGCTGAACTTAGAAAGCCAGCTCACTGAAGTACAACTAAACAGCCAAGTGAGCTCTATCAAATAAATATAAACTGGAATCCATTTCTCAGCAGGACCTCATTCAGATAATATTTAAAATAAGTGAATTATTGAAGCTTAAAATCAAAACACAGTCCCTGTCATATTATGTGCAAATAATAAATATTTGTAGTAAAAAGAACTATAGCTAAATGATTTGATTTAAGAGGACTAATGCCTGATGATAGAATGAGAAGCCTCTGTACCAGAAAAGTGAAGAAATGTTTTAAGTTAGGTAAGAATAGAAGAACCTTATCAAAGTACCTCAAATACCACCACCTTATTCTCTACCTTTACTCACCCTACTTATTGATTGATGCCGATTATAACATTTTGAAAAAGGAGAAAGTGGGAAAACCTAAAGACCACTGAGATATTCTATAGAGCAAAAACTTGTTAATTTCTGAAACAGTTGATCTATATAACCAGGAATGGAAATAATACTAAATAATACTTGAAAATATAATTATCATTTTGAATTATTCCTAATAGAGCCTGCATAGAATACACAATCCATAATGACCCAGAGTCCATTAGTCTCAACTAACAGCACAAAGAAATTTCAAATACTCTTTTAACGCTGGTCTTCAGGAGTCCAAAGGCCGTTGTATTAGATTCACTCTGTGAATGGTAAGCACTGACCTCTAGTGGCAAGCATGATTAATCACAGCTCTGTCCTTCAGTGACCCCAGGGAAAACACCCACACCAAGGTAGAGGCTTCCTTACGGAATACAGTTTTGGAGGCTGGCAATGTCAAATGAGATCAAATTTATACCTCTTTAAAAAAAAACCATGAGCACTTCTCCTACCTCCTGATGGAAATCCCAAAGGGGTGATGTGTTGAGTTTGATAGAAATACTCTAAGAAACTGAGAATAAAGACTCTGGCCTTTCTAATATTTAGAATTTGGATGTATGACCTCATGAGCCCACCACACAGACATGAAAAGCAGTGGAGACTCAATGATCATACATATGCCTCTGTTTACTCCTTTATAATATTCCATGAGGAGCTTCTAAAGACACTGGTCAATTAAAAACAGGGCTAGAAACTCCTCTATGCAGAAAAATGATTGACTTTTGGGAAAGTACAGAAAAAACAAAAGACAGTATCCACCCTCAAGTACATCAGAAATTAATAGAGCAGAGAGGATGCAAGTTAATTTGTTTTTCTACCTCTGTAGAAGAATCAAACACTCAAGCAATGGCAAATTTAAAAATACGGGGAAGGAGACAAAAAGCAGAAGAGATACATCAAGTGACTATAAATTTATGGGTTTTAATTTTCTTAAAAAAAGGGGGTAGAAGTGATCTTAAAGATAAATTATGTATTCCAATTCTATCATTTATAAAGAGAGGGATTGAGGTCCCAAATCAAAAAGCAGAAAACCGAAATTCAAAACCCCACATCAGACCACATGACCTACCTTTAAGAACTAAACTTTTGTTCAATTTGGACTTTGAAAGAAATCTGGAATATAAAATAGATTATTTGAAAGGAAACTTTTTCTCCTCTAGCTACACTTGGAGATAAGCTCAATGAATGAAATACGCATTTACCATTGCCTAATGCAAATGGATAAAGAATGAAGGTGATACTGGATAATTTGGTATGCTTTTATTTCATCTTGTACGTTAAGTTCAATTTTATACCTCCAAAATGATTCCAAATATATCTCATTTAAGGTACAATATTCTGTCTTTCATTTTTCTTTTGCATATAAATATCAGCCAAATTCAAATTACTTCTAGTAGATATTTCCCCTTCTCTTTTTCTTTCCCTCATTAACAACATTTGCTTCTCTGTTTTCACTCCAGGCAGCAAAGCTGAATAGATTGTTTAATACTATTTTCCTAGAACATCTAAAAGTAAGAAAGAAGAGAGTAGAAATCTGTGGAAAAATCTTTTCTTCAAGATTTCCATGTAGGGGTTTCAGATTGTTTGGATGAGTTTCAAATAAACATCCCTCTTCTTAGTGTAGTTTGATGCATATTTTTAGCCTCCAGAGGGGAACACTGATCTGCTAAAATTGTCATATTTCAGCTAAATTATAATTTGCTAATCCCTTAAGGCTACCGGACAGGCTCCATGTCTATTCAGACAGGCTTTAATATAAATAATGTTTTAAACAAAGTTGATAAAAGTTTATTTTGGGAAAAGTAAAATGGCATAGAGTAGAGGTATGACTCATCCAATACTCCCCTTCTACTTCATGATGTAGGAATAAAATACATTATACTATGTAATAAACTCTGTTGTTAAACATATATTTAGGGGCTAAATTCAGGGATAATTTATTATGAGTAATAAAAGGTTACCATATAGACACAAAAGAACTTTTATTTTTAAAGATATAGAAAATTGTGAATACAACTCTCTCTATATAACACACACTATTATAAATGCATAATAAAAAACCCTACTGAACATAATTTATTCATTTTTGATGACTGATTCGGATTTTGCCATGTTTCAGTATTACTCTGTGAATATCAATTACCATTGGACATGGACTCAAATGTTGGTTTAAACAGGTATTATTAACATAATATTAGACAAATAACCATCAGACTTGATAAGTTTAGCTCCCACTGGGAAGAGAGTTTTACTTGTGATTCTATCACTCAAAGTAGCACAGGATGAAGCAGGATGTTAAACTTGGCTTTGCAAGAGAGCCTAAAACCACACAGCAACTTCTGCACAAAAACTTTGTGAATGAAATGTTCACATTTTTTACTATGAGAATTTTCCTTGTTTTGACACTCATTTCACTTCTAGAAATCTCCCCTAAGAACATTATCCTGCAAACAAATATGTATGAAGATAATCATTTCAACATTATTTAAAATGCCAAAATAATTGGATGAAGCTAAATGTTCAACATGAGGAACCGTTAAATTCAATAGTGTATAGTTGTATGATGAACTCTTCTATGCCATTACAGATTATGTTCCATGAAGTTTAAAAAACATGAGAAAAGACTCATATCAAACCGCAATGAGATACCATCTCACACCAGTCAGAATGACTATGATTAAAAATACAAAAAATAACAGACGTTGGCAAGGTTGCACAGAAAAGGGAATGCTTATATATCATTGGTGGGAAAGTAAATTAACTCAGCCATAGTGGAAAGCAGTTTGGAGGTTTCTCAAAGAACTTAAAACAGAACTATTATTCAACCCAGCAATCTCATTACTGGGTATATTCCTAAAGGATAAATTGTTCTACCAAAAAGACACAGGCACTTGTATGTTCATCACAGCACTATTCACAACAGCAAAGTCATGGAGTCAACCTAGATGCCCATCAATGGTGGATTGGAAAAAGAAAATGTGGTACCTGTACATCATGGAATACTAAGCAGCCATTAAAAAGAATGAAATTATGTCTTTTGCATCCACATGGATGCAGCTGGAGGTGATAATCCTAAGTGAAATAACACAGGAACAGAAAACCAAATACCACATGTTCCCACTTATAAGTGGGAGCTAAGCATTGAGTACACATGTGTAATGATGTGGTTTGGATTTGTGTCCTTGCTCAAATCTCAAGTTCAGCTGTAATCCCCAATGATGGAGATGAGGGCTGCTGGGAGGTGATTAAATCCTAGGAGTGGTTTCTCACGAATGGTTTATCACCATCCCCCTCTGTACTATCCTCATGATAGCGAGCGAGTTCTCATAATATATGGTTGCTTTAAAGTGTATAGCACCTTCCCCACTCTCTCTTGCTCCTGCTCCAGCCATGTAAGATGTGCCTGCTTCCCATTCACCTTCCCCCATGATCATAAGTTTCCTGAGGCTTCCCTGGAAGCTTAGAAGATGCCAGCATCATGCTTACTACACAGCCTGCAGAGCTATGAGCCAATTAAATCTCTTTTCTTCATAAATTACCCAATCTCAGGCATTTCTTTATAGCAGTGCAAGAATGGACTAGTACATATGTAAAGGTGAGAACAACAGACACCGGGGGACTGCTAGAGGGAAGAAGGAGGGAGGGACAGGGGCCAGAGTTGAAAAACTATCTCCAGGTACTGCGCTCACTACCTGGAGATGGATCATTCATACACCAAAGCTCAGCAACATGCAATTTACCCATGTACCAACTCTGCACACGTAGCCCCTGATCCTAAAATAAAGGTTTTTTTAAAAAAAACTCTGACAGGCCTTGACTGTTAAAATTATTTTTTCTTATTCTGAAGTTTAGTATTAGAAAGTTCACTGGGCTGTATATTATGCTATTACTCTAGCCTAAATTTTGTCAGTAATAAAAGTAAGATTTTTGACTCAAAAATGTTGAGTAAAAAACAAAATGTACATACAAATATGAATTTAATTTTATTAAAATATCATAAAATTGAAAGAACAAAATAATAAGCACCATTTTAATGGGGTTGTGGATTATTGATACTAACTTTTGTCTTTAAAAGGCTGTTTCTTCAAGACATTTTGAGGCAGAAAAACAAAAAATGGTATTTAATACATTTTATCTATGGTGAAGTCACTAAACTTCTGTTTTTGGTTGAAATTGCATGCATATTTCATTCCTTTACTGTTTTTTCTCTCTCAGCATGCATCTCATACCAGACTACAAGGCACACAATAAGGGTAAAGCTTTAGTGTACCTAATTCTTTATAGCTTTTACATTCTTTGCATTTTTTATTTGGCGTTAATAACAATCTCAAGAGGAGGAAGGATATAGGTACTTATACGATTCTTAAATTTTCTGTTATTAATATAGACATTTAAGTATATTAATATCCATAGCAGATGTTATTAAAATAAACATAATAAAGCATCAAACACTAAAAGAATCATAGGTTTAAATCCTAGTTGCTCTGCTTAGAAAAGTTAGATCTCAACTCAAATGTCACCTTTTCATGGAGGTCCTCCTCTGATGTGCACTGTCCCCCACCCCATGTCTCAGTCAATCTTCACATTACCCGTCATTGTCTTTATAACACTTAACAGTATCTGAAATGATTTATGTATTTTTTACTTGTTTAATGCTTACATCTCCTGTCACCACCACTCCCAAGAATGCACCTCCAGGGAAAGAAGAATCTTATTCTCCTCCCATCCGTCTACTGTTTTCTCCTTAATACCTAGAGCAGTGCTGGGCCTAGTGTGGAAATTTCATAAATATGTACTGAATATGTGAATGAATGAGCAAGATTTCTGTAAAATGGAGCTTTAGTGCATAATATGTACTGAATATGTGAATCAATGAGCAAGATCTCTCCTCCCCTGTAAAATGGAGATAATCATACCTACCTTACAGACTTATGTCAAAGAACAGATTAGATAACATGTGAAAAAAACTTCATATCTTAAACACTGTCATTTTATTATTCCCCTGTTAACTTATTATAGCATACAGGGGTCCTGCACAAAGTTTTTTCCATGTCATGGTAATGTTACCAGTATTATACCCCAAGAGCTTCCTAGGCATTTTTTTTCTAAAAGGCAAAGTCGCATTATGTGCGCTAATAAAATACCTATTAAAGAACTCTAATTAAAACCACTGATAGTAAACAATGACAGTAATCTGTTTGGATTCTAATTAGATAGATTATGTGACCATTGAAGAAAAGCAAAAGCCAGATCAGCTCTTCTAGATGGCTTGGACAAGGCCTGATAATGCTCTTTAAATGCTAAGAGAAATAAATCACAAGATGTCAAATAATCAACAATCATGTTTTGAAGACTTACCTATCCTCAAGGTCATGCTAGGTGATATATTCACACGTGGAATAACTGCACAGCCTGGTTATACATTATTTCCTTTATTGTCTCAAAAGGATACTTGGTCTGAAAGAAAATAAAGGCCATATTTTGACTTTGATGATTTGTGGAACCCAAAAAGATTTATAATTTTATAAACCAAAATGTTGCCACATTTTAGAACGCCAGAGAGGCTAAAGAAATTATTCAAAGACACACAGCTACTTAGCGGCTCAGTCATATACACCTTTTAATTCAGCTAAATTTAAATGCCATTGATGGTACTTGAAGGTCTTTGACTTTGTACTAACCTCCTGTGGTTTGAGAGCAACCTAGGAACATGCACAATGTTAAACATCTTAGGAATATAGTTCACTAAGCAGTTGTTTGGTTAGTTGGTTGAATATTTCCTCAGGCTGAACGAAGTTTCCAGCTGTCTCTGATTTACCTTAACTTGAAAATAGAGATAATAATGACCTTGGTACATTTTTTAAATCTAGAGTTCCTGAAGTCTTATCCCGTGTACTAACTTAAGTACAGCACTTACATTTTTTATCGTAAATGTTCTATACAAAATAACATATCTCTTAATCTCCTGCCTTCATAAAGAAGAGAAATCTATCTCACTGAAAAGCCTTTCTTGCAAACCCATGCTGTAATGTTGGAAATCTCTTTGCTTTGGCCTGAATTTTAAGCTGGATGTATATAATTTGACTTGACTTTCTCTCTGCTAAGTTATATTTGAACTCTCTCTCTCTGTTAGACTGTTTTAATTCCAAATGAATCTTTTCAAAGCACCTGACATTTGTGGTATGCATGACTACATGGTTACAGACAAAATAGTAAAATATATAAAAGACTTGTTACACATCTGGAGAAAATAAATTCTTTTCAATGCAGGAAGGGACATTCTACATTACACATTAACTTCCCATTTTGACCATTAAACACTAGTGCACTAATATTTAAAACAGTAAGATAAAAGTGAAAAATACAGGATTGCTTATAATTTGATTTCTGATTGCATGGGTATAATATTATAGGTAACAGCTTTTTGTAAGAAATTTGTATGGAACTCAAACATCCGTAAATCTCAATAATACTATATATTGCTTACTATATTGTGCAATGAAATTTGATAACTATAAAAAAAGCAAACTCAATTATTATTTTAGTGTTAGCATTACTACTGAATTTTTATTATTTTTATTAAGTAAACCCATAATATATAAAGTAAATATTAGTCTTTTGCTAGTCAGACTATTTAATTTAGCCAGAATATTTTATTCTTTAGCCATTTGGTTATGTAAGAGATTACTGAAACACAAAACTAACAAGAAATTAGTCAACTGTTTATTCCTTCATTCCTAACAAAATGGAAAGCTTTTAGTTTAATACAAGTTAACAATTATTTTTGAGTCTCTATTATGTGTTCAACATTGCTCTAGAAAGAAACATTGGTCACCGAAAACAGTTCTTGAAATACCAGTTCTTGAAAACAGCTCTTGAAATACTATGTTTGGAAATACTGAGCTATTTGGCATTTGTTGGAAATCGGTGACTATATGCTCAGGCAAAAAGTCTTAGAACTTGTATTGGAATAAACTCAGAATAAAATTTACAGTGGTGAGATCTTTACAAAAATATATTCAATGTATTAAAAATTCTGTAGGCATTATTATTTTATGTGTACTGTGCAATATTTGTTTCTAATTATATAACAATGAAAGACAGCATTCTATTGGTAGGTCCTACTTCTATTCTCAGCAGAAGAAAGTGAATAGCTGAGATGGCCTACTGCTTTCAGTAAAGACCCTCAGACCACACCACTTGAAACTGATTTCAAAGAAGCTTCCCCTGTTCTCAGATCACACCATCTTGTTTTTTCCTGCTGGAGGCTAGTCTTTCATCAATCAATTAGAGGATTTTAAAGCTACACTTAAATTTTAAAGCTACATTTAAAATTGCGCCTATTGGGCAACTTGGCCCAAATTTAGCACTTCTTCACCTTGCTTTTGCAGTTGTTCACTTCCTCTCAGGAGTTGTATCACATTCCTTTGCAGACAGAGACTATATCTATTTATTCACTTATCTCATTAAAGCCTAAAACAGTGCTTTGCATATAGAAAGTACTCAAATACTTTGTGAATAACTTAATAAATTATTAAATAAAATAAAAATAGGTAATCACTAGGAAATATTTTTCTGCATAATATTATTCTATAGTTTAGTGACTTAAAAGAACAATTTATTTAGCCCATGAGTCTGCTGGTACAATTTATGCCAGACTCAGCTAAGTGATCTTGGCTTGCACAAGCATCTATAGTCAACTAGCAGGCCAGGGAGATGGACTGATTGGCTGGTACAGGGAGATAGCTAGGACAGTTCAGCTTTGCTCCACATGGTCCCTTATTCTCCATCACAACAGCCTGCGTTTGTTATCATGCAGGGGCAGGATTCCAAGAAAGAAGGGCAGAATTATGCAAGGCCATTGGAAGTCCAGGCTCAGAACTCAGTACAGTCACTTCCACAGCATTCTATTGGCTAAAGAAAGTCATGAGGACAGCCCAGATTCAAACTGTGGGGAAATAGGCTCCACTTCATGATGACAGGAGCTTCAAAATTTTATTGCAGAATGTGTGCATACATGGAGGAGTGAAGATTTAGATACATTTTTTTTGCAACCAATTTTTTGCAGGAGTTTTTTACTTGCTGGTCTTTGTTTTTACTGAGAATCTCACAAAAGAAAAGGTAACCATAACTCTAACTGTAACAAAAGGGAAGGACTTATAATATATATTATATATTATACTGGAACAAAAGGTATGAGCTACAGTTCTTCTTGCCTAAAAGAATATGATGTCCCCTTTGTAGAGAAGTTGTTCTTTCTAAGGATCCAGCCCCAACAATAGAAAGAAAATAGATAAGCTAATTGGCTAGATTTCCTCTCTGCCTAGTATTCCTCATTCTATGAAAGGTTTTATTATTGCTTTAGGACGTTCATAAGTTCAGGGACTGACACCTACACAGTGCTAGAAAGAGGCAAAGGTTCAGCCAAGGTCATCTGCTCATCAAGTCTCCCTGCCCTCCACTTGGAGTTGGACTTTTTAGTGGGACACTGGAATGGAGTTTAAACAAGCCAGGTTATAAAAGAAAAATAGGAAGAGAATAAATATCTGCATGGTGATAAAATAAAAGCTTCAGTCGAATTATATTTAAAGGAGTTTAATTGAGCAATGAATGATTCACAAATCGGGGAGACTTTCAAGCCAGAGTAGGCTCCGGACTCCAGCGCAGCCATGTGGTAGAAGAAGATTTATGGACAGAAATAGGAAAGTGATGTACAGAAAAAGGAAGTGAGGTACAAAAACAGCTGGATTAATTACAGGTTGGGGTTTGCCTTATTTGAACACAGTTTGAGCAGTTGGCTACATTTGATTGGCCAAAACTCGATGATTGGCACAAGTGTAGGCTACGGCCTGTTTACACCTCTACTTGTTCTAGTTCACAGTGTACAGAAAAACCTTTAGGCCACACTTAAAACATGTAAGGAGGCAGCTTTAGGCTAAACTTGATTGAACAATGGTTTGTACCTGCATACCCTTCAAGATTCATCTGAACCATGTTTACACACTTCTTGAATATTCCATGCTGCTTTCTGCAACAGGGTCTCATAGCCCATATTGCTCTCTATGCCTGGAAAGTTATCCTCTCTACCCACTTCATCTGGTTAACTTCCATTCTTCCTTTAAATGTTGTAGCTCAGACAATCCTTCCTTGACCCAAAACTATATGAAAGTTGTTCTGCTAGATGTTTTCTTAGAACATTCTTTCCTTTCATCATATTTATCTCCGTTTGTACAATTGTGTGATTATTTGATTGAGATCTATCTCTCTCACAGACTAAAGGCTTCATGAGGGCAGGGGCAATTCCGGTTTTCCTCTCCCTTGTATTTCTGTTGCTCACACAGTGCTTACCTCATAGCGGTTGTTTGCCAAATGTGGGTTGGTTAATGAGTGAATGCGTGCAGAGTTAATAAGTAACTAACTGTGAGTTTTTTAAGCAGGAGAAAAGTTATTTTAACATTTCTAAATTATGCACATTAAATATTAAATAAAGCCTGGGAAATCAGGTGTCTCTGTTTCCAGAGGGATGATACAGTTTAAACAGACTCTGCTATGTTTTTTCCCAATGTGCTTCCAGATTGGGGCCAACGAATTGCCCAGATTGGAGAAAGAGTAGTTCTGTCTTGGCGATCACCTATACTCAGGCTCTAGCTTCTTCATGAATCAGTGCCAGGTGTAGTGGTGCTTTTTGCAATGCACACATCTTTCCTATGAGGTCATTACTGATGGAAACCATCAACACCTCTGTCCCTGGGGGAGAGCAAGAAGTCAACTCCATTCAAATAAGCATTCCTCGAACTCCTGCTTAAGAAACACTCGCCAGCTCCTACCGCAGATGTTTTAGTTTGAAGGACAGGATAAAGGATGACACTGAGGGGTGAAAATCGGAACAAACCCATTACAGATGCATTGGGAAGGAAACTATGGAAGAGTTTCCATGTGTCATAATAGTATCCTTATCATCCTTCCACTTAATTTAGTCAAGCAATAGAATAATGTTCCAAGTAGGTGCCAATCTATTCTGGGCAGATATCAAAAAGTGGTCACTTATTTCATCTCCCATAGAATAGACTTACTAGACGGTAAAATTCCTTCTTAGCATGCTAGTGCTATATTAGTTTTCAAGGCTAGTTTATTTTGCAAGAATAATCATTGTGTAGTTCTAGATATTATTGTTGTTGCTCAATACAGACTGATGGTAAGCAAATGGATGTATAGACCAAATGGATGTATAGATTAGATAATGCAAAATGCATGGCCAATAAGAGGAGAATTCATTATGGAAAATATGACCAAGGAACACATTTCTTTGACTATCTAGCTATCTTGATTTCTTAAGTAGGACGTTTATGATGGACCAAGGTAGCCTGCCTAAACACGGGTTTTAATAAGTCAGTATGAAAGAAACATCTGTCTTCATTCAACAAACATTTGCTGACATACTAGGAGCCATGCTCTGCCTAGGACCTAAAATCTTATAGGACATTTCCTAATCATAAAGAGTTTAGAGTCTTGCAGAGTTGTTTGTCAAGTGATGGGTGAGAGGGTGGCTAATTGGGAAAAAGGAGTGACAATGAAGATGAGGTATTACTTGAAGCATAGGAACAAATTATGTTCAGCTACGAAATTTCAAGAATATGAACATAATTGGAGTGTTTATGAGAAGGAAAAGGCTCATATTACTGCAAGTGATTTTCAAGAAGCTGAAAAAGAAAAGCTGGCATTTTGGAGAATGGAGACTCAGAAACCTTCAGAGGAAGCCTTTGAAGTTTTAGTGAGTGGGGTTCTGGTTGTTTCCATAGCAAGGCTCAGGGAGTTGGGTAGGTTATGAAGACAGCATCAGGAGACAGACATCTCACCCACTCCTGAAACTCAACCACTCAGAAAGGTTATAACCCACGGAAAGTCAAAAGACACTATAAGTGTTTCTGCTGGGACAGAAAACTGGACTCAAATAGGTAGAAAATATAATTCTTTCCAATTAATATTTTCAAACAACGTAAGAGTAGCAAAATATCATATTCTAAGGGATGCAAGGCAAATGTGAATGGGAAGTGAGAAAGTAAGCATGAATGCACAAGGAAGGGAGTGCTAACTCCCGTTCAAGAGAAAAGTCATACCACAGTGACAGGCCTGCTGTGCAAAAGCCCATTTAGCAAGAACAGCCCAGACCTTTCTTTCAATTTTATCAGAAGCCACTGATCCTAAAGTATCACTGGCGCCTACTGAATTTTCACCAGGGACCTAACAGAAAACATCTGTTCTCTTACTTAAAACTAAATCAATTGATTAAATCAACGTTTGCTTGCTCTCTTCTATTAGAAGCATAGCTATTTCTCTTTTTCTTCTCTCCTGACTCCTTTAGCAAGTTACTTCTGCTTATGAGTTAAAATCTGGGATAAAGGTGTGTCTCCTTCTGTGCCTACATGGGGAAAGTTACCACAGGTCAAGCTGAAATTATGTCACAAATTCATGGATGTAAACAATTTGGTAATATTTTATATGTAAATCGAAAGCCTACATAACCACATAAAATAACCTCTAGCAGCAAATACGTGTGTGTGTACACAAAATTCTCACTGCCTTGAGAAAACCTCAGCCATAAATATGAAACTCTTCATTTTAAATTTGGTCTTCATGTTTAAACTCCTTTTATAGTTTTTGTAAAGGAGATTCCATGAATGATTTAGGCCTGGTTTTAGTTGAAGCTTTCGAACTTAAAATTGGAATCTTTGTTATAAAACTTCTGTGATTAGGACCCACATTGTCTTATATATTTTTCTGAGTCAATAGGATTACCCTACTCTATTGATCACTGCCCACTAAACAACAAGATCCATATGAAGCAGGACCTCAGAAAACAAGAATACAATAGCAGCCAACTGTGCAGCATGGATGTAGTTGTCACAGAACAAACTCTTATCTGGCATCTACCATGTGCCAAGCACTGTTCTAGACCCAGGGTATACATGGAGAAATGTCATAGTGATTGCCATAAAGAGTCTCACAATCTAACAGAGAAAAGAAATAAACCTCCAGTCATAATATCCTGAGATAAATGTTGTGCTGGGGGATATATATAGTGACCCAAGATAACAGAGGCAGGGGGAATAACTCTGCCTTTAGAGAAAGCGGAGGGGGACTCAGGGAAGATTCCACAGAGGCAGTAAGATTTGAGCTGGGCCTCACAAAGGATAAGCTCCAATGCCCATATATTTCTCTGGCGTATTTCTAATTTCTGTAAACTTGGCAAGTTGTTTCACTGCTCTGTTCCTGAGAGTATTCATCAACTAACCGAGGGAATTAGCAGTAAGTCACATGTTTAAAAGACAAGTTGGTAAAGGGGGTGAGAGGGATGTGAAGCTGCAGTTAGGGCTAGGGTGAGAGGGATGAGAAAAACAGGAGTAAGGAGAAAATATGGAAGGATGGTATCCTTAGAAAGGAGAAAAACAAAAGAGAAACGGTTCCACATGCATTTTACCTTTTTTTCCCTTTGCCACCTTGAATTTATAGGCAGCATCGAAATCATTGAATGGGAAAATGAAATAACATAAATAGTAATAATCCTCTTCATCTCCATCAATTAATAGGGTATATAATAAATGTGATATTTTTAAAATGAGGGGAAAGTTATTAAGGCTCAGAAAATCGACATATTATGACAGGAAGGGGCCATAAATATCAGGTTAGTAAGCATACAAGAACAGCAACTAGAGGCCTCTAAAGAAATTAGGTGAATAACACTTAATCCATATGGTCACTGTGGGAGTTAAATAAAATATCTATGTACAAGACAAAGAACATTGCCTGGCACCGATTTAGCATGCAGCAGATAATTATTTTTATTGTTGTCATCCGTCACCATCTGAAAATATAGCAAATGAGAAGGGAAAGGCCCTGTCCAACCTCACAGTCATCTGTAAAGACAAACTGGAGGTGGCTAGTGAAACAGGAAGAGAACAAATGTAGAAATTTTACTGGGGCTACCTCACTATTCCTAATACCCTAAAGCAGATCCTAACTGAATATGTGACTCTAAGGAGGCTCTAGGGGTTATCCACCACCCTAAGATCTTGACCTGGCAACATCTTTCAATAGATGTCGTGATAAGATAATAAAGAACGAAAACAATTTAGAAAGAAATGTGCCGAGAAAAGTCCACAGAAGGGAAAAATAGGAAGAGGCAAAGTGAAGAAAAACATATGAAACTTGTCAACTTTTCTACCTATGGCTATATGCTGGCCAACTGTTAGGAACATTGGTGCTAACAGGGATAACACATCATAGTGATTCCTGCCCAGAAATAATATAAAACACAATGCAGAGGCATGCTGGCTTCATTTGCTGCAGGATCTTGGAACTAAAACAGGAGGGAAAATAGTTGTTCCCCTCCCTGGAATGTCCCCAGACTAGTCTGTGGTGAGTTTACCACTGCCCTGGCACCTATCACAGGACCTTTGGTCATCTCTGCAGGGTGTGGGCTGATACTCGACATGACCACAGCTAAACATGGGGATGCACATGACAGAGGGAAAGTAAATGAAAAGGATTTTGTTTTTCACATCAGTGTCTGAGGTGAACAGGCCAGACCAAGAATGAGATACAGTATTATAATCTGACAACGAAATACAGAAAGCTCAAAACTTGGGGTGCCATCAAAGCCATGCACAGTAGGAGAGAAACTTCAGATACATAATTGATGCATGGAACTGGAAACAACCAAAAAGCTATTCCAAGTTTCTGAAAAGCAGCCAAATCACAATATCTTGAGACATTCAGAAAGTTCCTAATGAAGCCTCATCCAAAAGCAACGTCTAAAACATGTGTTCTAGTAATTTGGTGATTTATTCAACCAGCACCTATTAGGGACCTATCACACACCCAACGTGCTGCTCAGTTCTGACAGATGAGTTCCTGCCTTGTAGGAACTTATACTCAGGTGTAGGGGATAAGAGACACATTCCTCAGCCTTCATGGTTTGAGTGCAGATTATATTGAGATGAAGTGATGTGGTAGGGTGCACCCCTTAGGAAAGAAAAGTTGGCATTCAGAAACAAAACAACGTAAAGGGCTATATGTGCAGCTGAATGGCTCAAGGAAAACCACCTAGGAAAGGAAAATGTGTGTTCTCTCTGTTCTCTGCTATGTTAAATAGCCATTAGACTGTCCTCTATTTCAAAATATTGAAACACTATAGAAAATTGCTGGGTAAATACAGAACTTGTAAAAGGAATTTGCAACCATCCACACCCCTGGAAATATGGGACTCTGTTTCCGGGTTGTGACGGTTATATAAATTATTTTCTTTCTCACTGACTTTCAGGTTCACTAGGAAATGGTGAGCTAACAGCACTAAGAATTATCTTCAGGAGAAATAATCCTTCCTAACAGAGCCTGTATACGTGTTATCTAGATAGGTACATTTGTCAGAAACTTGGGTAGAGGTTATTCTATCTCTCCTCCAAATTTAATTCTTGAATCTGATTCTCTGTTCCATTTATCTTCAAGAAAAAAAAATAAAAACCATGTGATTACAAAGGCAAAGACTTGATGAACAACGGAAATGAGATAAAAAGTATTCCTCCAGAAAGTAAAAATACCAAGAAATGGTTTTTATTCCTGTGTATTTGTACAAGCTAAACGATGGTCTAGATGAGGAGAAAGTGTCTCTAGGAAGATTGGCAACGGAATGAACTGACGTATTCTGAGAAAAATAATAGAAGATAGGCTGATGAAAGTTCAGATCCCAGCACAGGCAAAAAGTGTGGAAAGGGAGGAAATAAAGAGGCCTATGGATACTTCTAAGACAAATAGTTTTATTTTAAAACTCTAGTCAAAATACCTTGGTGCAGACAGGAAAACAACTTTTGAGAATTACATAAATAACAAAGATTTGAAATTGGAAAAAAAAATTTACAGCACACAGACTCCCTAAAATATAATTATGTATTGCTTAACAATGGGGATACAGTCTGAGAAATGTATCATTAGGTGATTTTGTCATTGTGTGAACATCATAGAGTGTACTTACATAATCCTAGGCTATATGGTATAGCCTACTGCTCCTAGGCTAAGAGCCTGTATAGCATGCTACTGAACTGAATACTGCAGGCATCTGTAACACAGTGGTAAGTACTTGTGTATCTACACACAGAAAAGGTGCAGTAAAAACACAGTATTATAATCTTATGGGATCCCCGTCATGCATGCAGTCCCTTGTTGACCAAAACATCATTATGTGGTATGTAACTGCATTTATAAGTTCCATATACATATGGTCTGTATTCAAGCTGAAAATATTACTTAAATTGTTCCTCTATAGGAAATAGAAGAAAAAAAGTCTGAAAGCCCCCTATGATAAAGTAAAAAAACATTTTTTAAATGAGGTCAACATTTTTTGCCCCCATCAACACCCAGCATATCATCAGAATTTATATTCTTTATACTAAAATTTCTGGGAAACAATAGAATGCCACAAGCCGGGAGATTATATTTCTTATTTGTTTTTTGGAATATGGAAATACACATGCACGTATGTGCACATGCATGTGTGCACACATGCACAACCAATTGGTAATAGGCACAGATGGTGTGGGGATGAAAGATTCTAAGCTGGATCTTTGTGGGTTTGGAGTTTGGGAAATAGCCTAAGAGATTAGGGTGGAGGTAGAAAGCTCCTCAAGGATCTTTATTCATGATTGGAATCCCAGAATTCCATGAGCCTTAAAAATCATCTAATGCAGTTATTCTAAAATCATGCTCTAAGGAAACCCAGGATGTCAAGAATATGCCTCAGTGATCTACAAACAAGTAAATGTCTGCCTTACAAACAAACAAAAAAATACCCTGTAAACTACCTAAAAATGTATTCATCACTTTTAACTATTTTTATATTTTAATGTTCAAAATTATCCATTTAGTCCAACTGTCTCATTTGACAGGTCAAGAAACTTAGAACAATCAAATAACCTTCTCAACGTCTCAAACTAGTTAGTGTATAGTTAGGATCATGTATTAGTTTGAGTTCTTCTCAAAGCAAATCTCAAGACAGACTTGGGTTCAGGTAGCTTCTTTAAGAAGTGACCCTCAGAAATCTGAAGGAGAGAATAGGGAAAGTGAGACAAGGAAGAAAAAATTCAATAAAGATATATGAATGAATGGACTACTACTGTGGCAACTAGGGCTCAGTCTTGCTGGGGAGCTACTGAGAAACCTTGTGGAGTAGGCCTCTGAATTTTCCCACCCAGGAATTGGATGACTGTGTTTCCATCCACTATGTCCCATTCCACGTGGATAGAGGGTTGCCCTTGGCGACCTTAACTCCCCTGCACTTCTGAGCCACAGGGTAAGCTCCCAAGGCTCTAGTGAAAGCCCTCAGATGAGTAGTGGAGAGCCGCCCTACTTGAGGCAAGAATCAGCTTGCAGGAAACTATTCATCACAGATGCAGGTAAGCTCAGGTGGGCCCAGGGGCAATGGGGCAAGGCATCCACAGCATCCATAGCACTTGAACCCAGGACTTCTTACTCCCAAAGCCTTGTTTCACTGATATAACACTAAAGGAATGTGTTTATACTGAAAAGGGTTCTATTCTTCATCAGGCACCTGCCTTCCTGATGAGCTAGTTTCAAACACACAGCAACCAAAGCCACCACTACTTTCCAGGACGCCACAGAATAAGAGCCATTTCACATATACCTTATACAGATGAATTTACTCTATTTCAACTTCAATTGAATGCTTCTCTAAAAGAGGGATCTAGGATTTCATCAAATGAAAGGGAACTAGATGATAACAGGGATCCAGCCAGGATTTTTCTTCAAAAGGAATATTGTTCTATGACAGAGCCAAGGCAAAGACATTCTGAGAGATTCCTAAGGAGTACACGGAGCTGAAAAGCTGATGTGAGATGTGAATAAGTTTAGCCTGTGAATTGGACCTAAGGACGTAATAGAGAACATGCTGGTAAGCCACAGTTATTAGGGATGAAAAAGTAAAGTAGAAGGCAGGGTGATGAGCTGAGAAGGCCCCTAGTGATGAGAATGACACAGATAGCTGTCATTTCCTTTTCTCACTTTATTTAAGATACTGATTATTTTACCATGGTTGATGAAGATGCCAAAATATAAGCACACAGACATTTTTCAGTCCCTAACCCACTAACAATTTTGTATCTTCCCCTGCAAGATTTTGGAATACTTTTCATAATTAAAAGAAATCTTGGAAATATCTTCTATTTTCCACAGTGAATTGTTTAAAATAAGATTTGGGTTTAAGTGGGCATAATTTTTTATTAATAGTACTCTGCTGACACTTAAATATTGTAAAGGAATGAGATTCATAAGATCCTCTTCTTCAATAATCTAAATCATTTTAGGTTATGGAAGATTCTTGTATTCTTAATAAATATAGATTTATGGTACTGTTATCCCCATATATAAACTTGTTTATGAATATCTGGATTCACCTGCACACCCACTGATATGGTTTGGCTGTGTCCCCACCCAAATTTCAACTTGAATTGTAGCTCCCAGAATTCCCATGTGTTGTGAGAGGGACCCAGGGGTAGGGTCGCTAACGTCATAAGTGCTTCTCTTATAGAACCCCTTCTTACTGAACAATTGAATCATGGAGGCCAGTCTTTCCTATGCTATGTTCGTGATAGTGAATAAGTCTCATGAGATCTGATGGGTTTATCAGGGGTTTCCACTTTTGCTTCTTCCTCATTTTTCTCTTGCCACCACTATGTTAGGAAGTGCCTTTTGCCTCTCACCATGATTCTGAGGCCTCTCCAGCCATGTGGAACTGTAAGTCCAATTAAACCTCTTTTCTTTCCCAGTTTCAGGTATGTCTTTATCAGCAGTGCGAAAATGGACTGATACACCCACATAGCAAAAACTATCACAGAAGCTGCAAGGAGGAGAAATATTTACTCTATGCCAGACAATGTACCATGAAGTCTACATATTTCCTGAATTCAAATAACTCATTGATATTATTTCCAACTCATTGAAACACATTGATCAGCAGCTTAAATATTAGAAGGCACAATGATAGACTCTACAATAGATACATAAATGGATCAGGAATAATCCATGTCCTCAAGGAAGCTATAGCCTAGTAAAAACAAAAATCACTTTAATATAAGATACAGTATGTTTTGTCATTGAAGTGTTGTAAGTAAATGGCATAGGAGTTCAACTATAAAACTTTGGTGACATGAAATGAGACCCTAATCCTGTGGTGGAGTGTGGTAAAGCCAAAAAAAATCACATAAAGCCTTGGAAAACTTGCACCTACATTCAAAATTCTCTGCAGTTGTGAATTGATAAATTTGATTTGTTCTCTGGAAGACTGCTTAAGTCCTGCCACTATTTGGCTTTACACACTTGACTTTCTGTTTACCCCTATAGTTCTATATCTTTCTTGTCTTTTAGATTTAAAAAAATAAAAATACGTTAAGGTCTGAAGAACAGGCTTGAGATAGGTCCAATTCCTTTTAGGTTCACAAATATCTCTTGTCTTCCTTAGCATAAGTCACGGAGAGCACTTATCTAAGTTTGGTGTGTTTTAGGCTAAAAAGGCACACACTCTGCACCAATAGACTGTATTCAGGAGCAGAGGTAGATAAAAATTATCTGTTTTGTTAAAGTACTACACGCCTAGAGTAATATTTATTTTGCATTCTTCTCCCATGAAAATTTTTCCTAAAGAAATACTCCAAATAGTTCAAATGAAAGGGATTTCAAAAATGCCAATTAATCAAACTGAAAGTTTCTTAAACTTTCTGGTGGAAAACAACTAAAGAATATACACATTTGAAAATGCTTTTCATAATGGGAAAGGAAATAAAACATAAGAATTAACATATAGTATACTAAGCATTTTTCATGCATCACTTTTTCCAATCCTTATAGCAACCCTGTGAAATAGTTACTGTTATAAGTACCATTATACAAAAAGAGAAACTGAGACTTTGAAAAAAAATAAGTCATTGGCGAATATTATGGGAAGTTGGGATTTGAGCCTAGATCTTGCTGATTGTAAGTTTGTAAACTTAACTACTGCTAACAGTTTCAGAATCCATTCATGTTTTCTGGTTAGTAAGCTTGAGAAATAAGACCTGTGGTAATAGATACATATGCACAATATTAATTTGTATCTCAATGAGCATGATTGAGATTAATGATTATTAGATCAAAATATGATGCCACCTTAATCATAAACCATGTTTTGTATGGTTTAATCCACATTCATATGGAGTAATTGATCCTGAAAATTAGTAAGGCTTTATAGTAATTGTTTTTCTATAATTCCTATAGAGAGAAGGGGAAATCAGTGACAGAAAATATGTAACCTGAAATATTTTGGGGCTATAAGAACTATTTTTCCTGTATAACTGCCAATGACTTCATGTTTATACGAAGAGTGTAAATATTCAGAAAATCCAGGGACCCACCATGATTCATTTCTTAACCTGCAAGCACTTTAATAATAGGCACCTAAAACTTTTCCACAATGTGAATAAGAACATCTTGCAGTTACTACCTTGTATAGAGCTCACGTAAACAGAAACTGCTACTCAAATATTTTATCAAAACACTGTCTTTGTCCTTTGATCACACACACCCCACCCAGCACACCCACAACTAAACAGAATACTTCATTAGAGGAAACACATGAGTTCTGTTCAAAATCTCAGCAAAAGTTGGCCAACTAATTTTTAGAAAATTCACTGTGAAATCAAAAAGACTTATCCAAAGAGCTGAGATGTCGCACCCATTCCATTATACAATGTTACCTCATGAAAATGGGCTGATAAATCAGCCCACGAGTTAAATGGCAACGCTTCATTCAGGAGGCTGTTCTGCTTCACGCATCTGACAACTACTTGGCAAGTGTCTGCATCTCCTAACTGCAGAAGCTACAGTCTTCTGAAAGACGAAGGTCTTTACACAGTTTAGTGTTCGGTGTTCTTGGCACACGAATGCAGTGTAGTTCAGAAGGTATTTTGGCAACTCTTAATCTGAGCAAGAATGGGGCTTTTGAAAAATAAGAATTTAAGAAGTCTTGTCATTTTAGGGCTAAATTTTAATAGAATATGAGTCTGAACTCTTACATTTAGAACAAACAAAACCTTAAACTTACCGATTGGTTCAAAATGGTTTTCTGGAAAAATTAATCTGTAACAAAAAGTTGGCATTGAGTGTGAAGGTTCCACCGTTTTTTGAGCAAAGTGTACAAAGATTCCAATGGACAGGACCAAGAACGAGGGGCTCAGACATTTACAACAGCAGGCATTTTCTCTTCCTCTTCTTCACGGGAGGTGGGCAGAGGACTGCTTGGATCTCTTTGTCAAACACTGTTGAGGCCTCGCTGTGTGAGTGCCGAGCACTTCAGGTATTTTACAGCACCAATCTCCTTAGTGATGGCTAGACCCTGCAGATAGGTGATGGGAGTCAGCTTCTTCTCCTTCAGTTTCTCAGTCGTGTCTGTATCATCCCTAAGTTCAAGTTTAGTTCCCACTAGGATGATGGGAGTGTTGGGACAGTGGTGCTCCACCTCAGGATACCACTTTGCACGGACTTTTTCAAATGATGCAGGACTCACAAGGGAAAAGCAAATTAAGAACACATCTGTTTGCGGATAGGGTAGGGGGCATAATCTGTCATAATCTTCTTGAGCAACTGTATCCCATAAGCCCAAATTCACCGGTTTTCCATCTACCACAACATTGGCAGAATAATTGTCAAAGACAGTAGGGATATATTCTCCAGGAAATGCATTGGTTGTGTAACTGATCAGTAGGAAGTTTCACCTACAGCTCCGTCTCCCACCACCACACCCTTGATGGCCTGCATCTGGGCCGCTCGCTGGGCCGCAGGGGCAGCAGCAGGGCGCTGAGACCAGAAGCGGCGGGTACAAGGAATAAAAGTGTCAAGGGTAAAACCTCTAAAAGGTTAATTTCTGTCAAATGCAGTAGATGATTAAAGAAAGGTTGGTATTATCAGGAAGTGTTTACTTAAGCTTTTCCTTTCTCTTACATCAGCCATCCCCCCCCAAATTGGGCATTTAATTCATCTTTAAACTGGTCGTTCCCTTAGTCTCTAACTTAGTAAGTGCTTTTCTTATAGAACCCTTTCTTAATGAGCAATATGCCTCCTTGTATTATGAAATCTTTCTCATAATGCATTAGAAGGTTTTTTTGTAGATTGGTAAAAGTGCTTTCCATGTTACTTTATTCAAAGCTAATAAGTGCTTTCCTTAGTTTTCCAGTAACTAGGTGTAAAAATCATGTGTTGCAATTTTATAGTTTTTAAAATATTTTAGATAATTCTTAAACTATGAACCTTCTTAACATCGCTGTCTTGCCAGATTACTGACACTGTCACTTGACCAATACTGACCCTCTTTACCTCACCCGCATGTGGACATATGCTTCCTTGTAGTTGCTTAGTCTAATGATGTTCCTTTGGGTTTGTGAGGTTCTGTAAACTGTGCTGGTGCTGACGATGTTCTATACAACTTAACTCACTGGCAAGAGTACAAGGGAGGACCTTTCAACCACTAGAACAAAAATTTTTAAGTTGACAGTTGCAGAATTGTGGAGTGTTTTTACGTTGATCTTTTGCTAATGCAATTAGCAGTGTGTTTTGCATGTATGACCTAATAAATCCCTGAATCATTAAAAAAAGCTGCCACTCAAATATTTTGAGCTGCTTTGTGAAGAAATGTCCAACTTAAGGTAGAATGATAATATCAAAAAGTACTAAAAAAGTAGAAGTTATTGACTACAAAAAAATATAGTAAGTTCCTTCAAAGAAAGAGTGTTGAAGCACAATGCTCAACCCTTAACAAATATGCTTTTTAAATTTATGCTCAGCGGGGTGTGTGTGTGTGTGCGCGTGTGCCTGTGCACACACTTTCTTATTTCATTTAAGTGCGATATTCGAAATATTTAGTAACTGGCAGGGCACAGATACCAACTAAGTTAAATAGAGCCCCCTCCTGTAACAGGAGCTCTGGAGGGCCTTGCTTTGCTAGGTGTTGACAATTTAATGTTGGAATGAAGAACAGGGAAGGTGCTGGGGGTCCTATGGAGGATGCCTGAGCCGGTTGAGCTGGAAGGGTTGGGTCAGCAAGGAGCTACTCAGGGAGTTGGAGCAGCAGCTGTTTATAATTATTTAAATGTTTTCACCGCCAATGGGGCCACAGTGGTGAGTACCAACCAGACGTTATCAGCCGAGGCTATTGAAAAATAACATAATATACACAAACTAATATGAATACCAGAAAAGAGCATTTTAAGCATATTTTATATTGCGAACTTTGATCAAGCAGATACCAAAAAATTAAAAAGTATTATTATAATGATGCAATTCTAACTTCATATTTGCCCATTTTTCTGCCTGCCATCAGCTTACCCTCTCCATACACAAACTAACAGGCCTTCTCAGATATATTTAGGAGAGTTGACTAAGGACATCAAGAGCTGAGAATCAAAATTTGAACTCAAGGCCTCCCAACCTGTGGTGAAAGCAGCAAATCTCAGAAACAGGGATATATTTTCTTCTGCTGATATATCTCAATTAATTATCCAGGATTCCCCCATCCACTTCATCTCTGTCCTGTAACACTATAAAGGAGCAGTGAGTCTATTTTCTTCTCCTTCTACCTCATTCATCTACCAGTACATCCCACAAAAGCACAAATTTCTTATGGTTTTCCCCAAGTGCTGTGCGCTTAGAGAAAAGGCACATATGGCCACCTTCTTACACCTTCACTCACCAATCACTGGTCATGTATGTCCCTGAGTACAGATGGAGCCTACGGAGAAGGAAGGATGTTTAGTTGCACAAATGTACATCTGAAAAAATGTAAACCATGAACACATTCATACCCAGGTAATGTTTCCAGAGAGCATAACCCTTTCCCTTCCAGTTTACTTTCAGTATTATACTCATTTCCCTTTCAGTATTATATTACTCAGGGAATGGAATAAATAGCTTATTTTCTCTCTCATGTTTTCACTCTCTTCTTCGTGTCCTAGGGATTTGAGTTGTTTTCCTACCATTAGAGTTACCTGTTTCTAATTTTAATAATTTCATATTCTATGACTGATATATAGCAAAAGAATAAATGGAGAAGATCCAAATGTATCTCAAACAATCATGTCAGACTCTTACCAATGGCAGTATTGTCAATTGTTAAAATCAGCGACAGTTCTCAGGTTTGTTGGCTTTTTTGGAGATACAGAAACATTGATGATTAACAGCTGTGTTGATCACAATTGCTAGTATACATTAGCATTTCCACAGAACTTCCATAAAATGACTTAACAGCTTGTATGCTACAGACCTATTATACAGTACAAGAAGGAAGCACATACTCATGCATGTGCACGTGTGTGCGTGCAGGCGTGTGTGTGTATGCACACACACACACACACACACACAAACCATTTGGGTGCAGACGGGCAGAATTGTAAATACTGCTGAAGAATTTTTTGGTTACAGGTCAAAGGAGGTCTGAGAAACCCAACCCAAACAAAATGTAATCATATGGATCATATCCTCCTCCAAAATATTAAAACATTAGGATTCTCTTTTTTTTTTTTTTTTTATTATACTCTAAGTTTTAGGGTACATGTGCACTTGTGCAGGTTAGTTACATATGTATACATGTGCCATGCTGGTGCGCTGCACCCACTAATGTGTCATCTAGCATTAGGTATATCTCCCAATGCTATCCCTCCCCCCTCCCCCGACCCCACCACAGTCCCCAGAGTGTGATATTCCCCTTCCTGTGTCCATGTGATCTCATTGTTCAATTCCCACCTATGAGTGAGAATATGCGGTGTTTGGTTTTTTGTTCTTGCGATAGTTTACTGAGAATGATGGTTTCCAATTTCATCCATGTCCCTACAAAGGATATGAACTCATCATTTTTTATGGCTGCATAGTATTCCATGGTGTATATGTGCCACATTTTCTTAATCCAGTCTATCATTGTTGGACATTTGGGTTGGTTCCAAGTCTTTGCTATTGTGAATAGTGCCGCAATAAACATACGTGTGCATGTGTCTTTATAGCAGCATGATTTATACTCATTTGGGTATATACCCAGTAATGGGATGGCTGGGTCAAATGGTATTTCTAGTTCTAGATCCCTGAGGAATTGCCACACTGACTTCCACAATGGTTGAACTAGTTTACAGTCCCACCAACAGTGTAAAAGTGTTCCTATTTCTCCGCATCCTCTCCAGCACCTGTTGTTTCCTGACTTTTTAATGATTGCCATTCTAACTGGTGTGAGATATCTCATAGTGGTTTTGATTTGCATTTCTCTGATGGCCAGTGATGATGAGCATTTCTTCATGTGTTTTTTGGATGCATAAATGTCTTCTTTTGAGAAGTGTCTGTTCATGTCCTTCGCCCACTTTTTGATGGGGTTGTTTGTTTTTTTCTTGTAAATTTGTTTGAGTTCATTGTAGATTCTGGATATTAGCCCTTTGTCAGATGAGTAGGTTGCGAAAATTTTCTCCCATGTTGTAGGTTGCCTGTTCACTCTGATGGTAGTTTCTTTTGCTGTGCAGAAGCTCTTTAGTTTAATTAGATCCCATTTGTCAATTTTGTCTTTTGTTGCCATTGCTTTTGGTGTTTTGGACATGAAGTCCTTGCCCACGCCTATGTCCTGAATGGTAATGCCTAGGTTTTCTTCTAGGGTTTTTATGGTTTTAGGTTTAACGTTTAAATCTTTAATCCATCTTGAATTGATTTTTGTATAAGGTGTAAGGAAGGGATCCAGTTTCAGCTTTCTACATATGGCTAGCCAGTTTTCCCAGCACCATTTATTAAATAGGGAATCCTTTCCCCATTGCTTGTTTTTCTCAGGTTTGTCAAAGATCAGATAGTTGTAGATATGCGGCATTATTTCTGAGGGCTCTGTTCTGTTCCATTGATCTATATCTCTGTTTTGGTACCAGTACCATGCTGTTTTGGTTACTGTAGCCTTGTAGTATAGTTTGAAGTCAGGTAGTGTGATGCCTCCAGCTTTGTTCTTTTGGCTTAGGATTGACTTGGCAATGCGGGCTCTTTTTTGGTTCCATATGAACTTTAAAGTAGTTTTTTCCAATTCTGTGAAGAAAGTCATTGGTAGCTTGATGGGGATGGCATTGAATCTGTAAATTACCTTGGGCAGTATGGCCATTTTCACGATATTGATTCTTCCTACCCATGAGCATGGAATGTTCTTCCATTTGTTTGTCTCCTCTTTTATTTCCTTGAGCAGTGGTTTGTAGTTCTCCTTGAAGAGGTCCTTCACATCCCTTGTAAGTTGGATTCCTAGGTATTTTATTCTCTTTGAAGCAATTGTGAATGGGAGTTCACCCATGATTTGGCTCTCTGTTTGTCTGTTGTTGGTGTATAAGAATGCTTGTGATTTTTGTACATTGATTTTGTATCCTGAGACTTTGCTGAAGTTGCTTATCAGCTTAAGGAGATTTTGGGCTGAGATGATGGGGTTTTCTAGATATACAATCATGTCGTCTGCAAACAGGGACAATTTGACTTCCTCTTTTCCTAATTGAATACCCTTTATTTCCTTCTCCTGCCTGATTGCCCTGGCCAGAACTTCCAACACTATGTTGAATAGGAGCGGTGAGAGAGGGCATCCCTGTCTTGCGCCGGTTTTCAAAGGGAATGCTTCCAGTTTTTGCCCATTCAGTATGATATTGGCTGTGGGTTTGTCATAGATAGCTCTTATTATTTTGAAATACGTCCCATCAATACCTAATTTATTGAGAGTTTTTAGCATGAAGGGTTGTTGATTTTTGTCAAAGGCTTTTTCTGCATCTATTGAGATAATCATGTGGTTTTTGTCTTTGGCTCTGTTTATATGCTGGATTACATTTATTGATTTGCGTATATTGAACCAGCCTTGCATCCCAGGGATGAAGCCCACTTGATCATGGTGGATAAGCTTTTTGATGTGCTGCTGGATTCGGTTTGCCAGTATTTTATTGAGGATTTTTGCATCAATGTTCATCAAGGATATTGGTCTAAAATTCTCTTTTTTGGTTGTGTCTCTGCCCGGCTTTGGTATCAGAATGATGCTGGCCTCATAAAATGAGTTAGGGAGGATTCCCTCTTTTTCTATTGATTGGAATAGTTTCAGAAGGAATGGTACCAGTTCCTCCATGTACCTCTGGTAGAATTCGGCTGTGAATCCATCTGGTCCTGGACTCTTTTTGGTTGGTAAACTATTGATTATTGCCACAATTTCAGAGCCTGTTATTGGTCTATTCAGAGATTCAACTTCTTCCTGGTTTAGTCTTGGGAGAGTGTATGTGTCGAGGAATGTATCCATTTCTTCTAGATTTTCTAGTTTATTTGCGTAGAGGTGTTTGTAGTATTCTCTGATGGTAGTTTGTATTTCTGTGGGATCGGTGGTGATATCCCCTTTATCATTTTTTATTGTGTCTATTTGATTCTTCTCTCTTTTTTTCTTTATTAGTCTTGCTAGCGGTCTATCAATTTTGTTGATCCTTTCAAAAAACCAGCTCCTGGATTCATTGATTTTTTGAAGGGTTTTTTGTGTCTCTATTTCCTTCAGTTCTGCTCTGATTTTAGTTATTTCTTGCCTTCTGCTAGCTTTTGAATGTGTTTGCTCTTGCTTTTCTAGTTCTTTTAATTGTGATGTTAGGGTGTCAATTTTGGATCTTTCCTGCTTTCTCTTGTAGGCATTTAGTGCTATAAATTTCCCTCTACACACTGCTTTGAATGCGTCCCAGAGATTCTGGTATGTGGTGTCTTTGTTCTCGTTGGTTTCAAAGAACATCTTTATTTCTGCCTTCATTTCGTTATGTACCCAGTAGTCATTCAGGAGCAGGTTGTTCAGTTTCCATGTAGTTGAGTGGCTTTGAGTGAGATTCTTAATCCTGAGTTCTAGTTTGATTGCACTGTGGTCTGAGAGATAGTTTGTTATAATTTCTGTTCTTTTACATTTGCTGAGGAGAGCTTTACTTCCAACTATGTGGTCAATTTTGGAATAGGTGTGGTGTGGTGCTGAAAAAAATGTATATTCTGTTGATTTGGGGTGGAGAGTTCTGTAGATGTCTATTAGGTCTGCTTGGTGCAGAGCTGAGTTCAATTCCTGGGTATCCTTGTTGACTTTCTGTCTCGTTGATCTGTCTAATGTTGACAGTGGGGTGTTAAAGTCTCCCATTATTAATGTGTGGGAGTCTAAGTCTCTTTGTAGGTCACTGAGGACTTGCTTTATGAATCTGGGTGCTCCTGTATTGGGTGCATAAATATTTAGGATAGTTAGCTCCTCTTGTTGAATTGATCCCTTTACCATTATGTAATGGCCTTCTTTGTCTCTTTTGATCTTTGTTGGTTTAAAGTCTGTTTTATCAGAGACTAGGATTGCAACCCCTGCCTTTTTTTGTTTTCCATTTGCTTGGTAGATCTTCCTCCATCCTTTTATTTTGAGCCAAAACATTAGGATTCTCTTTACTTGTTCCTACATGTTGGTTCTCTGATACCTTATCATGACTCAGCAAAATACCAGAATAAGGAAGCAGTCAGGGAAAACAAGAAGGTGATGAAAACTGCAGAAAGGCTTTGTGGAATTAAAAATACTTGGAGTCATGGTAGCAGGGGACAAGATTAACAGGGCATGAATCTTCCTGGATTTAACAATCCAGTCTACTATAAAGGTAATGTTTTACTGTTGCTTATAAAATGAGGACAACAATGCCTCCAAGATTATGACTGCCCAAGTTTGCAGTGAGCACAACATGCAAATGCTATCTCTGGGGTCCCTGAATGCCTGGACACATGAAGCTCTTCACTGACAGCTACTGAGCTGCTTTCGGTTTTGTTTTCTAAATTCACCGCCATTTATGGGACAGAACACATTACTGACATATTATCAAAGTGACGAAAACAGAAGAAAAACAGCAACAGTAGTTGTTTCGAGGAGTCGTGAGGCTGGGACAGTTGTCGTCTGCTGGGAAGACAGATGAGTGGCCACAGGCTGCAGCACTGGACATGAAGCCAGTCTGCACAGTGCTCAGAGCGGACAGCACCGATGCGGCCGCTTGCTGTTTACTCCCCAGCTTAAACCGTAGCCTCATCGCAACAATGTCTGAATCTGCCCTTCCCGTCTCCTCTGCCAAGTTATTCTGTGCTGAGATTACCTGCTGTGTCTACCTCATTACCAGTTATTATAAATCACTGTGTACCTATTACCATTTCTCCTGCTGCTGACTAGCTAAATTACCATGCACATTGAATAGATAACTTTGTACTCTGCTGAGCATGCTGACAATCCTCTAGAAGTGAAATTCTATTTACAAGAGTTCACCAGGGATTTAATCTGGTTAACTTCAGGTCATATTTGCATCTAGAGATGTTTGCTTTCCCTACTCCGGATTCACTAGGCAAGCTGAGCTCATTACTGAGCCCTCAGCACCACTAGTCAGGAGTGGGACAGTCCCAATTGTGAAGGGGCTCCTCTGGATGAAAGGGAAATTACATTCCAATCGTCATCTCTCTTTCCATGTTACCTGTTTCCTGATGTCCACTCAACAGGCCAAATAAACATGACTGAAGTAGTAAACCTTAAAGAAGAGGTAACTTCAAAAATAGGTGAGAAATGAAGCATTTATTTGTTCTGTGTTAGTGAATGTGTATCTGATCAGCCCCAGAACGTGGGCTGTGAGAGATGGGTATGGAAGTAGCAGCACAATTTACTGCATTAAACAGACTGCTTTCCAAACTCTGCAATGGACAATTTAGTCTAAACCACCGTGTGAAGTGTGGATAATAGAAACAGGAAACCTGGGCCTTCCAGTGGAACTAATCTTTGTGAAATAGTCATAGCCTTATGAAACCATAAAAAGCAAAGCCGCTTCACCATATTATTTATTCCATACTAGCATCATCTGGATAAAAGAAAAGAGTGAAGAGGGAAAGAGAGAAACAAGCACATTATAGCTATCTAGGTCAAAATTTTAAACAACCTTTTGGTTTAAATGTGTGTGTGTGCTCTTTGCAAAGCTTCACTCAGAAGCCTTACTATCTTTGGGCTCTCCTTGCCACTTAACTATAACGTCACAAATATTGTTTGGCTGTTAGGCCATTTTTGCACAAATTATATAAAAATTTATGTTTTGATGTTTAAAATAGTTTTTGGTATTTCTTACACTGTATAATATCCTTAAAATCAAGAATTATAACCAATATTTTCAATGAGAGTGGAAAATAATTTTGACCAGAAAAGTGGTCACTTGCAGTCATGGATAGAGTGGATAGAGTGTGCTAAATCTAATGTATGTCCACATTTGTTTTACTATTAGTGTCAGGATTTTTCCAGGATAGTTCTTTTCTCAAATATTTCTTATTCAAGTCTAAACAATAATGTGATCTTATGCAATGTAAGCATCACAAAGACAAGAATGCTCTATCCCCATTAGAGTACATGGCACAAATCTAATGTATAGTAAATTTGAGGAAATGATAGAAATGTAACTCAAAATAAAATGAAATCTAATACAGCATATTCTTTCACTTCTTCTCAGGCCTCAAAATAAATCTTTCACTGCTAAAGGGTTAAACCAGGACTGTGTTATTCCCAGTCACTAATTAAAACCAAGTGGCAGAAACAGTACAGTGGTTTTACCCATTTATTATGAACCCACTTAAAATTCAATTAAATGGAAACAGGAAAATACTGCGGTAGAGACCACAGATTCTCAGTGTGACCTTTTCAACTCACCTGGCTTTCATTGTAATATTACTAGGCCTAACTCTGGGCAAAAACACATTAATTGAATATGACTTATTCCAAGACTCGGTCAACTTAAGCACAGAATACTCAATTTCTCTAGTATTGGTTTGATTCTTTTTCCTCTCCTGGATCATGGGTATAAGAGGAAATTAAGAAATATCTGATTGCAAACATTGGTGATTTACCCCAGTGAAGGATTAGGACAATTCAAACTGCAAATTTGGCCTTTGATTTCAGTGTGGAAATGACGGAGGCAGCAACATTCAAGGTTATCACAGGGCCCTTTCATCTCCAGCATTTGCCTTGCTATTTGTCAGCTTTTTTGCACTCTCAGTATCTGTCTACAACAAGACTTTCTAAAACCAGGCTGGCCTTGTGGACTGAATTTTTCAGAGCTTTCATAGAAGTCCCTTCCCTATGAACTCCCAAGCAACTACTTTAGGGAGACTGAAAATGTAACTTGGACCTTACCTGAATGGCATTATCTTACTTTTTTCTCACTCCCTAAAAGCAGTCTGGGAATTTAGGCAATATTGTCTGGGGGTGCTGGCCCCTCTACCCCTCTACAGACAGTCATGCCAAGTGACCTCCCTGAATCAACATAAGGAATGACCTAAACACTGGCTTTATGCATCCCTACATTTTCATGGGCAGCAAGGTGGCGGAAATGAGTAATGTAGCAATTGAATGGGCAGATAATTTTTTCGGCCATCTGTTGTGCATATGTCTAGCGGATCATCACTGTCTTGGACCTTGCAGTTTTATACAGATGGTATTCTCCAGAGACAGAAAGGGTCTAAAATGAGTCAGTGCAAAGATCAGTCTTAATATGAGAGATGATAGATAATTGCCTGTCTCACCATGTTTAAAAAATCAATTCTCTTGTAATCAACCACTTTGAGCATGCAGTTTGGGGGTTTCCAGTTAACTTGGACTTGCTTCTATGTGACTCTTATCTTATGCCACATCAAGTTTAAGGACAAAAATAAGGAGACTGTTGTTTAAGACTTCAATTTTGTTAAAAATGTTCACGAAGATTATTCATTGTCTTTGCAGTAAGAGTTTAACTTTTATCTTTTTTTGTTCATTCAATAAGTGATGTTTTCAGTAGTTTAACAAATATATATCCCACATTCTTAGCCCTGCTAAGAAAAAAGATATGCACTCATCACAGAAAAATGTACTGCAAATGAGACCCAGAACTGGCTTCTTCTTCAAGGTGCCAGGATATCTGACTTCCTGACTTTCATCATGAACTTGGCTCTCTCAGATAAAATGAAGATAAAATACATTTATCAAAGAACCCAGGTACAGAAAAGGCTCTACTGAAGTGGGAGTGAAAATTGATGAGTGAACGCTTACTGCAGAGAGATACCCCAGACCTCAAAAGAGTGTGTCTTCTGGGAGAAAAAAATAAATAGGCATATTTTAGGGGATAAATCCCTAATTCCACAGGATTTTCAGAAAAGGATCCAGGGAAGTACCAGGAGCCATAATAGTCCAGTACTCTGTCCCTATTTCTTCTTGAGAGAAAGCTGTATACGTTCAGAAGAATACGAAAACTTAGAATAGCACTGCATGTTTGTAGAATGACAGAATTAAGAACCAGAAAAAATAAAAATATTGAAACCACCAACAATGACTTTTGGATGAAGGTAGGTTTTGAGCCAGATTCGAAAGGTTCCTAAGTGCATCCGTTGGCAGCATGGAGTGGGCAGAGAGAGAAACAGACCAGGAGATGCTTTCCACAGCCATCTGGGCTTCTCCCTCTTCACATCCATCACACTTTATTGAAGTTGTTAAAAATCTGGCTACCTGCAAAACCATAAACTCTATGAGGACAGATACAATGATGAAGTTATTTGCTTTGATAATACTAGCCGAACACCTTAATGTTTGCTGACTAAATAGGGGTACAAATATTTACTTTGCTATAAAAGTCCTCTGCACACTAAGCATGTAATGGAATTTCATGGTTGGCTATCTGCTCTCTTTGCCATATTTAAGTTGCCTCCTCCACCATCACCAAACCAATCCCTGGCTCTGAGTCTCTAAGTCTCTAATTCCAGATGATTTGGCCCGTAGATCTGAGGCTGAAACATCTTACCCAGTGATTACTGATCACCTTTGTCTACTAAACTACTCAGCTTAGCACTTAAAATATTTCATTCATTATTCCTTCCTTACCTAAACCACCCACATATTTCTCTTTCCAAAATAATCCTTATGTTTCCATTTTATTCCTGCTTTCTAAATAAAAATTTGATGATGACGATGATGGCCAGGGACATTTCTAAGCACTTTATAGATACTGTCTTGTTTAATCCTCACAACAGTGCTATGGAAAAGGTGGTGTTACTATCTTCAGGTTAAGATGAGGAAACTGAGACAGAGAAGGCTTAATTAATATGTCCGGTCAAGCTGCTAGGAAGAAGTGGGCACCACTTGAATTTGAACCCAAGCATCCTGGCTCCAAAGATCATGCTCTTCAATACTATGGTATGCCTTTCTCCAAGGCACCTGAATGAGTGTTGACTAACTTTGAGGTCATCATGAAAGGGCCCTTTCATCTCTAGTATTTGCTTTTGCTATTTGTCAGCCTTTGATGCTCCCTTGATATCTGTCTAGAAGAAGACTTTCCAACACAGCCTGGCCCAGAATTTGGACTGAATTTTCCAGAGCTTTGACTGTGGTCCATTCTTAATGAGCTCCCAAGCAACTACCTCAAGGGAGAATGAAAATGTAACTTGGACCTTACCTGAATGACATTATTTTACTTATTTCTCACTCCCCAAAAGCAATCTGTCAGGAATTCAGAAAATTGTGCCAATTGCCAAGAGGGATGCTAAGATTGGACGGAAATAGACCTTGAAATTAAGACGCTTACTACGCGGAGAAAAGACTTGAATATAATGAGCAAAACACACTGCAGAAGTTGATGGATAACTTTTAACATAAGAAGGATCAGAACCAAGACTATCTCCTAGAATCCTTGGAGGCTTTCCCACTCACATAAAAAAATAGGGACTGAAATTTGGCAAAGGATTGTAATCTATCTACTGTGTGACCTGCCCAACCCCTAAACTTCTTTCAAGGCTACTTAAAGAGTTTCTCTTCTAAAAAGTTACCAGTTACCAATCCTATGCCCACTATAGTTTGTATCTTATTCTGAATTTCCTGAGTATTCATGGCTTGAGACTGACCCACCCAATTACAAACATAATCAAATATTAGCTTATAATTATATTTTAGATGGTTAAAGCATAAGTTCTATCATCCTAAGAAAAATCTTAAACACTACAGAAACAACTACCATAAAACTATCTCAAAGTTCTTGAAATTCTCACTACAGTGCAGAGCAGGCATCGGTATTCAATAAACAATAAATGACTGAACAACAAATAAGTGAATAAAGGAGCATTTCTGCTTTGATTTTTACATAATGACCTGGAGCTTAAGAGGAAAGTGAGAGAGAGAACTTAGAATAGAAGGCATGTTGGCTTCTGATTTTATTAAAATGTTTCATCAGATAGAAGATGTGGTTCTCCCAAAATAAAGACCAGGAGCACAGGAAAACAGCACTGTGTCTTGGCAAGAGAAAAAAAAAAATAACACCCCTCCCAACCCAACACACAATGCCCCTACATGCTCATGTATTTGGAGGTAATAGTCAATTTACTGGCACACAATGCAAGTCCTTTCTGGAAATGATTACTCTCAAAGATCCACTTTTAGTCCAATGTGTTACAAAATGAGAGGGAGGCCATCCAATTCTTACTTTCCCTTTGTGATGAACTGTTAAAAAGTGATACAAGAGGATAAAAGATGAGATGGGAAGGGAAAGAGACAGAAGAGTAGGCTGTAGGAGACCAAATAAAAAGTTCAAAGTGGCAAGCACTGCAAAGTAACACTTCATCATTCCCAATTTTACTCCTGGTTGTCTATCTGGAGTGTTGTCATTACCTATGAGAGACCAGCTCCAAAAAGTTCAGTGTGTTCCTGTAAAATCTTTGGACCTAGACTCAAGTTCAAGAATGCACAAATGATGCCTCCAAGCATTATGATATGCTTGCAAAGTTCTACTGACCTATCCTGATGAAAATATCAACTGACCTTGAAAGTTTACCAGGTCTCAGTGAGCAGGTCTGGGGAGTTAAGAAGAAAGACACCATAGTGCAAAAGAATGTGGAGTATGCAAAGGGCAGAAGCTGACGGCTTATGAACTGCACATTATTTGAGGTGGCTCTTTCTAAAAAGAATTCTAGGACATCCCTATCCACTGTTGCCATTATCCACTTAATTATGTAGAGTCACCATAAAAATTTAAGTATTTTGTGGAGAATGGGCACCTCTCCATCTGTGAATGCTACCAAAGGTAGAGCCATTAGTTCAGCAAGTAAGCCCAGCCTACTCACTCTGAGACTTCATTATTATTGGTATTGCTGCAGGACCCATCTCCTGGAACTTTCCACTTTCTCCTGGGTTTATTTGCTTCACTTCACCCTTCAAAATTCCCAGGAACATTTGTGTCGTATGAACTCCCAGTCAGTTTATAGATTATCTTTCCCTTGACCTGGTACCTAAACCCCAGGCTTTTATATTTAATCAGCTATTGAATATTAATTTTGTTTTTTGTTAGAGATCTTAAACATAAGATGACCAAAATGTAAATCTTGATTTCAGCTCACTCCTGGAAACCCATTTCTTCTCCATTGTCTACGTCTCAGTAAATGGCAGAAACACTCACCAAATTGATAAAGGCTAAAACCTATGAGCCATTTTTAATTTCTCTTGTTCTTACCTCTCACATTCCATCTGCTAGTTCTGTGACTATACCTGTTAATACTGTATATCCTAACTTTTCCTTCTTTTCTCTATCCACACTACTACAGTCTTAGTCCAGCCACTATCATCTCTCACTTGCATGATGACAAAAACTTATTAACTCATCTTTCAGCTAATATCATGTTGAAAAGCCAATCAGACTTATTAGCTTGGTGGTCAAAATAAAACCAAAGTAAATTATTATATTTACTTGTAAAATAATTGTATATATAATAATACAATCAGCCTCCAGGTATAGGAAACAATGATTATGTAAAGGCAACTGTAATACTCTATATTTTATTAAATTTTACAATGATTTCATTATCCAAGTGAGACTTTAACTTGTTACTGGTTAACATTGAATGTGTATCATGCCAACTCCCAAGTAACCACCATGATCTACCACCTAAGCAACTGCAAATAGCCTCCTAACTGGTCTCCAAATTTCTGTTTTTGCTCCACTGAACTCCATTATCCACAAAGCTATTAGAGTGAAGTTTTTAAGGAGCAGATCAGTATTTATGAGTCTTGCATTTAAAATCCAGTGTGGCAGATATCTCCTTATTCTCTGTTTTCTTTAAAATAATGATCTCCTCCAGCAAGTTTTTTTTTTTTTTTTTTTTTTTTTGAGACGCTCACTCTGACGCCCAGGCTGGAGTGCAGTGGCACAATCCCAGCTCACTGCAAGCTCTGCCTCCTGGGTTCACACCATTCTCCTGCCTCAGCCTCCCAAGTAGCTGGGACTACAGGCGACCACCACCACGCCCGGCTAATTTTTTGTATTTTTAGTAGAGACGGGGCTTCACCACGTTAGCCAGGATGATCTCGATCTCCTGACCTCATGATCCGCCTGCCACGGCCTCCCAAAGTGCTGGGATTAGAGGCATGAGCCACCGCGCTCAGCCTCCTCCAGCAAGTTTTAAGAGTACGTGACTGCCTCTTTTGTTCTAATGAGGTAAAGCCACACAACTAAGTTTGGGCTATGGATATGAGCAGAACTTATATGTGTGCAACTTCCAAGTGATCTCTAAATGCAAAGCCACTAATTCCAAACTCCCTTTTTCCTCCCTTCTATGGGGTGAAATACAGATATGATGGTGATGAACAAGAAGAGATCTTGCTTGTCTTATTCTCATCTGAAAAATAATGACACTTAGTAATCACTCAAGTATTTTTTAAGTGAATGAAAGATGGAGGAACAGTGTAAGATAACCTACACATCCTCTTGGTACAAAGAGCTATTAGATGTCTGATAGTAAACAATATAGTATGTCTACTAGGAAGCATTCTGCAAAAATTATGAAAAAGAGAAAAGGCAATCTATTCCAACTTAATAACAAAAGGTCATAACTGATCTTCTAGTAATTATTAAACACATAAAAATCAATAGCCAGAAACTTTAAGTCAATGATCCATGCCTAGATGTGACACAAAAGTATGATCTTGTGTCCAAGGTCAAGAATAAAGGACAATTGAATCAAGGATGCTTAGTCAAATGAGAATCCATATTTATAACTCAACAAAATCAAAGAGAGAGGAAAGATCAAAATAATTTAACATATTTGTAGGGCATTAATGAGCTCAAGTACATTGCCTAGAGTAACAAAGAAGAAAGACTATTTTATTTTGTCTTAATCTTTTAAGAAAAGAGGGAATGTATTGTCTTACCTAGTTGCACTGTTAGAAGATTGTCAGAATTCAGGCAAAAGTGGGCCCAAAAGTTAAAATGATGTCATCAGGTTTTCTGTTTTATTATTTTTTTTTATTTTGCACTAAATTTAGAATTATAGAAAATGTATCAAGACTTGTAAAAGAGTCCTGTATACCACTCATGAAGCTTCCCCTTTTGTTAACATTTTACATAAACATAGGACAATTATCAAAACTGGGAAATTAACACTGATATAATTCTATTAACTGAACTAGAGACCTTATTCTACTTTCACCAGTTTGTTCACTAATGTTCTTTTTTTTCATTTCAGGATTCCACCAGGATCCTACCTTGTATTTTGTTGTAATACCCCTCAGTCTCCTCTGATCCATAACAGCTCCTCAATTTTTCTATCTTTCTTGATATAGATACTTTGCAGATTACTGATTAGTTATTTTGTAGAATGTCTCTCGGTTTGGGTTTCTCTGGTTTTTGTGTCAACATTAGAAGGAAGTTCTGCATTGCTGGCAATAATACCACAGAAATGATGTCATTTCTTTCTCAAGGAATCTTATCAAGGGGTTAATGGTACATATATGTCTCATTACACTTGACTAATGTGGTATATGCTGGCTTTCTCCACTGTAAATTTATTATTTTTCCCTATATAGATAAAACTTTGAAGGAGATCATTTAAGACTATGCAAATTCCTTTTTCTCCCCCAAACTTCTGCCCACTAATTTTAGTGAGATAGAGAATTTTAAGTAGAAAAAAGTCCTGTTTTAGTAGTGCTACAAGAAAAATTCTAATCTGAAGTTGCTTGAAAAAATGTTTTAAGAAATTCATAGGTATTCTAAAATATCATTTAAAAATTATAGCAGTGTTTAACTATTGCATTTGCTTTAAAGGCTTTCTACTAAGGGTCCTTATACTTTTCAAGGTCATGGAGCCTCTTGAGAATCTGGTGAAAGACAAAAGTTCATTCTTCCTAGAAAAATGCAAATTGCATATGTTGAGAATTTAGGGACTTCATCAACCACCAAAGCTCATCCTTGGATTCCTGAAGTGTCTCCAGGCAAAGCACCCCTTTATTAATAACAAAGAATATCTGTAAGTCAATTTGCTTTTCATAGGTCTATCTATATGCCCATCATTGATGATGTTCTTTCCTTAGTTTGTTATGGAAGGAAGGAAGGAAGGAAGGAAAGAAGGAAGGAAGGAAGGAAAGAAGGGAGAGTGGGGAAGGAGGGAGGGAGGGAAGGTAGAAGTAAGGAAAGAGAAGGAAAAAGTCATATTATCCCATGTCCCCATTACTTCTCTTACCCAGAATAGAAAAATGTATTGGACCAAAGTTGGCCAATTCCACTTAATTTTTTTTCCTAGACTGCTTTTCAAATTGGATCTTGAGTGTACTAAAAACTATTCATTTTGCCCCATTCAGCTTTCTTTCCATCCAGCTAATTCCCCCAGTGAGCACGTTGTTCCCCAAAAGCCTTCAGGTTTCTTTTAAATCTATGTTCACAGAACTTGTGCATAAGAACAAGAATTGTATTCTTCTAATTAAAAAGTAGAAAATAACTAGGATGTTTCGACAACTGCTTTTAAAAATAAATTCTTACCAGGATCCTCAGGTCTCTGTGACCACTTCCCACATATTTTATTAAAAGCCTAAAAACAGAAAGAATTGCTAGCATTTGAGGGGTTTTTTTGTTTCTCTGAAACAGTTTATCTTCTGAAGCAACTGACCCCATCTCATGAAATGTTTGCAGCAAATATGTACTATGTTTAGTTAGTGTTGTGAAATTTCTGTTTTTGCAATATGTTGGGATGCTGAGTGTTAGTCAAATGGATTTTATTTGGAAATTAAAAGCAAATTTCATAGGCTACTTGCTTTGCAGCTGAAGAATCTGGGTCAGTCAGTCAGAAAAACATGAGCTTTTTTTCCCATGGCTTTGAGGTAAGCACTGTGGGTTTCCTAGAAGGATTCTGCCCCTACCACCTAAGAGAGTTCTGGGTGTTTGTTACAACCATGTCTTTATCCTAAGGGGTCTTGGGCTTAACCATTGTTCTAGAAAATCTTGAGGCAAATCTACTACTTTAATCTTTTAAATAGTATAATTTGGAAAGACTCTTTCAAGCAAATCTAATTCAAATGAGTCCATCTGCTAAGCCCAAAATATGAGTTTTTCATAAAATGCAGATGCAATAACAGACTCAAAGCATAAGAGACTTTTATACAACCCATTAAGCAATAGTCAACCCCTTCCTTTTGTAAAAAGAGAAATGAAATGTATCATCTTCTAACCAATACAATAAGTCCTACTAGTTTAAGCTTTGATGTTACCATATGAAGCATTCTTTCTCTATTATGTTCAAAATCGTGGAGAACATTCTGATAATAAGACCTATCTTTATGACCTAATTGATTTCCTGTGTTAATGCTAAGGAAATAATGAAGGAAACTTTTGAAGTTTAAGCTCCCCATTAATCCATGGGACATTTTAATTCATTGAATTTCTTTATAAGAAACACAAAAACAAATCTTCTCCAAGAAATGTAGCAAAGCAATGTCCTTAAAAGGAAAGTCTAACATCTGATTTAGTGATAGGAGTTTGGACATGCACAGCTAGATGATGTAGTACCTATTTCTCTACTCAGTAATTACGCTAACTATTCTATTAATTTAAATTACTTGATAGTTATGGGCACATGAACTACACATACCTTCAGCCACTTGCTTTCTGAGTTGGTTTTTCAGTGTCCTGAGGAAATTATTACTCTTGAGAAAAAAGAAGAAAATAAAATCTAGGCTCCAATATCACCCCCATTTCAAAGTCACATAGATTTGTTTTGACTCACACTTAGCATCTTACTTTTCAAATTAAACAACTATTTATTTTCATCATGAGAGATGAAAATTTTTAAAATTAGAAAACTTTCAGATAATAGATGAAAGCACATGTGATTCCCAGCACTAGCACTAAGGGCAGAGCACCTGCTGTAATTCTGTACTGAAGACTACAATTCTGAGATGGTTTAGCAGCATCATTTTTTTTTTTGTTTTTTGGGGTTTTTACTTTTGTCTTTAAAATGATATCAGACAACATATCACATGCCTGAGTTTAGAGCTGGGTTTTAGGAGATTCTGCTCTCAAAGCAGAACAAAAGAAAAAACTATTAAATTGCAATGAACTTTTGGCTCTGTGGTCTAGTTTAATCGGGATTGGAAAGAGAATTTAAAATGGTGTGTTTCTATTCGTCAGCAGCAAGCCATTAAAACTATATTTAAAGAGAAAACACAATGAATCTTCTATATTAATCTTATATGCAGTTACCTTGCTAAATTCCCATGTTGTGTCTAATAATGTGAAGGTTTACTCTTTGGGTTTTCTATAGAAATCACATAATCTACAAATAATCTGTAGATAATCACAATTTTGTTTCTTCCTTTCCAATCCTTATATCTCTGATTGCCTCATTATACCGTATAGGACTTCATGTACAATTATGAACAAAAGTGGTAATAAGTTTTTTCCTTGTGCCATTCCTGATTTCAAAGAGAATGCTTCCAATGTTTGCTCATTTAAGATAATGTTAACTTTTGGATTATTTTATAGATGCTTTTAGTCAGGTTAAGAACTATCCTTTCTCATTTCTAATTGAAGAAGAGTTTTTAAAATCATAAGTGGGTTTTAAGTTTGATGAAAGACTTATCTATTGAAATGATCTTTTGGTTATCTGTATTATTCTGTAAATATGGTAAGGTACATTTATGGATTTTCTAATAATAAACCATCCTTGTATACCTGGAATACATTCCATTTGGTTGTGATATATTGTCTTTCATATACTCTTTTGGGTTTGATTCATTAATATTTTGTTAGCTGTTTTACATCTAAATTAATGAGTTAAAATAACCTGTAATCTTCATGTCTCATAATTTATTTGTTCTGATGTCAAAGTATACTTGCCTTACAGAATAGGTTGTGTGGTATTCCCTCTTTTTCTTTTGTCTGAAAGTGTTTGTATAAAATTGAGATTATCTCTTTCTAGAAAGCTTGGTAGAACTCAACTATAAGACAGTCTTGACTTAGTATTTCCTCAGCAGGAAGATTTTAACCACTGCGTTGAATTTTAAGATAGTTATAGGATGATTCAAGATTTTAAAATTTCTTTTTATGTTCTTGTAAGTTACATTTTTCTAGCCATTTGTCCATTTCTCCAAAGTTTTCAAAAACGTCGGTTTTTGGTGTTGATGGCATTGTTTTATTATCTTTTTATAAATTTATTTATTATTATTATACTTTAGGTTTTGGGGTACATGTGCACAATGTGCAGGTTAGTTGCATATGTGTGCATGTGCCATGCTGGTGCGCTGCACCCACTGACTCGTCATCTAGCATTGGGTATATCTCCCAATGCTATCCCTCCCCTCTCCCCCCACCCCACAACAGTCCCCAGAGTGTGATGTTCCCCTTCCTGTGTCCATGTGTTCTCATTGTTCAATTCCCACCTATGAGTGAGAATATGCGGTGTTTGGTTTTTTGTTCTTGCGATAGTTTACTGAGAATGATGATTTCCAATTTCATCCATGTCCCTACAAAGGACATGAACTCATCATTTTTGATGGCTGCATAGTATTCCATGGTGTATATGTGCCACATTTTCTTAATCCAGTCTATCAATGTTGGACATTTGGGTTGGTTCCAAGTCTTTGCTATTGTGAATAATGCCACAATAAACATACGTGTGCATGTGAAAAAAAAATAATAATAAAAAATAAAATAAAATGGTGTGTTTCTTAAGAAGCCCATTGCAATTCACTAGGAATTTTCTAAACATGCATTTTCCACCTATATGCTATATAAAAGAAAAATATTAGAGGTTCTAGAGGGGCCAAATTTTCACCATCATTTTAATTTAACCAGGATGTGATAAAGAGAGTATAAAGAGGGTACTTAAAGAGGAGTTAAGAGATTCCACTACTGATTAATTAAATGTTTTAGTCATGAAAACAGATTTTAGTCTTTAGATTGCTCTATCCTAGTCTATCCTTTAGATTGCTCCAAAATAAAGGAGTTAAAGTAGATTATTCTCAGGGACTTTTCTAATTTATAGTTGTTTGAATTCTATCACTGTTTCTAAGGCGAGTATAAGAAGTTTAAAGAGGACTTTTCTTTTTGTGATCTCATAGTAAAGCCTTAAAGTGTACCAACTGGCTACTTATCAACACAATTATTCTTCATTCCAATGCCTCCTGCCATATTTTATTCATGTCTCCCATGGAGATATTTATAACCCATCCCATATTCATATAAAGTAAAGGGAAAATTTTATCAGGCTCTATACTTAATAGCTTAGCACAGAAAAACAGCAGTTGCCTCTCCCAGAGACCTTAGAAAAAGTGTGACTACACTGAAAAGTCAGCAGACCTCAGTATGTGGGTCAACTCTTCCCTTCACCCTGGCAAGCTTTACAAGCAGAACTTTTGATAGACTCTGTAGAAGTAACTGCTGAAACCAATTAATACCAGACAAGAGAAAATATTAATTGAGCTTGCATAATATAGATAGCATTTTGCCAGACCCTACGGAGAGATTCCAAACAAATATAAGATCTACTGGCTTCCTTCAAAGAGCTCATTGTGTGTTTAGAGGAACTGGAACTTGAAGAATGAGAAGGAAAAGTCACTTTTCTTCTTCCAGTCCTAGTGCTCTCTCAGATATACAACCATCTAATTCGTTCAACTAATAGTATACTTGGACAGTACAGACATATTTTAACATTGTAATGATTTAAACTCTCACACTAGTCCAAAAATAAATAGATTAATGAAACTAAATACATAGCCTGATTTAGTGTTTGAAAACTGATAAAAGAGAAACATCACAAACCACTGTGGCAAATATGACTTGCACAACCAATGGAGTTAAGAGAACTAGATAACCATTGAAAGGAAATCAATGTGAGGTCAATGGAGGTATTTATCATATATTGAAATAACCTTTATGTGGATTAAAAGGTTAATTCTAAAAATCTTACATGGCAAACATAAAATGTTGTTGAATGTAATTTGACTTCTGCATAGGGAAGGATCATGATGCTTATAAACAATGGAAAATTTACAATAGAAAAGATAAATATAACCACCTAAAAATTTAAATTTTGTGTGTAAAACTGATCAAAATTAGAAGGCAGACTATCAACTACAAGAAAATATTCACAAAAAGAAATGACAGTTAAAATATCATTCCCTTATAAAGGCCCACAGAAATTGTCACAACAAATATCAAAATCCTCATAATAAATTGACAAAGAGCCATAAGCAGACAATGGACAGAAAAACATGATACTGTTAGAACTGTCAGATTAGCAAGATTTTTTTTTTTCTGTGATACCATTAAATGTTAGAAGTAATATGAAAGAATCAGCAAACTCTTAGTCTATTGTTTGGAATTTCAAAAAAAGTATAATTTTTTTTATTTTTTAATTTGAGACGGAATCTCACTCTGTAGCCCAAGCTGGAGTACAGTGGCAAGATCTTGGCTCACTGCAACCTCCGCCTCCCAGGCTCAAGCTATTCTTGTGCCTGAGCCTCCTGAGTAGCTGGGGACTACAGGCACGTGCCACCACGTATTTTGTATTTTAGTGCTGGTTAATTTTTTGCATTTAATGGAGACAGGGTTTCACCCTGTTGCCCACAGTGGTCTTGAACTCCTGAGTACAGGTGATCCACCCACCTTGGCCTCCCAGAGTGCTGGGATTTTTGGGCATGGGCCACTGCGCCCAGCCAGAGTGTAAAATTTCTAAAAAGATGCATGGCAATGTATTTCAAGGGCCCAAAAAATTCTTATACAGTTTGACCTCTTGAAATCCAGCCTAAGGAAATAAACTGTTATATGAAGAAAGTTTTAGGCACACAGATGTTAAATGCAGTGATTTTTTAATGGCAAATAAATGATTGAGTTAAGTGAAAGGAAACATTTAGAAAACCAAATAATAAATAAATTATTAAATTAATTATAATTTATCTTATTTTGGTAATATAGAAAAACTTCATTACAATGTTAGCTGAAAAACTAACATAGAGATTGTACAGGTAATGAATTTAGCTATATTTTGTTATGATGTTTTATAAAACATAAGATAATTCTAGAAAAGAAAAACCTTAAAGCACTGACAGAGTCTGTCTTTGGTTGGTGGGACTATGAATATGCTTTGTACATTTTCCTTTTTTTTTTTTCACTTTTATATATTCAATTAGCATGTAGTACTTTGAAATAAAAAATTAAGTTATAAACTATTTTAAGGAATAAAACAACAAAAGTACTGAAACTAGATTTATAATAATAAAGTCTATAGTAAAAGTCTACTTTTTTCAAATTGCTAGTTAAGTAAAATTATCTATGATAGTGCCTATTAATACCAAAGGTAGCATTTGAAGAAATTTCATTCCATGGTAAGTTACTATAATGGCCATTGTAATTCCAGCTAACTGACATAGCCTTCTCTAGGAGAAAAGCTTAAAGAAGGATAGCCAGTTGGTTAAGCACAAACTCTGAGGCCAAACTCCTTGTGTTAAGATCCTAGCCCCATTATCTGCTAAGTCCCTCAACCTCAGTTTCCTCATGTGTAAAGTGGTGAAAATAATAGTGCTCACAACACTGAATTCTTATGATAATTCAATGAGTTAATATGTTTCATGTGCTTAAAACAAAGGCTAAAACACAATTAACGCTCAACAAATATTAGCTGCCATTATGCTTATTATCACTGAAGCTTCCTCACCACACTAGTTTGAGTTCATTAGATATCTCAAAATGTACATCTCAAAAGGATACAATATAATCAGCACACACATGAAAATTCTGTTTTTTCCATTGCTGTGATAGCTGAGCACTTCTAACATGGATTACAAAAATTACCCTCATTAACACTTTGAAAGAAAAGTACAAATCAAGACCCACATGTCATATGTCTACATGCTTTAAAAGCTAACGAATCATTAAATTAACAAAAATTCTATCCTCCTTGTTTGACAAATACACTTCATGGTGACCTAGAAGGCCAAGTTCAAATGTAAACTTCTCACAATCCTTAGAATTCAGCATCTATGAATGGCTGAATGGGGAGAACCCTGCCACTGCTACCACCAACACCAGCACACATGTGCATGGCATAGACAGAATTCTATCAGATAAATTTTACAAAGGATTGAAATAGTTAAAAAGAATTAAGCAGAAATACTGGAATTGAAAAACGCAATTGATATACTGAAGAACACATCAGAGCCTTTTAATAGCAGAATTGATAAAGCACAAGAAAGAATTAGTGAGCTTGAAGACAGGCTACTTGGAAATACACAGTCAGAAGAGACAAAAGAAAAAAAGAATAAAAAACAATGAAGCACACCTACAAGATCTGGAAAATACCTCAAAAAGCCAAATCTAAGAGTTATTGGCCTTACAGAGGAGGTGGAGCAAGAGATAGGGGTAGAAAGTTTATTCAAAGCCAAAAGAGAGAACTTCCTAAACCTAAAACATTCAAGTACAAGAAGGATATAGAACACCAAGCAGATTTAACCGAAAGATAACTATCTCAAGGCATTTAATAATGAAACTCCAAAAGGTCAAGGATAAAGAAAAGATCCTGAAAGCAGGAAGAGAAAAAAAATGACATACAATAGTGTTCCAATATGTCTGGCAGCAGACTTTTCAGTGGAAATCTTACAGGCCAGGAGAGAGTGGCCTGACATATTTAAAGTGCTGAAGGAAAAAAGCTTTTACCTAGAATAGTGTATCTGATGAAAATATCCTTAAAACCTGAAGGAGAAATAATAAATTTCCCAGACAAACAAAAGCTGAGGGATTTCATAAACACCAGACCTGTCCTACAAGAAATGCTAAAGGGAATGCTTCAATCAAAGAAAAGGATGTTAACGAGCAACAAGAAATCATCTGAAGGTACGAAACTCAGTGTTAATAGTAAGTACACAGAAGCTAGGTGCAGTGGCTCATGCCTGTAATCCCAGCACTGTGGGAGGCTGAGGTGGGCAGATCACCTCATGTCAGGAGTTCGAGACCAGCCTGACCAACATGGTAAAACCCCGTCTCTACTAAAATACAAAAAAAATTAGCCAGGCGTAGTGGCGAGCACCTGTAATCTCAGCTACTTGGGAGGCTGAGGCAGGAGAATTGCTTGAAACCAGGAGGCGGAGGTTGCAGTGAGCCGAGACCGCGCAACTGCACTCCAGCCTGGGCAACAAGAGTGAGACTCTGTCTCAAAAAAAAAAAAAAATAGTAAGTACACAGAAAAACACATAATATTATAACACTATAGCTGTAGTGTGTAAATTACTCTTAAGTAGAAAGAACCGATCAAAAATAATAATTACAATTACTTTTCAAGGCATACATGGTACAATAAGACATAAAAAGAAATGTTAAATACTGGGTACAAAGTTAAAGTATAGAGTTTTTTAGTTTTCTTTTTGCTTTTTTGTTTATGCAAACAGTATTAAGTTGTTATCAGAATAAAATAACAAGTTATAAGACAGTATTTGCAAGCCTCATAGTAATCTCAAATCAAAAAAGTTACAATGAATACAGAAAAAATAAAAAGCAAGAAATTAAATTATATCACCAGAGAAAATCACTTCCATAGAAGGAAGATAGGAAGGAAGGAAATAAGGAAGCTAAGACCACAAAACAATCAGAAAACAAATAGCAAAATGGCAGGAGTAAGTCCTTACATATCAGTAATAACATTGTATACAAATGGACTAAACGCTCCAATCAAAAGACACAGAGTGGCTGAATGAATTAAAAAACAAGACCCAATCATCAGTTGTCTATAAGAAACACATTTCACTTACAGACACACATAGTCTGAAGATAAAGAGATGGAAAAAGATATTCCATGCCAATGGAAACAAAAAAAAGAATAACTATGATTATATCAGACAAAATAAATTTCAAGACAGAATCTATAAAAAGAGACAAAGAAGGTAGCTATGTAATGATAAAGGGATCAGTTCAACAAGAGGATATAACAATTGTAAATACATATGCACCCAACACTGCAGCACACAGATATATATAAAGCAAATATTATTAGCATTAAAGAGAGACATCGACCCCAATATGATAACAGCTAGAGACTTCAACACTGTACTGTGAGCATTGGACAGATCTCCCGGACAAAATATCAATGAAGAAACATCAGACTTAATCTTCACTATAGAATAAATAGGCCTAAGAGATATTTATAGAACATTTCATCCAACAGCTGCAAAATACACATTCTGTTTCTCAGCACGTGGATCATTCTTAAGGACAGACCATATGTTAGATCACAAAACAAGTCCTAAACATTCAAAAAATTGAAACAATACCAAAGATCTTTAACCACAATGGAATAAAACTAGAAATCAATAACAAGAAGAATTGTGGCAACTATCTAAATACATGGAAATTAAACAATGTGCTCCTGAATGACCAGTGGTTAATGAACAAATTAAGAAGGAAATTTTAAAATTTCTGGATACAAATGATAATGGATATACATACCAAAACCTATGGGATACAGTGAAAGCAGCAAAGAGACAAGTTTACAGCTATAAATGCCTACATCTAAAAAGAAGAAAATCTTCAAATAAACAAGCTAATGATACATCTCAAGGAACTAGAAAAGAAAAAGCAAATAAAATTCGAAATCAGTAGAAGAAAAGAAATAATAAAGATTACGGCAGAAATAAATGATTTTGAAATGAAGAAAACAATACAGAAGATTAAACAAAAAGCTGGTTTTTGAAAATACAAAATTGACAAACCTTTAACAAGGAAAAAAGTGAGAAAACTCAAATACATAAAATCAAAGATGAGAAAACAGACATTACAACCTGATACTGCAGAAATTCCAAGGATCCTTGGTGGCTGCTATGAGCAACTATATACCAGTAAATTGGAAAAGTCTATAAGAAATAGATAAACTCCTAGACACATAAAACCTACATATTGAACCATGAAGAAATTCACAACCTGAACAGACCAATAAAAAGAAATGAGATCAAAGCCATGATAAAATGTTTCCAAGCAAAAAAAGCCCAGGATCCAATAGTTTCACTGCTGAATTATCCCAAACATTTAAAGAAGAACTAATACCAATATTACTCAAACTATTCTGAAAAATAGAGAAGGAGGGAATACTTCCAACCTCATTCTCCTAATTTAGATTATCCTAACACCAAAACCAACCAAAGTCACATAAAAAAAGCACACTATAGGCCAACATCACTGATGAATACTAATGCAAAAATCCTCAAAAGAAAAATACTAGCAAACTGAATCCAACAACACATTAAAAAGATCATTCATCATGACTAAGTAGGATGCCTGGGATTCAAGGATGGTTCAACATACATGAATCAACTAATGTGATACCTCATACCAACAGAATGAAGGACACAAACCATGTGACCATTTCAAATGATGATGAAAAAAGCATTTGATAAAATTCAACATTCCTTCATGATAAAATCTCTCAAAAGATTAAGTATAGAAGGAACATACTTCAACATAATAAAAGCCACATACAATTGAACCATACCTAGTATACTGAATGGGGAAAAACTGAAAACCTTTCCTCTAGGATCAAGAACATGACAAAGATGCTCACTTTCACCACTGTTATAAAGGGTACCCAAATTGGAAATAACATGTCAAATTATCCTTGTTTGGAGGTAATATGATCTTATATTTGGATAAACCTAAGACCCAACCAAAAAGCTATTAGAACGGATAAACAAATTGAGTAAAGTTTCAGAATAGAAAATCAACATACAAAAATCAGTAGCATTTCTATATGCCAACAGCAAACAATCTGAAAAAGAAATTAAAAAGTAATCTCATTTACAACATCGACAAATAAAATTAAATATCTAGGAGTTAACCAGAGAAGTGAAAGAACTCTAAGATGAATGCTATGAAACATTGATGCAGGAACTGAAAGAAGACACACACAAAAATGGAAGTATATTCCATTTTCATGAATTGGAAGAATCAATATTGTTAAAATATCTATACTACCAAGATGAAATGCAATTCCTATCAAAATACCAATGACATTCTTCACAGAAATAGAAAAAATATCCTAAAATTCATATGGAATGCCAAAAGACCCAGAATAGCCAAAGCAATTCTAAACAAAAATAAATGAAACTGGAGGAATCATATTACCTGACTTTATATTATGATACAGAACTATAGCAACCAAAACAGCATGATACTGGCATAAAAATAAATCCATGCATCTATAGTGAACTCATATTTTTAAAAGGTGCCAAGAACATACATTGGGGCAAGGAGAGTCTCTTCAATAAATTATGCTGGGAAAACTGAATATCCATATGCAAAGCAATGAAACTAGGCTCCTCTCTCTCACCACATACAAATATAAAATCAAAATTGATGAAAGACTTAAATCTAAGACCTCAAACTATGAAACTACTATAAGAAAACATTACAGAAACTCTCCAAGACACTGGACTGAGCAAACATTTCTTAAGCAATACCTACAAGCCAGGTAACCAAAGCAAAAATGGACAAATGGGATCACATCAAGTTAAAAATCTTTCTGCACAGCAAAGAAACAATCAACGAAGTGAAGAGACAACCCACAGAATGGGAGAAAATATTTTCAAACTGCTGATCTGACAAGGGATTAAACAGAATATATAAGGAGCTCAAATAACTCTACAGGAAAAAAATCTAAAAATCCAATTTAAAAATGGGCAAAAGATCTGAATAGACATTTTTCAAAGGAAGACATACAAACGGCAAATAGGCATATGTAAAGATGCTCAACATCATTGATCATCAGATAAATGCAAATCAAAACTACAATGAGATATCATCTCACTCCAGTTAAAATGACTTGCATCCAAAAGTCATGCAATAACAAGAGTTGGTGAGTATGAGGAGAAAAGGGAACCCTTGCACACTGCCAGTAGGAATGTAATTAATACAACCACTGTGGAGAATAGATTGGTGGTTCCTCAAAAAACTAAAAATAGAGCTACCATATGATCCAGCAATCCCACCCCTAGATATATACTCAAAAAAAAGGAATTCAGGGTATCAAAGAGAGACACCTGCACTCCCATGTTTAGTTTAATGCAGCATTGTTCACAGTAGCCAAGATTTGGAAGCAACCTAAGTGTCCATCAATAGATGAATGCATATAGAAAACATGATGCATACACACAATGGATTGCTATTCAGCTATATAAAAATAATGAGATCCTATAATTTGCAACAATATGGATGGAATTGGAAGTCATTATGTTAAGTGAAATAAGCCAGGCATAGAGAGACAAGCTTTGCATGTTCTCAATTATTTGTGGGAGCCCAAAATTAAAATAATTGAACTCATGGAGACAGAGAGTAGGATGGTTACTAAAGGTTGGGAAGGGTTGTGGGAAGAAGTGGAGATGGTTAATAGGTACCAAAAACAATAGTCAAAAAGAATACAAAAGCCCTAATACTTGATAGCACAACAGGGTGACTATAGTAAAAGATAATTTAATTGTACATTTAAAATAACTAAAAGAGTATAACTGAATTGCTTGTAACACAAGGAATAAATGCTTAAGGCAATGAATACCCCACCTACCATGATGTGATTATTACACATTGCATTCCTTTATCAAATTATTTCATATAACCCATAAATATATATACCTACTCTGTACCCACAAAAAAATTTTTTTAAAAGAGCCAAAGATGGCCAGGCATGGTGGCCCATGCCTGTAATTCCAGCACTTTCAGAGGCTGAGGCGGGTGGATCACGTGAGGTCAAGAGTTTGAAATTAGACTGGCCAACATGGTGAAACTTCACCTCTATTAAAAATACAAAAATTATCTGGGTGTGGTGGTAGGTGCCTGTAATCCCAGCTACTCAGGAGGCTGAGGCAGGAGAATCACTTGAACCCAGGATGCAGAGGTTGCAATGATTTGAGATTGTGCCACTGCACTCCAGCCTGGGCGACAGAGCAAGACTTCGTCTCAAAAAAAAAAAAAAAAAAAAAAAAAGCCAAAGATTTGGATTAATGGCTTAATGGAGCAGGGTGCTCTGAGGCCTACTGTGTGAAGGAGGTGGAGAAAACAGCAGCAAGTGTGCCAATAGTTATCTGAAGACTCAACAGGTTTTTAATGTGGACCATGCAACTGTGTGATAGAGTTGGCTTGTATTAGCTGGCGTGATAACTGATTATAGCTGGCTATGAAAACTAATTGCACATATCTCTTCCAATTCTGGGTTCAATTATGTCAAGTTGGGAGCTTGAAATCTGCCACAGAGGGAGTACTTACATGAAGGAAATAAGCAAATGCTAAAAATTACAAATCATTCCTTTTTTCACCCCTTATTGGAGAGCTGGTTCTTTAATATTCATCACCACACCACTGGCATCATGACAGTAAGTTCCAAATCTGCCTCATAAGAAAGCTCATCATCTAAGAAGGTTTTCTAATTTCCTCATTATCAAGGACATATATTTGTATTTTTGTAATTGAAATAATTTTAGTACTGTTCATTTAAAGATTACTTTTTCTTAAGAAGCATGAATTATTACTGAAAGACCTCATGTATTGAGGGTTTTAAAAATATTTTATAGAAAATTTTCAATATTTATATACAAAGTAGGGAGAATAGCATATGAGTTCATATGAGCTTTAATAATTAAGACAGATAATTGCTTTATTTATATCCCACTCGCTACCCACTTCTTAATAATTTTGAAGGAAATTCTATATCATTTATTGATACATATTTAACTATGTCATCTCTGAAAGCTAAGTATTATTTCAGCAAACTAAGTGTAATTATTACTCCTAAAAATGTTCCTTCATATTATCAAATATATTAGTAGTGTTTACATTTCTAATTGTCTTCAATGATTTGTACAATTTATTTGAATCATTATTCAAATAAGGCTTATATCTGAATTGATTGGTTTTAAGATTTGATTTTTTAAAGATTTTTTAATCTAGAGCTTTCCCCAATTTTTTGGAATTCATTTATTAAAAAACAAACAACCAGATCATTTGTCCTGTACAGTTTTACCATCTGGATTTCACTGATTGCAACTCCATGGTGTTATTTAATTTGTTCCTCTGTCCCTTATATTGCTTTTGAATTGGTGGTCAACTCCAGAGATTTAATCACATTCTGGTTTTATTTTTGAGGGATAGAAAAAGGGAAGGTGGGCTAAGTGTGGTGGCTCATGGCCATAATCCCAGCACTTTGGGAGGCTGAGGTGGGAGGATCACATGAACCTAGGAGTTTGAGACCAGCCTGAGCAACAGAGTGAGACCTCATCTCTACCAAAAAAAAAAAAAAAAAAAAAGCCACGCGTGGGGCCATGCTCCTGTGGTCTCAGCTACTTGGGAGCCTGAGGTGGCAGTGGCAGGATTACTTGAGCCTGGAAAGTCGAAGTTACAGTGAGCCATGGTTGTACCACTGTACTCCAGCCTGGACAACAGAACAAGACCCTGTCTAAAAGAAAAAGAGACAGAGAAAGGGAAGGTGGGTCATAATTAGTAACTTCACAGCTGACACTGTGGACTTACCAAGAGGTCTACAATGTCTGGTTGTCTTTGTTTGTGTGTGATTTTATTTGCCACTGATTATTATCACTGAAATTCATTAGTTTGGGAGGTTAGAAAATGGTAATATTCTATCATTTCTTCCTTATTTATTAATTGGAATCATTTTATAAAGAGAAATTTCTTTTATAAATTTTTTGGTCTTCCAGTCGTTTGTACCCAAGTCAAATACTTGAAACAAATTATATTCAAATAAGTCTAAGGTTCATCTATGTCCCCACTATTCTACTCATTTGTACTCTGAGGTATAGCTCATAAAAGGAAGAAAGGATAAATAATTGCTTTTGTTCTAATTTGCCAATTTTTGAAACTAATGAGCTAGTTTCCTGATAGTCTCCAAAAGTAACTATTTTAGTATTATTATTAATATATTTAAACAAATATGATATGTTTCCATCCATTGCAGTTATTACTCTGATTAACGTTCAAAGTGGCCCATCTTTGACCAGTGGGTGACAATTCATGTTGGCTCCTGAGTCCTTTGAGTGCAACCTCTGTAGTCTCTAACAGCTTCCTTGCTTCTGGTATGACAATTTGTTCCAGGTTTATCTTACACATTTCTACCATCAACTGAAATCACTCTTTTCTCCAGGAAACTCTAATTCCTACTAATGTGAAATGGTGTTTAGAGACTACAATCTTGGCACCAGGGGTGTTCCATGCTTTTGAGGTTTTGGCTGTTTCAGAGGAAATAACATAGAAAACATACTTTTTAAGAAACATACTATGCCGGCCAGGCGCTGTGGCTCACGCCTGTAATCCCAGCACATTGGGAGGCCGAGGCGGAAGGATCACGAGATCAAGACCATCCTGGCCAACATGAGGAAAACCCGTCTGTACTAAAAATACAAAAATTAGCTGGGCGTGGTGACGCGCGCCTGTAATCCCAGCTACTCTGGGGGCTGAGGCAGGAGAATCGCTTGAACCCGGGAGGCGGAGGTTGCAGTGAGCCGAGATTGTGCCGCTGCACTCCAGCCTGGCGACAGTGGGAGACTCCGTCTCAAACAAACAAACAAACAAACAAACAAAAACATAAAATGCCTTTTGAGTTCATATTAATATTTTCAATTCATGGATATTACATCTGTATCTTCTTTCACCACACCGTAAAACTTGCTTCTCAACACCAATATGTCTCATCTGCTTTATCACACAATACACACAGTATCTCTGTATAATAATGCCAAACTACTACCAAAATTATGATTACTAAAAACAGATTTTAAAAATATTTCACTGCTACTTTTGCCCTGAAGAGATATTCCACTAGAAATGTACAAGTTACTGTGTTCTGAAGTCACTTAGACTAGTTCCTCTGTGTGTGGTTATCCACCAACTGGAGACACAGTTCATTTCATTTGTATTATTTTCTTCTTGATGTGAAGGGAATTTTAATTGTTTAATTTTATATTTTATCTGTGTACAATATTAACAGTGGTCCATAATCAAATACTTGAAAGACAGTATATTCAAAGAAGGCTAAGTCCCACTCATGTCCCCTTATAACCTATTCTCTCCTCTTCATCCAGCAGCACCAATTCTGCTTACCAAAAATGTCCCATGAGACACTCACATCCCATTTATTTTCTATTTTATGGTTTATTTTCCATTTCTAACATAAGCAATACAGTTATTCTTTCTTATGAAAATTGTTACATACTGTGTATACTTCTCCCCCCCACACCTTTTTCTTAATTTAACAATACATCCTGCACATTACTCCAGAGTAGTATATTCAGATTTTCCATATTTCTTCTTAGGCCTGAAGAGTACTCCTGTAAGATAATAAACAATAGTTCATTCTAGCATGGAACATTTAGATTATATCCAGTCTTTTCTTATCATAAAAACACTGCAATTAACAGACTTATGCATACATCATTTTGTATTTTTCTATTGTGTAATAGGCATAGACCCCTAGAATTCAGATTTTTACAGATCCAGAAGCAAATGTGTAATTTTGCTGAATATTGTCAAATTTTCCTCCATAGTGGTTGTACCATTATATATCAGCTCTAGCCTTGCCAAAAGAAAGTTTTTGAAATTGGGTGTTTAACAATCAGGTGGGAAATAGATGGCATCTCAGTGATGTTTTTATTTTGTATTCCCCCTATTATGAGCATCTTTTCACATAGTTTAGACACATTTGCTCTTTTTTCTTTCAAAAATTTGTATTTTAACTCATTTTTTATAGTTACTTGTCTCTATATTCAGCTGTTATTTCTTTAATTTCAGTAGCTTTAGGGGTACACATAGTTTTTAGTTACATGGATTAATTGCATAGTGGTAAAGTATGGGTTTTTAGTGTAACCATCACCCAGATAGTGTACACTGTAGCCAATAGATGATTTTTTTCTCCCTCACCCCTCTTTCAGCCTTCCCCCTTGAGTCCCCAATGTCCAATATACCACTCTGTATGCTTTTGTGTACCCATGGCTTCGCTCCCACTTATAAGTAAGAAGATGCAGATTTTGGTTTTTCATTCCCCTGAGTTAGTTCAGTTAAGATAATAGCCTCCAATTCCATCTAAGTTGGCGTAAAAGACATTATTTCATTCTTTTTTATATCTGAGTACTACTCCATAGTACATATGTGCCACATTTTCTTTATCCATTCATCAGTTAATGGGCACCTAAGGTGATTCCATATCTTAGCAATTGTGAATTGTGCTGTGATAAACATTTGAGTGCAGATGTCTTTTTGATATAATGGCTTATCTTCCTTTGGGTAGATGCCCAGTAGTGGGATTGCTACATGAAATGGTAGATCTACTTTTAGTTCTATGAGAAATCTCCGTACTGTTTTCCATAAGGGTTGTTCTAATTTACATTCCCATCAACAGTGTATAAGCATTCACCTTTTCACCTCATCCATACCAACATCTATTGGTTTTTTTTGACTTTTTAAATAATGGCCATTCTGACTGGGATAGGGTTGCATCTTGTTGTGGTTTAAATTTGCATTTCTGTGATGATTAGTGATGTCAAACATTTTTTCATTAGTTAGTTGGCCACTTGTATTTCTTCTTTCGATAAATGTCTGTTCATGTCGTTTGCCCACTTCTTAATGAGATAATTCATTTTTTCTTGCTAATTTGTTTGAGTTTCTTGTAGGTCCCGGACATTAGTCTTTTGTCAGATGTATAGTTTGAAAATATATTGTCTCACTCTGTAGATGGTCTATTTACTGTGTTGATTATTTATTTTGCCATGCATAAGCTTCTTAGTTTAATTAAGCTCTGTTTGTCTGTTTTTGTTTTGTTTGCATTTGCTTTTAGGGTTTTAGCCATAAATTCCTTACCTAGGCCAATGTCCAGAAGAGTTTTTCCTATTCTTATTGTGGGATTTTCATGGTTTAATGTCTTACACTTAAGTCTTTAATCCATCTTGAGTTAAATTTTGTATAAGGTGAGAGATAGAGATCCAGTTTCATTCATCTACACGTGGCTATCCAATTTTCCTAGTATCATTTATTGAATAGGGTGTCCTTTGCCCAGTGTATGTTTTCATCTGCTTTGTCAAAGATCAGTTGGTTGTAGGTATTTGGCTGTATTTCTGGGTTCTTTATTCGGTTTCCTTGGAATATGTATCTATTTTTATACCAGTATCATGGTGTTTTGGTTACTATAGGCTTGTAGCATAGCCTGAAGTCTGGTAATGCGATGCCTCCAGATTTATTCTTTTTGCTTAGAATCGCTTTGGCTATTCATGGTTTTTTTTAGTTCCACATGCATTTCAGGATTGTTTATTCTAATCCTGTGAAAAATGGCATAGGTATTTTGACAGGAATTGCACTGAAGCTGAGCAGTATGCTCTGGAAGCATGAGTAGTATGCTCATTTTCACAATATTGATTCTTTCCATCCATGAACATGGGATGTTTTTCTATTTGTTTGTGTCCTGTGTGATTTATTTCATCAGTGTTTTGTAGTTCTGCTTGTGGAGATCTTTCATCTCCTTGGTTAAATATATTCTTAGGTACTTTGTTGGCAGCTATTGTAAATGGGATTGAGTTCTTGATTTGAATCTCCGCCTGGTCATTATTGGTATACAGCAGAGTTACCGACTTGTGTACATTGTTTTTGTAACCTGAGACTTCACTGAGTTCACATATCAAATCTAAGAGTCTTTCTGATACCAATCCTACTGAAACTATTCCAAAAGGCTGAGTGTATTAGTCAGGGTTCTCTAGAGAGACAGGACTAGTAGGATATAAGTATATATGAAAAGGAGTGTATTAAGGAGAATTGACTCACACGAACACAATGTAAAGTCCCACGATAGGCCATCTGCAAGTTGAGGGGCAAGTAAGGCAGTGGTGGATCAGTCTGAGTCCCAAAACCCCAAAAGTAGGGAAGCTGACAGTGTAGCATCAGTCTATGGCCAAAGGCTTGAGAACCCCTGGCAAACCACTGGTGTATGTCTAAGAGTCCAAAAGCTGAAGAATTTTGAGTCTGATGTTCAAGGGCAGGAAGCATCCAGTGTGGAAGAAAGATGAAGGCTGGAAGACTCTGCAAGTCCACTGTTTCCATCTTTTTCTGCCTGCTTTATTCAAGTCACTCTGGCAGCTAATTAGATGGTGCCCACACAGACTGAGGTGCGTCTGCCTCTCCCAGTCCACTGACTCAAATGTCAATCTCCTTTGGCAACACCCTCACAGACTCACCCAGGAACAATATTTTGCATCCTTCAATCCAATCAAGTTGACATTTAATATTAACCATCACAATGAGGAAGAGGGAATCCTCCCTTCTTCATTCTACAAAGCCAGTATCACCCTAATACCAAAGCCAGGAAAGGACACACACACAAAAGACAAAACTACAGACCAATATCCACGATGAATATAGATGCAAAAATCCTTAACAAAACACGAGGAAATCATATCCAACACCACATTAAAGATATAAATCACCATGATTAAGTAGGTTTCATCCTAAGGATGCAAGGATGGTTTCACATAGGCAAGACAATAAATGTGATTCACCACATAAACAGAATTAAAAATAAAAACCATATTATCATTTCAATAGATGCATAAAAAACATCTGATAAAATTCTGCATCCCTTCATGATAAGAAAACCTGAGTAAAGTAGGCATAAAAGGAACATACCTCAAAATAATAAAGGCAACAAACCCACAGCCAACACCATCCTGAATGAGGGAAAGTTAAAAGCATTCACCCTTAGAATTGGAGCAAGGCAAGGATGCCCACTTTTACCACTTCTATTCAACATACTACTAGAAGTCCTAGCCAGAACAATCATGCAAGAAAAAGAAATAAAAGGCATCCAAATTGGAAAAAAAGAAGTCAGATTATCTTTGTTCACTGAGGAGATGGTCTTATACCTTCAAAATCCTCAGATGCCCTTTATTTATTAGGAATATTAACCCTTTGTCTCTAACAGAATTTGCAAGTATTTTTCCCCAGCTCATAGTTTGTATGTTTGCTTATGACATAATTTCCCATGCAAAACTTTTAATGCAGTCAAAAATTTCAAACGTTTTCTTTATTGCTTCTAGATTTTGAATTAAAGTTAGAAAAAAAATCACATTCTCAGAATAGAGGAATTCGCTCATGTATCCTTTCAGAACCTGTATGGTGTTGTGGTTTTTATATTTAATCTCTGATGTTTTTGGATTTTAGCTTTATGTAAGGAATAAATAAAGAATGGAACTAATGTTATTTTTCCACATGGCCATCCCCAAAACTTCTTAATAAAACTTTTATCTTTTTTTTTCTATTGATTGAGATGTGGCTGGCCTTATGGTACACTAAATATAACACCTCTGTATATTTATAGATGATTATGTAATTTTTTTCTTGAGTTATATACATTAGCTAATGTCTCTAAAACTATGTTAAATAGCAGTGGAGAAAATGGGCAATCTTACTTGGTTTCAAGTTCAGAATAAAATCTTTTATTGTTTCTCCATCAAATAAGATGCTAGATTCCTAGATGATGACTTTGGAGAGAAAGAGAGCGGGAAAGAGAGAGATCATGTTAAGTATCCATTAATTAATATTTTATTGTTTATAATATGAATGGGTATTATTATGTAATTTTTTTCTGCCTAGTTTTTTTAATATGTCTTAAAAATTCAATGTAATTTTTAATGTTGAACCACTGTTACATTTCTGGAATTAATCCCAGTACACTGTCATAATGCATTATTTTTTAAATGTGCTATTGAATTATGTTTACTAATATTTTATTTAAGACTTTTATGTCGATATTTATAAATGAGATTTTCTCTACTTTTCTTGGTGCAATCATTGTCAGCTTTTGGGATCAAAGTTGTCATATATTCAGAAAATGGAACTGAAAGATTTCTTCCTTGTCTATTTGTTCTGGCATACCTTAAACGCATTGGAATTATCAAATCATTAAAGGTTTGGTAGAATTTCTCTATGAGACAAACTGAATCTGGTGGCCTGTGTTAGAGCTTAATTACTTTTTTGTTTCTTTTATAATTATCGTTTGATTTATGTTTTATTGTAGTCAAATGTGGTAAATTGAATTTAGTTTTTAAATTATTCATTTTTGTCAAGATTTTCAAATCTATTTGCATAGATTTGGGCAAAGTCAAAGTTTATTTTAAAAATAGATTATGTGTTTATTTGGAGTGATTTTGAGGGGATAGAGAAAGATGCTTTGGTGTCATCACTGTAGCTCAAAGTTGGCCAAGGGAAGCATCTCCAGAAACTCTGGTCACTCATGTATATACATTTTAAGTAGAACTTCAAAATTGCTTGGTTTTGCTCCTTTTTTATTTTTAATTTTGGGTTTTGCTTTCATCTTTCTATTCTCTCTTTCATTATGTTAGGTAATAGCTTTTTAATTTTGTTATTAAAGAAATAACTTGATAGGATTTTAGAACTATTTTTCTGTTTTCTAATTAATTTATTTGTTCTTATTAATATTAATTCTTCTTTCTTTCTTTCGATTTACTTTGTTGTTCTTTTTCTAGGTTTTTGAATTGGGTGTTTAGTTCATTCATTTTCATTTTTATTTATATAAGTATTTGATGCTGTAAGTTTTCCTTTGATAACATAGTCATATCCCACAGATTCTGTTTTTCTGTTTTCATTATTGTTATTTTTCAACAATTCTGCAATTTTGAGTTTCTCCCTTGAACCAAGTGGTTTTTAGTAGCATCTTTTTGTAAAGAAAACGGAATTTTATTTCCCATTAGTATACTCTCCTCCGCAACCTACCCATACTGACTTGAAATAGTGATTTTAAAAAGTAAATACTGGCTGAGCACAGTGGCTCAGGCTTGTAATCTCAGCACTTCGGGAGGCCAAGGCGGGCAGATCGCTTGAGGTCAAGAGTTTGAGACCAGCCTGACCAACATGGTGAAACCCCGTCTCTACTAAAAATACAAAAATTAGCCAGGTGTGGTGGCGCATGCCTGTAATCCCAGCTACTCAGGAGGCTGAGGCATGAGAACTGCTTGAACCCAGGAGATGGAGGTTGCAGTGAGCCAAGATCACACCACTGCACTCCAGCCTAGGTGACAGAGTGAGACTCCATCTCAATAAATAATAAAAACTAAATACTGGCAGTTACTCATGATTGTTTATGCAGGCTCATGGAAAATAAATAAAATAAAATATCACACAATGAGCCCTAGTAACAAAACCTGGAAAACAAATGAATGGTAAGCTTCTTCCCCTCCTTTAGATCTTCAGTTCCAACTTCATTTATTGGCATTTCTTTGTCTCTAATTCCCTCAGGTGCCCTCCTTGCTTTCTAAAGCCACAATATGGAGGTCTTTGGTTCACCAGCTATTTTAATACTGTCAAAAGACAAATGGCACCCCTTGCTGAAGTACTGTAGAGGGTACTGCAGCCTCCTGAATAAATTTGCAATGCTTTATCTTACTGAGGTTAGAAACAAAAGACATTTTTTTTTGGAGGGGATTGGGAAAAGAATTTTCATGCATGATGCTTTGTTAATATTTCATTCTATTTTAGTGTACTTGTAGCAATAGGATTTATCTTCCACTTGTTTCTGGGGGTCTTTCAGCAATTCTTTCACAAGAAATTCCAAGCATTTCCTTCTAACTGAAATTTGAAAGCTCATACTGACTCTAAACACGCATCTAAAGCAAATCTCCTCACCCCCTCTAAACTACAATTTAGAATCCAAACCTCAGAGTGTGTGTCATTTTCTTTCTCCTAACATGGCTCAGAGATGAGTAAAGTTTGGCTCTAGTTTTCTATCTCAGAGCCTACTCCTTTTTCGTCTTAATTTAATTGGTACCTCATATGGGGACAGCAGTTGAAATGTTATTACATCTCAGGCTCCCCGGGGAATTAGGGAGTTCACCAGAGTCAGGAGGGAAACTCAGCAGCTTTACAAAGAACAAAAGCCAGAGTAATGGGGCCAGTGCCAGCAGAGATAAATCAGGGTGCCAGAATGGGGGCCAATGCCCGTGTGAGCAGCTGAGGAGAGCTAGAACCCTGTGGCATTAGAAGAATAGACTACATTAAGGGCCAGCAGCCAACCTGGAGCTGCAGGGTGGAGAGAGAGCTCACTTTCCCAGCTGACCAAATGGGATCAGATCAAAGAGCCCAGTGGAATTATTTTTTGCGGCATAAAGTACCCTTCAGAACCTGAGCCAGGGCTGCACAGCTGGTGCCAAGGACACACCAAAGAGATGAGTAATCCACAGGGGATCCATCCTCAGGACTGCATTAGGAGGCAGTTTCAGAGACTGCCCTGGAAGACCATACTGAAATAACCACAGCTGAATGCTATAAAATTCCAGTGCTACTGCACTGCTCAACGTGACATTAGTGAGCAAACGTTACCAGCACCCATCAACACAGAGCAGAACTGCACAGCTCCCTGTTGACAGAATGAGACAAGATTAGTGAAAAACGAAGGAAAAAAACAGCATGGGTACATGTAATTTTTACATCATTTTAGATGAGAAATGTTTTTAGTTTAGATCCAATCAATATTTTCTTTCTAAAAAGGGTTATTTCTAATTGAAATAACCTCTCGCTAACAACAGCTCTCCATGTTTACCTCCTTTTGTCTTTTGTCATAATTATCTGAGGAAACACGATATGATATATAAAAGAGATTAACATTTTTACCTAGGATGTGACCCATATAACGGAAGCGTGCCTTGTTGTTTTCAAGAACAATAATTACAGTGAATGTGATTTAGTTGGAAAAGAAAAGCATACAAATTCATTCCAAAGAAGAGAGCTTATAACATGATGTCAATATGTAAGTCAACTCATTTTGATGCTGCCCTGTAATCTAGATATTGTTTCCATTGAAAAAATAGGTTTAAGAAAAGATTGTTGTCAAATAAACGTGTTTGATGTGTTATTATACCTCTTAAAACTTTTACAAGTACTTCCTTGAACTGAAAAATACAAAACCTTTATACATTAAATAAAAGTATCATGTTATTTGCTCCAAACTTGTATTTGTAGTTCTATTAAATAGTATCCTTGTCTAAGAGACCAAAAAAGAAAAAAAAAAGACAGAACAAAGATGCCACTCTGCAAAATCTGAGAATAAAGGTAAAACATCTTTTCCATTGCCTATGGTATTGAAACCAAGAAATATAAGGTTGATATTTTTTCCAGTTCTCCTCAAATGCCATTATCATATCACACTCTATTCAAGAACCTACTGTGACCTTAATTAAGGTCCATGATAACTGATCTTAATCAGATCTCTAGTTGTCTATTGCATTATTTCTATTAGGAAATACTTTATATATAATATGTAATAATACTCTCATAATGCCAGATTTTAAATCCTTTGTAAACATCAAACCCATTATAACAACACTGTGGGATAGGTACTTTTATCATCAACTTCATTTTCATATGTAGAAACAGGAAAAGACAAGCTAAATTATTTGCTGGAAGTCACACAGCTATCAAGAGGTAAAACCCAGGCAGTTTGACTCCAGAGATCCTGTAGAGGTTCATATACTGTGGATTTTGCTGATTTTTTTCCCCAAAGTGTCTTTTCTTCATAGTTAATAGAAGTACTTTAGAATAATTTTACTTGATTTTCATATGTTTTATTCTTATCTAGTATTTAAATTTGACACCTATTTTTAATCCCCAGAGTTAGTCATCATGATCATCATCATTATCGTCATCATCATCATGATGCCACCATCAATATCATCACATTCTCTCCATGCTTGTTTAGATTTACCCACATCTCTATCTGTGTCTTTGCCTGCTATTACTACTTACTCAATCCTTTCTCCCAGTTTTAGATTCCCCTTTTTTTGGATGAAATACAAATTGTACGTGTTCTTTTAGCAAGATTTTGAGGATGGCATATCCTTTCAATGTTTGTCTTTTAATTTTTGTGTCTCTTATCTCTGGACAATAGCTTTGCTGAGTATGAAAATCTAAGTTAAGAATATTTTGTCACAGTACATTTTAAAGATATTATTCCATCTACTGTGTTTGGGTTTCTAATGCTGTTATTGAGTTGTCTGGGCCCTCTTTACCATTAATTTGTAGGTAATCTGTGAACACTCTTTCATTGCTTTTAAGGTGTTCTTTACTATGGTTTACTTTGTTTCACTGACGTAAGAAATGTCAGATTCAATTTTTCCCTATTTCATCTCTCCTCTATCTCTCAATAAGTATTTTGTTCTCATTAATAATCACAGAGCTAGGAATTTAATAAGCATGTAATAAATATTTGACATTTTTCTATTAATGTCATTTCAACTATCATGTAAGTATTATGTTATAACAAATTTCTCAAAAACAAGGAATTCATTTTTCATTTCTTTGGTATCACTTAAACAGAGCTTTGTACTCAGTGAAAGTGCTTAATGAATGACGTTTTATTTTCCCTTACTTCTTCTTTGATCTAATTTTTTCAGATTCAATTGCAATTGATATTGAATAAATTTCTCCACACTCCTTTCCTTCCCTTCCTCTTGTTGCTGAAACAAGAAATTGAGACTAATGATAAAATAAAAGCAAAATCTTAGGGCTTATATTTGTAATTAGGGTTTAAGTAGAAACCATTGTTCCTCTTTAGTTTTCATTTCTATTATGTATATTCAACAAGATCAAAATATCTAAGTTGCAAAGCATCTCGAGTTAATCTAAAAGGCAAAGTTTATAAGATCCAGTCTTACAAAAACAGTTTTTCATTCCAAATAATTCTAGAATTCATCTCAGTTTTCTTTGATAGAACTGAATTATTCAAACGATAGAAATATTTTAAGTAGAAACTTTTCTGCAACCAGCAAATGCACAAGATAATGCTAATATTTTTCTGTTGCATGACATTAAAACTTAAGTGAGAGGTATTGCATTATGATCTCACTGAGACAGAAATTGGGTAATCATCACTGCACTGAAGCACTACAGAAATAATCCACCTAGATAAATTTAGGGAGGATTAAATGATTTATCAGAGATTATATGCAAAGCAAGGTGGTACATTTTTTATTACATTTTGATTTTTCAAGAAATTTTCAGAACATAGGTGTGATTTTTCTCACCTAATAAACACAATTTAAAATGGCATAAGGAAGTTAAATATTTTTCCTATTTTTCACATAAACTCTTCATATTGAATATAAATTATACAATTTTATTCTGCACAAAATGGCCTGACTCCTCATGATTACAAAGATGAAAAGGCTTCATTCAATTGCATTCCTTCTCGGTAAGAAAGAAGTAAAATGTAAAAACTTTTTCATGAGGTCATTTTAGAAGAAGTTATCTGACACAGAACGAAGACAAAATAAACAGGAGCAATATTATACCTTGATAATTTTAAGATTCAGGGAAATGTACTGAATTATCTAAAAATATTTTGATACAGCAAGGATGAGCTGAATAAGAGATGGCTTGTGTTTTAGAAACATCTCCCAGCAGGGAGCATCTAGCATTCTCATAAGACAGCTCTCCACCTTCAGAGCTAGAAAGAATCTTGAAATCATCCCAACTTGTGGTTCTTGGACCCATGAGGAGCTGTGAAATTACCACAGGAGAGCCAAACCATGAAGAAATCAAGACCATAGACAAAATCAATATGTCTCACATATATCACTCTATTTCTAACGCATAGACTTGCAATTCTAACTGGAAATATATAAAGGAAACATTTCTAAATCCATAGAAATTATTGTCATTTTTTCCCTCAATCAATTGAGATAAAAAGTAAAATTTCCTAATGCAGGAGAATGAAACCTTAAAAGAGGTAAATGATGGATCTGTTTTTCCCCACCTTCTCCACCTCTTTAAATCATATTTATATCCATAATGTAAATTCAATGAAGGTGGAAATTTATGTCTGTCTTTGTTTACTGCTGCTTTTTATTTGTTTGTTTGTTTGCTTTAGAGACAGTCTTGCTCTGTTGCCCAGGCTGAAGTGCAGTGGTGTGATCATAGCTCATTGCAGCCTTGAACTCCTGGGCTCAAATGATCTTCCCTCTTCAGCCTCCTGAGTATCTGAAACTACAGACTACAGTCACAGGCCACCACACCCAGCCAATTTTCTTTTCTTTCTTTTTTATTTTTTTATTTTTATTTTTTATTTTTTTTTGTAGAGACAGGGTCTCACTGCATTGTCCAGGCTGGTTGTGAACTGCTGTATTTTTAGAATATTGTCTGACTTATAGTGTTTCAAAATGTCTGTTGAATGAATGAATGTTGATTACATTATCTTAAATCACCCAGCACTGGATATTAGAGAGCTTTAAATAAACAGCATGAAAAAACAAGTTACATGGAGGCTATTAAAAAGACAGCCCTGTTGTCTTCCTTTTTGGCAATAAGCTGTGTCTTAGTATAATAAATTGTTGTGTGTATATTTAGAGAATAGCTGTTCAGACTCATCACAATTTATTGCTTTTTTCCATGCTGAGATAAAGACTTATTGTGAAACATATTCACTTTTTGGTACTTTGGAGCCTGCCTGCTCCTGGGTGCCAATTACACTCTGGCAGGAGCTTGAAGGTCTCCCTCGAGCAGCTGGTGTCAGCATCACATAAAATATGCTCCTGAAATGGATCATTCTGCTGCTCAGGGAACATGCAATAGAGGCTTAGCTGAAATAAAGAAAGAACAAAGCTATGACATCCAAAAATAAAATCAAAGGGGATCAAGTTAGAGTTATTTATATATCCTGATACTGGACTCAGTATTCTAAACACTTCACAGCTGTTCAAAATTTGAGAAGAAGAAATCAACTATATCGCTAACATCTCCTTGGCTGGAGGGTACTTGGACTCAGTATATCTGTCCTCCATCTACTACTAGCAGCCCCTGCTACACTGACTCTGTCTCAGGTCTCAGCTTCAGTTTAAAGTTCTGGTAAAGAAGGCTAGATCTGATATCAGACAATGTGGGTTAAAATCCCAGCCATGTAACTTCTTGATTCTGTGACCTTAGATAAGCTAATTCACCTTTTAAATCCCTGGTTTTCCATTTTCACAATGGGAAAAATAATTGTTCTTGGCTTCTGGGGTTGTGGTGAGAATTCAATGAAATAAGCCATTCAGTGAAATAACCCAAGTAACTGAAGCACTCAGTCCCGCTTCTGGCTTATACATTTTGAATAAAGATTAACAATTACTGTTATTAAACTAAGGATATAAAACTGGGCCCATGGTTATTACACCTGAAACCTCCTCCTAACTCCAGTCAGTTGTAAAAGGATAAAACACAGAGAGTACTTAAACTTCTCGGGAATACGCACCTATATTTTCCTCTCCCAATGCCCACATCTCACTGTGACTCAATGTTGAATCATTCTCCCAGACTTGATATTTTCTTTGTATTTCCTAGTACTTCTTCACTGATAGTCAAACTCAAGATCTAATGATCCCCTAAAAAAAAAAACTTCACTCCTGGCATGCCTAAGAAATTGTTCTCTCTGTGCTCACATTGGCTCAGGCAGACTGAGGCAATGCGTGGAGGGGTGCCATTTCTTTGCTTTGTGCCATGGTTTCTTTCTCAGCAGAAAGTCTTGTCAAACCCCAGCCTAAATCCAGAATCTTTTTGATCCTAGAGAATTGTCAGTGCTTCATGGCCACTTTGTGATTTCCTTTTATTTTTCCAATACCACCTATTGTCTTGCTTTCCCTATTTTCACCATGCCATTCCTTTCTGTCTGCCTTTCCTCTTCTCTCTTGTGTTCTTATTTCTTTCCTATCACCATTCTTTAATACTCCCACAAAAATGACAGTAAAATTATCAACAAAACCATTGTGTGGTAACTTCTAACCTGGCACCCCATAGATGGATCCTAGAGGGTCCAGGGGTACCCTCAGAGTGTATGAAAAAATAGTCTGTGTGATTGCATGAGGGGAGAAGGGGAAGTAGAGAAGCACATGTGTACTTCTTTTCCTAAGGAGAAAGTATATTGTTTTCATCAGATTCCAAAAAATTCTATGATATTGAAAATGTTAACAGCCTTTGTTAACTTAATCTGAATACTATGGGATTATTTTAATATGCATTAATCATTAGACATCAAGAGATAAAAACATGAAGATGATGAATCTTCAACCAATATTTATTGTGTAAATGTTTAGGAAATAAAGGGGTCTCAACCTTTGCCCTCAACAAGTTCACAGTCTACCTAGGAAGAATAAGTTAATTTTAAAAACAAGAATGTTCCTGTGTTAGTTTGCTGAGAATGTTGGTTTCCGGCTTCATCCATGTCCCTGCAAAGGACATGAACTCATTCTTTTTTATGGCTGCATAGTATTTCATGGTGTATATATACCACATTTTCTTTATCCAGTCTATCATTGTGAGCATTTGGGTTAGTTCCAAGTCTTTGCTATTGTAAATACGTCTGCAATAAACATACGTGTGCATGTGTCTTTATAGCAGCATGATTTATAATCCTTTGGGTATATACCCAGTAATGGGATTGCTGAGTCAAATGGTATTTCTGGTTCTATATCCTTGAGGAATTGCCACACTGTCTTCCACAATGGTTGAACTAATTTACACTCCCACCAACAGTGTAAAGGTGTTCCTATTTCTCCACATCTTCTCCAGCATTTGTTGTTTCCGACTTTCTAACGATCACCATTTGTGAGAGTTGAACAATGAGAACACATGGACACAGGGAGGGGGACATCACACACCGGGGCCTGTTGGGGGGTTGGGGGGCAAGGGGAGGGAGAGCATTAGGACAAACAACTAATGCATGTGGGGCTTAAAACCTAGATGACGGGTTGATAGGCGCAGCAAACCACCATGGCACATGTATACCTATGTAACAAACCTGCGTGTTCTGCACATGTATCCCAGAACTTAAAGTATAATTCAAAAAATTAAAAGGAATGGGGTATTTAATTTTTATTTTATTTTGATTACCACTTTTGTTGTATTTTATGTTAATAAATAGTCTGTGCACAGCAAGGCTGGGAGAGACTGGAGGCTGAGGTAGGACAATCTTAAAATAGCCATGCATGATATAACAAAGGAATAGGAAATAAATCTTCAGAACAAAGCAATTTGGGGGAAAATGTGAATTTGGAATTAAGAAAATCACATTTCAAATTATCACTAAGTAATCAGATAAGAAAGTAAACAATTGAAGTGGAGCTGGGGTAAATTTAGTAAAGTTGACACAGGTAACTGGCGTCCCTCACTGAGCTGCATACATAACTCAATGTGGAAAAGAGCCATATTTCAAGAAATGAGAAAATGAATGATTTGTCAGATGTAAAGGCCAAATGGTCTGAGAGAGAACAGAATAGAAGGTCAAAGGAAGACTTCTTTAAGTGCAGAAGACTCGAGCATATTTTTTGTTTTTTGGCAGAGAATGAGCCACCAGCCTTCACTTATTTCTTCATTTTTTGGAATCATAGGCTTAAAATAACATGATAGTTGGTTTCCTTTTGATTACTAAAGGATGTATACAGTACTAAGTTATAAATGTTCTAGGAAGTTATGGAGACTATGAAGAAGCTGCACCTACCACTTGTTTCAGGCTCAGTGACTAGCTGTAACAAACAAATGGAAGTAACTAATAGCAGACCCCGAATCATTCATTCATCGCAAGGAAAAAAAAATAAACACTAATCACTGTAATTATTGCTGAGCCCACAGACGCAGTCTGCAATACAAAATCATTTGTCAGCATTGTTTGCTAAATGTAAGTATACAAAAGTGTACACAATTATACAATGATGAGAATAATAGATGGGTTTTAATCATTCAGTCTGTTGGGACACTGATTTTTTAAAAAAATCAAAAGTTAAGAAATAGAAATTTGTTGAATGAGATAAGGCTTTAGTGGCACTAAGAATAAGTTCTAGAAACTGAATTTCTGGTTTAGTTTTATTAGAGCCAGGCCACCATAGTGGGTATTCTAGCATTTCTGCTTGTGGCTAGAGCTCTGGGTAGAGCTCTTGGAATCTGTCATTTTTTGGTATAATCTCTTCATTAGATACCTTCAGCTGAAGTTTCCTTCAATTCCTATATATAATAGGAGAAGACAGAGTCTCCAAGAGAGACCGACTCTGACCCTGATGACTATAGATTTTATTTATTAAAACAATAAAATATAGCACTATAATATTTTCATATCAGTAAATATCCTCTGCTACTAATGAACCTCAAAAAACTGTTTTCCCGGATCTGCATGAAACATACCACACATGATGCAGACAGTGCCTAAATATTTATACATTAATATATTTAGGAATATGTTAGATGTAAGAATAAGGTACAACTGGTGGTAGTTATTCTGGACAAAATCCTGACAGAAAATTGCCAAGTGATTTATTAAAGCTATAAAATTTCACATAACTCTATGAAAATATATGTGTGTGGGAAATACAAGGAATTAGCCAATTAGGTAGAGATAAATAGATGATAGATAGATAGATAGACAGACAGACAGACAGACAGATAGATAGATAATCGACAGACAGAAGAATATCCTGAAGTTTTCTTAACATTGTTACATAGCTTTGATAATGGAAAAATAGATTGTCTTAAGAAAATCAATTTGAGGACAAATCTTGGATAGTTTCCATGGGCCTAAATGAATGAGACCATAATTTGGCTTATGAGGCTGAGATTTTTAAAATCAAGACTTGTTTTATTGAATATTATAATATTTTTGGATGGTTGGAAGATTAAAAACCAAATTCTTTATTGTAGATTTAGGTTTTTGCTTTGCTTCTGATTTTTTTGTCTTAAAACTTTTGATTTTCATTATTTTATTTATTTGTTGGCACCTTTCCTCAGGAATTTCGGAAGAGAAGAAATGAATGGAGATGAAAATCAAACATTTAAACTCCCAGAACAACTTTTTAGAGGCAGTAGAATCCAATAATTCATTCTTTTATTTTTTAGTTAATACTTTCTAAGTGCCCACCCTGTGCCAAACATTGCATTATGCATAGATTATAGAAGATAAGTCTTTTTAAAAAACCTCTTCTAGTCACTATATATAGAGATGTGTATGTATGTATCCACTGACAGATAATAAACAACTTTATGCATTCTAACTCAGTTTCTGCTTACTCAGTTGGAAAAAAAATCCTATTACAGCATTGCAGTCTGGATATAAAAGTTTCAAAAGACTTTTTCCCCTTCTGATTTCCATTCTTCAATTGTTTAAAATAATTTTTTCAAGCCCTATTTCTAACCACAATGTGCATCCTCTGTAGTTTCTTTGGCAAAGCAAATCAAAGAAGGATTAGCCATTCCAGACATTAGTCTGAATAGATAATCCAAATCTTCCCACTGATTGTCAGACAGGAATGCAGATTGCCCGCCCACTGCGCACTGTGATGCCATTCAATGACAAAAAATTGCTCTTGGACTTTGAAATTGGGGGACCACAAAGTTCATCAGAGTACAGCTGAACACACTCTCAGACAGACACAATAAATCACCTGCTGGTCATACACTCCCTTTGTTTACTTGCCTCCAAGATAGTCCATTACTTTAGCCCATTACTAAATCCTTGATTTCTGACACCAACCATCCATTCCTGTGAAGCTCCACCCTTCCCAAGTTAAGATAAAATGTCTTCAGAGATGGTTATTTTGCAGTTTAATATTTTAGATAAAGCTGATGGTTGTTTTAGGACTTTTTGGTGGCAAGGTTAATATCATTTAGCTTGTTCATATCTTTTATTTATTGATTGGTTTGTTCTGAGCTTGAGAAAGGCACAATTCCTTTTGGCCTTATTCATCCTTTCATCCTTCCAACCTAGGAATCTGTGTGTCTCACTGAATATAGAACTGAGTTGGATCAGTTACGTACTTTAAAAATAGCTGCACTGTGGGCATAGATTACTATGGGAACGTTTTTAGACATTTCACATTCTTCCACAGTGGGTACCATAAAGTCATGGCCATGAAGGCTTGCTGAGAACAGCTAATGAGTATCCACATTCCAGTCGAGAGGTACTGTTCTCAGCATTATTTGGCTTGATTGTTGTGTTTCCCTCACCGGTTGTCATAAAGTGTTCTGAAGCTATTCTAAGCATATTCTATTTTCACAATGCCCTCCAAGAACCTTAGGTGAAAGGCAATGGTGACAGAAACAAACTAATATAATTATGTTTCTGTCAGGAAAGGTGCCAACAGATAAATAAAATAATGAAAATCAAAAGTTTTAAGACAAAAAGACATCAGAAGCAAAGCAAAAACCTAAATCTAAAGAATTTGGTTTTTAATCTTCAGTAGTGTTATCATTCAATTAAACTTCAGAAAATTGTAATGACTATCAAGAAAAAAAATGTTCTGGAAAGATTTATGGTTCTCATAAAAAGATAATGCATACATAGAATAAAAGCTTAAGATCCCACATGATTATAAACTCAGCTATTTTATTAACTTAATGGACTAATGTGTTTGCCCGTGTGTGTGTGTTTCTGGTTTTCGTTTTTGTTTTTAGACTGGCAACTGTTTCAATTATGCACTGACTCCTGTACCCGGTCATCATGACCTGAATATGAATTATCACTGGCAAAACTTTAGGTTACTTAGGCCAGCTCTCAATTCAATTTATAGCTGAAAACTATACTTTATACTAAAAATTGTATTTTATACTAAAAATTTAGTATACATTTTTTCCCAAGAGAAAATAATACTGAATTTTCCATGAAGGATGCCATTGAACAACTATTTAGGGTTATTGTTACTTGTTATCTATAAGGAATTTTTGATAATATATGGTCTCTAATGGTTTTATTTTTCCTCTATGTAGCTTTATCCACCTGGTTTTACTTTGAGAAGCTATCTTTCTCAGTCTGTGAACAGATTAGATAAATCTTGATTCTATCCTGCTTTCCTTTGAGACTTGCTTTTCCAGTTTTATTTCTCTTAAAACCTGGTACAGTTAAGAAGAGTGAAGGTGACTAAAACTTGGTTCATGGAAGTCCATCTCTTAAGATGCTTAATTTTGAGTTAACTACTCAAGGACAGCATAGGGTCCTTTCCCTTTTGGGTGGGACATTATTTACTATGCCACTCCTCTATCACTTATACACTGAGTGTCACCTCTTTTGTTTATTCAACATTTTTTCCTTGTGTGGTGCTTGGGTTCTGTGGGACACCTACTGGGTCATAAGGTATACATCTATTTCATTTAACAGAGCAGCAACATAATCAACAAAACTGACAAATTACTCAATGCCAGGCTGTTCTAAATGCTGTAAACAGAAACAAACAAAGTAAATCCTCATGAAGCTCATATTCCTGAAAAGAAGATAGACAATGAACAAATATACAAAAAGAGATGAAAGCAGAGACGGTGGGTTGGAAGTAGAATATACAAGTACATATAAAGTCTAGCATTTGTACTTTAAGTTTGAATGAAAATCATAAATTTGGGTTCCAGCCACAAAACTATGTAAAGTCACGTAGAAAGTGTGCATAGATGAAGACACAGTCTGAGGACTGACTGACACTTTCAGATTTAGAGATTAAAAATATTAGAAGGAGCCAACAAAGAAAACAAAAAATCAATGGCAGGTAAGAAAGGAAGAAAACCTAGAAGCAGTGTCCCAAAAACCAGCCTTTCAAAAATAGACAACAGTGTCATGCTGCAGACTGAAATTAATTTTGAATTTAAAAATGTGGAGATCATTGGTGGGGCTGATAATATCTCATTTGATACAGTTGTACTCAAACAGTGGAATGGAGTTCTCAGAGAATTAAAGAAGAGGACTTAAAGACAGTTCTCTTTTCAAATCATTTTGAGGATATTTGCTAGAAAGTGGAGAAGAGAAATGGGGCAATGACTGGGGGGTAGAAGTGGCAAAAGAGAATTTTCATAAGATGAAAGATAATACAGCATGCTTTTAGGTTACTGGGAATGAGTCAAGCCAGTGAAGAGATTAAATATTATGATTCAGGAGAAGGAAGAATTCCTTAAACATTATTATTAAGTTACTGAGAAATGATGAGATTTCAAATACAAGTGGAAAGTGTACCCATGACAGGAAAATGGACATCCATGCATAATAACAGAATGGAACCAAGAGATTATGGGCACAGACGTAAGTAGGGGAGATGGTGAGGAAGTGGGATAATACAGTGAAGGAAAATGTGGAACTTTCCTTTCTTCTATTTTCTGCATCATTTGGCTCCTATCTGACCTTGAAGCCTCTTCTACCCCCCACTCTTTAGCCTCCCCTCACCCACTTCCAATAAGCTTTTTATACTTCAGAATATAAACTGCCTGCACAAGTCCATTTTTTCTGCCTCCAGGTCTTCATTTGTCTGGCTATTTACCCTCCGCAATCTGTTATCTAGCAATCTTGCACTTATTTTTCAGTACAAGTCTTAGCGTAAATTTCTCTGACTCATCCAGTAGCCTTGATAAAAAAAAAAAAAAAAAAAAAAAAAAAAACTTAGTGTATTGTATCATTCTCCACAAGGCTGTGCCTGCAAAAGTACCTGTTAAGTTGAACTCAGTCATTTGCTGATTCCAGATACATATCCAATACCTACTATGGGTTAGGCACTATCTCAGGCATTGGGATACAGCCATGCACCAAAGACCTTGACTTTATGAAGCTTACATTCTAGTGGTTTTCCTAGAGACCACGTCTTTAATGAAACACCATGCCACTAAAGTGATATGTCAACTTTAGAATTAACATTTGCTTATTGTCTTGGTCTCATTTTCCTCTCTGTGGCCAGAATATACCTAATCAGAAAACAAGTTTGTAACTGTGTGCCTAACAGAATTATGACTTAAAAATGGGGTTCTGCCGCTCAAAATCCTAATAAAAACCACTATGTTTTGAGGTTTCTCCCCCTCAGGATATGCATTTCTAAAGCTGCCATTGCATTTATGATGGAAATTATGGTAAAGCACACATTTCTTAGAACCAGCTGAAAACTGACATGCTGGGGCATTGGCTGCTCCATGCATCTTTGTTTTGTTTTTTTTTTTTCTGTTTTGTTTTGTTTGCTTGTTTTATTTTGTTTTGTTTTGTTTTGTTTTTGTCTACAAGGATCTGGACACATGGATCAGCATCTTCATACTCATTAGATTCATTATCCTTTCCAACACTGAATTGTTATCCACTGGAAGCCATTAATATTTGTAAGATAATTGTCAAATCTGAAGTAAAACTTGCATATGATTATATCCCCTCTCCTGAAAACAAGCAATCTACATTTTGCTATTAACAGGATTATTTAACACAGACATGATTTTACCACAACAGTGATCCATCATAACCAAGAAGGAAAATCTTACACCACCCTGTTCTAAATTACTAGAATCACTAACTTTATATCTCATTTTTGGAAGCCAATTCAAGATGCAAGTTTGTTTTCCATTACCTGACATGAGTTTAAGAAATTGATGAAACCATCTCCAATACAGCTTATGTAATTCAAAATATTGGCTGCATGTTGGCTCCAATTTATTCTCTGGGCCCAGGGAAAGTTTGAGCAAGACTTTGGAACTGTCTATTATTAAAGAAATGCTGGGAATTTAAGTGATCATTGAAAATTGGTAAAATCTAAAACAAGTTTTAGACTTAAAATGGCACTTCTTCATCGTCAAAATGACATTTAGAATATTTATTCTGAACAAATTCCTCTACTCCTTCTTGCTTTCAGGATTTAACTGCAAGAAAATTAAACACATTGGGTTACCAACTCCTTTTTCTCATAGCACAGCATTAGGTATTGTCTCTTTTAGGATGAATAAGAGAGAGAGAAGGGTCAGTTACCCCACACCCCTGTCATTCTCTCCTCCATCTAGGATTATTTTAATGAAGGGGAGAATCCACATCAACATATTTCAATTAAGGGAATAGAGGTCTGGATTCTACCTGATGCATCTTTCCCCATCCATTAAAATCTGCTAGTAAACAGGAGAATTGTCATTACTCTTCTTGCATCAGTCTTGCTCAACTGCAAATCCCTCAGTCTTTGTCTGCAAGGTCAAAGCAGGGAGTAACTAAAAGGTAACTGCAGAGGAAAGAAAGACAAAGATAGCCTTCGTTCCTACCCCAAATTTCCAGTGTGCCCCAAATACACACACACTTATGTATCACCTAATGTCACACTCAGGCCACCCTTACATTGCTTCGTTAGATCAATTTATTTGGAAAGGAGAAACAAACCCTCAATACTCTGTTACTAGGAAGGATAGATAGCAATTGGTTAAATAACTTTTGATTTGAATAACTTCTGCCCATATTATTTCATGTATTTAAACATTGTGAAGTCATTTTCCCAAAGTGATTAATTCCTAAATCTTTCCTTCCTAGAGTTGTTTGTTTGTTTAAAAATATTTTATTAAAATATAAAATATAAAAAAGTTTATGTTTAGCACTGCATAAACTGTCACAAGCTGAACCTACCCATGTAACAAAACATCCAGACTAAAAGGTAGAATAGTCTCAATATCTCAGTCACTTACCTGCTTCCTCACTGTCACTTCTCTCCCAAAGTTAATTACTATCCTGATGTTTAACAGCACAGAGTAGCTCTGCCTGGCCTTGTACCATAGAGATTTTCTTTCATATCTATCTAAATACAATAAAATATCATAATTGTTGCTGTAATTGCATCCAGTTTTGTTCAGATGTAGCAAAACTTAACATATTAGAATTCAGTTTTTGAAATAATTGATACAAGTAGGAAGTAAATAAGCCAATATATCTACTTATCCAGGGAATCCTGAAATTCTTTCAAAATATTTGATTTTTAAAACTACCTTGTGGGATTTTCTTCACTCATTAAAACACAAGTAGCTGATCTATATTTGTTTCCACTTCCGTCTCCAAGCCCCCCAGTAGACACAGTCTCCTTTTTGAGAATCAAATACTCCCATGCTTCTCTTCTGAATAACTTCTGAACTGTGTACAACCTTATGGTAATCATAACCAATGTTTCAGGAACTAATGCTAAAATGAAATGTATCCGCAGTTTCCGACTGGGGAGGGGCACTGTTTTTCTCTGTGCAGCTGCTTTGCTTTCTGCCCTTCTCAACAACATCAGTACCAGCATCAGTTTTCTCCTGTGGTTTTTCTATTGGGATCCAGCCAGGCTTCATCATTTCCTGTCTATCCAGTGATCCATCCCAGCCCTCATAATCAGCTACTCTGCTGTGACCCACTCCTTGGCTCCTTACCTCAGGCTCAGGAGACCTTGGGGCTGGAAAACAATGGGTTGTTTCTGTCCTCTTTCTCTGATTTTCTTCACCCTTTCACATGGCCCCAAATGAATATTAATAATCACATTTTCTTACTCAGAGATGTCCAGATATGGAAAGAGAATGTCTTTACTTTGGTTTAATCAGATACAAGGACAAGTAGACTTGTGGATACTGCCCACTTTTGTAAGTGATCTGAACAGCAAGCTTTGAAGAGCTGATAGACTGGCATTTCCTCAAAAGGTACATTACTTTTTGTGATAAATATTACGTTTAGTAAAAGTACTACCTAATGAATATGTCACAAAATGTGTAAGTTCATCACTGCTAATTGCATGTTCATTATAAAGCCTTTTCTATATATCTTTTTGGTTAAAATATTTCCCCTTTGCACAGCCAAAGGGAACCTTTCCCACTGTATTCTATGTTACGATGGAGAGGAGATGAGAGTGACATTCACATAGACTATAATTGGTATTGTGCCCATTTAAATTCAGAATACTGGTTGCAAGTTAGATATGGTAAGACACCATAATTATATTATTTTATTACACCCCCAGTATTTTTGGATAAACAATTCAACATTCTCTGCTGGGATTGGCAGTGTAGCCTACCTTAAAAATAGGAAGAAGAATTTATAAACTGGAACAATTATTATTGAATATCAGCATACTATCACTAATAATAAATAAATAGCACTAGAATGCTGTTATTCTCATGAAGTACTACTTAATTAGTAGAAAATCTTTGTAGAGCTACATGTAAACATTTGACTTAAAGCTAAAATGTGGCCTATAAAATGGCATTTAAGAATTCTAAACTAAGCCTGGTTTAGGATTCACACTGAAGTCCACTGGGGATGAAAATATGTATTTTCTTCCTTCAATTCACTAAATTATAGAAGTTTATATTCTAGGCAATTTCAGAATTGGAGAAACCTAACACTAACATTGCTGGATACTGTCATCAACAATTCACAAGAAAAATAAAACCAGGAACTTCATTGATTGAACAATAGCTATGCATATTCCTATTGAAATAATCTCACAAGACAGGAAGATGTCCTGTTTAAGTAAAAGCTTTCTGAGGAAAAAAAAACCTAAGTAAATTTTCATTGCAATAGCTGGCAGTACAGTCTGTTATGTGGGGTTTCAAATTAAATTTAAAGTTATTCCTAGCTGTCCTGGGGTCTTCATTGTTTAAAATTAGTGATTACTTCAATAGAAATCAAATATATGCTAGGATGTTCAGCCTAACTCTCATTCTTTAGCTGTTGGGTAAATATTTTTCAGTTTTAATATTTAGATCGCCAAAGACAGATATAATTGGTCTGGTTTATAGAAATATTTCATCATTTTCCTGGTCTAGCAATCAGGACATCATCTCTAAGTTAATGACAGTTTTACTTCACAGCACAATGCTATAAACCATGTGGAAATTTCAGATATTGATACTGACTAGACTATGACAAGGAAATATGCTATAAAGAAGACATGCAATTCACCCTTGGTAAAGAGAAATATTGTAGAGTCAATCTAGTTTATTATTTATTTAGCAGAACTAGTTTTTCAGTCCATTATAACGCCCCAGACCAGGAAAAATTAACCAATTTATTCGTTTTTCCAGTTTTCAGGCTATCTACGATATGTAAGGCTCTGTATTAGGTACTGGAGTGAAATTCAAGGATGAATTAGACATAGCCATTATTTATTAGACGCTCACATTCTGCCTCTGGTAGAAGATGGGACTACATCTTACAAAGCCATTCTTCCTCAAGAAATTTTTTGCTAGTTTGCTTTAGGAATAATTCAAATAGTTGGGCAGACATTGACTTTCTTAACACTATTAGACAAAACACATGTACCAAGAAAACTAGAGCATTTTGATTTCCCAATTTGTTCAATCCTGTTTTATTGAAACAAAGATGGGAAGAAAAGCAGATGGAAATAGGAATCACAAAATTAGACAATGTTTATTATACGCCTATTTCAGACAAATCTCAAAAAGTGCCTTTAGTAGAAAATAAAGCCGTAAAGAAAATGGAGAAGGAATGGGAAATGTATTGGAAACGATAACAGGGGCTTCGAGATTAAAAATTGTAGAGAAAATTTCTCATCTGAGGCCAATGGAATTAAAAACAGAATACATTTGCTGGACTAGATATTATTAGGTAAGAGGATGAGAAAATAAATATTCCAACTCGGCGAAAGCTAAATGGACAGAATGCAATTTAAGAGCTATTTGGGTTGAGAGGGACAGGAATGACAGAGAGAGTGGAAGAAGAAGAGGAATAGTTGAGTATCAGCGACAGAATTAAAGGTGCAGAAAAACAACCATGGTCTGTTTGAAGAATACACCAACTCGTGAAGAATAAACACACAGTAACAGCAAAAAAAAAAAAAAAAAAATACTATTTATAGAGCACACATATTGTGTCACTTGTACATGGTGGTCAATATACTTTTTTTATTAAGGAAGACTTTCTTCCAAAATATAAACAACATGAAACCATTTGAGAAGTGGTGAATAAGCAATCATTTCACATTCAAATGTCTATCCTATCTTTTGCCAGATAAACTTTCTCACCAAAACATTGCTTATTCACAAACTTTTTTAAAAAAAAAAAGACTATCAAAATGTACTTAACCCACTGTTCATTCTTTTTTCATTGTTTATCTGAATTGAGATTTGAGACAAGACTGAATTTATGGCTCATACAAGTAAATCTACATTTCAAGGTAGATCAACTCCTTTCCAAAGTATCCCGATACAAGATGCAGAACATTCCTGAGGGATTACACAACTGTTTCTCAGCCAAATGTTATAGGACTTCCACAACCTGAGGCAGTAATCTTCCTGAAAGGCACATCTTGGAATAACTAATTACTATATTTCATAGTTGTAAAACTAGAAAAAACAATCAAGGCAAAAAGTTCACGTGTACATGCTTTCTTCGATTAATGGAACAGTTCTGATCTCACTGGCCACCAGTCAAGATGAACCAAAGATGTTCATCTTCCAGCAACCACATAATTTACATAACAATGACATAAGTATCATCAACTGCTGTTGAATGAAGATATATGTTGACATGTGTCATAAAAATCCTTAAACCACAATGAACATCTTCAAATATGAGTGTTGCTTTACTTAACCAAACTCTGAGTTGCATTCATTTGATATTAGAAACACAAAATTCAAATGTGAAATAGGACCTAAACATAAGTTGTTTCTGTGGTAAGAGCAAATACAAAATTGTAACAAAACACCCAGGATTTTCTTCCCTTCTTTAAAGCTAATGAGTATTCTATTAAATGTGTTAAGTGTGCAAAGATTTAAAATAGAAACTGTTTAATCCATATGATTCCAGTTAAGCTGGTAGTAGTGGTAAGATAGGTCAAACGCAGAATTTCATTTTACATTTAAAGTCAGTTTTAGGTCTGATTGGAAGTCATATATGTATGACTTTCTATATCTAATAGCACACATATCTACATATTTACACATATATACAAATGTGTGATATATATACACATATACATATATACATATGTGCATGTATACACAAACATTCTTGCATGAAAGAATTGTTTAAATAATGAGAAGGCCTACAAAGATTTTCTGTACACCCTTATACTTATAATCAACGATAATGTATTATATCCTTAAAAATTACCTAGAGGGTAAATCTGATGTTATTTGTTCTGATCATGATTTTATAAATTGGAAAATGTAGTTTTAATGAGTAACTTAAAATGTTTGAGTTAGAAAAGCCTTCGGAAGAATAGTAAAATATGCTGGATTAAGTGATATTTCATATAATTACTCAACAATTCTAACAAAAAAGTCAGGAAGGAGATTTTGTTTATGAAGAAGATCTAAAACCAATGCTTTTGTGAGGTGCATTAAAATAATACTTTATTTCCAGGTGCTCCAGTCCTCTAGAATTACAAAATAATAACATTTTCACAATACTCTGCATCAGGTATTTTTCTAACTGCTTCACAACTGTTAACCCATTTAATCCTCACAAGAAACTTGTGAATCAGGTACTATTTTTATTACCTCCATTTTACAGACAAGAAAACTATGGCACCAGAGAGGTGAGAAACTTGAATTAGTAAATGTCAGATTTTGATTTTGAACTAAGGTAGTCTGGAAACAGAGTGTGTGATCTAAACTACTGTACACAATGCCTTCCTCAAAATGCCATTATATGATTCTCTCCATTGTGTAGGAAAGGAAAACCAACAAAAACTTTCTAGACTACATTTCTTAGTATTTTTAAATCCAACGTAGGTAAAGGTAACTACTCAAATATCTACCTTTTCATCTATTGATAATTCCCTCTTGGATGTCAAAAATGATGCCATTTATAAGAATGGGTATCTGGGAAAATGTGGTATTAAAAGAGGTTTAGAAAATTGAGGTTGGCTACTGAAAGAAATAATATTCTAACTTCTACACTTGAAGAGTTTGCACATTTCTTCATTGATTCAGCAAATATTTGTTGAGCATCTACTACAGAGATATAACTATAAACCAAAACTTTCATTGTGCAGCATTCATCTTAAAGAGAGTCATTATAGCTAGATTGGAGATTATGACAAATTATCCATTGGTTTTATACAGGAGACAGTTCAAAATTAAATAAATGGACAAGTCTAAAATTATAGATTGGGGATCTCTAATTAAGAGGTAATCATAAAAATTTTGAGAATTGATGAATACTCCTAAATTGTAATAAGGAACTTTAGGACCTGAATTCATTTTTAGGAAATAGTCAAAACTGGAGGAAGAGAAAAAGAAAATGAACGAAGAATGTAACCAAAGATTTAAGAAAACCACAAAGAAAGAGTCAATTCAGGAAATATATTAGAAATAGAAGGTTTAACCAAGTGTGTCAAATATGGCAGAATGTCAAAGAAAAAAAGGACTTGGCAAATCTTAGATTAATAGCCTAATATTTCCAGAGAAAGATTTCATTAGAGTAGCAAAGTAGAAGGCAAAGAGGTAAAGAGAAATAAATACAGTTAAAGCAAAACATCCAGCAACACAAAAAAAGAAGCAGTTAAAAAAATGAAAGAAGGAAGGAAGAGGGAGGGAGGGAGGGAAGGAGAGAGGAAGAGAGGAAGGAAGTAAGGAAGGAAGGAAGGAAGGAAGGAAGAGAAGGGCTAGAGAGAAGAGAAAAGCCAAAATATGTTATATTGTCATGACCTTTTAATGCCTGAGTGAACTATTAATGTCTGCTATGGTAGCTTCATAATGTACCAACTTGTCTAGGTTGAACTACATTTCCCAGAATCCCCTTTTCTGTTTTCATGCAGGGTGGGTCACAAGAAGGATTCCTACAAAATATTTGGGGCACCAAAGTAAAATAACAGCCATTTATAACTCACACATTTTGTCACTTATCTGCTGATTCTCCTCAGAGTATCCCTTTCCTTTCTTCCAGACCTATAACCAGAATCAGGTCCCAGCAAGACCAAAAGTGTGATTTACAAAATGTGACCTATAATTTGGCATACACATCAAAAGAACTGCATGATTTTTTTAATGTATATTGACAGAGGCCCAGGCAATATGTATTAGAATGCATCTTAAGTTTATGAGATCAAAGTGGAAGGCCTAAAAGTCAGAATAAATTTATTGATATGAGAATAAATTTATTGAAATAGAGATTTCAGATTTGATATAGTAGCATGAGGGGCTAGGAATGGCTGTATAATTTGCTTGGTTGATTAACTGGTGCATAATAAAAAGGTAGTGTACATTAAATGAAGTTGATATCCCAGAACTTCCTTCATAGAAGTAGAGCAGGGGTCAGAAAATATTTTTCGGAATGTAATTTTTTCTCTTTTGTGGGCCACATTGTTTCTGTTGTGACAATTCAATTCTGCCATTGTAGCATGAAAGAAGATATAGAAAATATGTAAATGAATGAGCATGAATATGTTACAATAAACATTTACATCTATTTACGAAACACCTATTTACAAAATACAAAATTACAAACATCTATCTACAAAATAAGCAGTAGGCTGGATTTGCCTTAACACTGTAGTTTGCTGACACCTGCTATAGAGGAAGGTATCCAATGGCTTAGGGAGATTGGAATCTTAGAAGGAGTTTATCATGACTGATCTGCTCACCTACCTCATGAGGTTCCAGAGAACATGACCTTCACCATGGCTTTCAGGAACAAATGAGCTTCAGCATCCTGTAATGGCTCACCCCTGAAGGCCAGAAATTACACTGGAGACCACTATCATCACACTGAGATCTCTAAATATGATGAGAATAATGAGTTTCCAGGTGGGCAGGTGCTAAGGGGAGCACCGATTTTCCAAAGGCAAGGTGGGTGTTATTACTCTAATGGACCGTAGAGCCAAAGCACTAACCAGAATAGTCTGACTTACAAAGATGTTTGACATTAGCTATTATAGTTGATCATGATGTTCTTAGAACTGAAGTAAAAACAGCCTGCTAAAATAGCCTGCTAAAATCTTATTTGATTTGCTTAAGCAGAGAAGCTCTAAGTCTAGCGAACTAAAGTCTGACTTAAATGGTGAAAACAAAGAGGTACAGTTCTTCAATGAATTCCCAGTTTTGAGCCAGTTCACAGACCCAGAGGCCTTGAAATGAAAGTAATCTAGGACCCCTTGAGCCAGTTACAGTGTGATTCTGCATTGGGGAAGGAGAAATAATAAGATCTGGGGGGATTATTAGGCCTTGGCTCTGAACTGACACTAATTCCTAGAAACCCAAAATATCACTGTCACTGTGGTCCACCAGTGAGACTAGGGGCTTTTGGAGTTCAGTGATTAGTGAAGTTTTAGCTCAAGTCCATCTCATAGTAGGTCCCTGGGTCCCCTGTGGTTATTTTTTCAGATACAGAATGCATAATTGGGATAAATATATTCAGCAATTAGAAGAATCCACACATTGTTTTCCTGATACGTGCAACAAGGTCTATAATGGTAAGAAAGGTCAAGTGAAAGCTACTGGATATGCCTTTACCTACAACAGTGTAAACCAGGAACAACAGCACATTCCTGGAGGAATTGCAGAGATTAGTCCCGTGGCGGACTTGAGAGATGAAAGGGTAGTCATTCCTACCATATCCACATTCAACTCACATATTTGGCCTGTGCAGCAGAGAGATGGATCTTGAAAACTGGTTGGCAAGTAATCAGTTGTACATGGGATAGTTGTATCATATTAAACAGAGGCATGAATATGTTAGGGTCTTTACGCTGAGTTTAAAATGTAGTTTAAGGAGAAGTGTATGAGTGACAAGTTGGCAAAGGCAGATTGCAGTGGCTTTGTAATATGTCAGATTGCTGAAAAACTACATTTCCCAGAATTCCCTTTCCCATATTTGTTTGGTTAAGGTAGACCACAATAAAGATTCTTATGGGAAATTTGGATGACGGAAGTGAAGCAGCAGCTGTACATGTCACTTATCAGATGACACGAGGCAGAGGCCAGCCCTGTGACTTCTCCACCTTGCCGTGGATACTCCCTCAGCTTCTCTGACTTCTGGGCAAAGCCTCTGCAGGACGTGCCACCAAGGTTAGAGGAAAAAAACACGAACACAGGTTTTGGTCAATCCTCATGAACTACAGCTCATACTCATATTTCCTGGCTTGTTTTTATTCTCCCCACCTTAATTCCATCTTCCCTTTCTGATTGTCTACCTTGTGGAGTTCAAGCTCCCGCTTCAGACAAGAAGATGAAAGCCATACAAAGACTACTCAACCCAACCATCTCCCACAGTGACATAAGGTAAAACCTATTTAAAAATTACATCCTAGTTTTTCTGCTTCTTTGATTGAACACGAGCTCATACAGTAAAGAAAATAAATATTGGAGGCACTGGTGAGAGGTTTAAAAGCTGTTTTCCCAGCTTTTATAATTGTAATTCCCCAGGTGGGGAAAGTCTTTAGAATACAGGTGGAGAGATTTAGAGTAACAAGAAAAACTTGTTCTCTAAACTGAAGGGAAAGGAGATAATCTAGAAAGAGAAAAGTCAACATGCAAACAATATTAGATTTGAGAGTTCATTTTGTGGCACTTGAATTTGTAGAAAAGAGGGCTGGGTCTCCTGCAGCAGAAGAGACAGAATGTGACAATTGGGAGTTTGATGGTGGTAAAGGCTCAGGAAAAATGGTTTGAAGTTCTCTAAAGAGTAAATAACTACATATTTTTAAAGTATAGCAGGAGTGACCCAGCTGATAATAGATATTATGAATTCATCCTATCAATGTTTCTTTCCATATCCTAGCTCTGTATTTAAAGAGAAGACTGCAGACAGCAGGGGTAATTCAGAATGAAAGAGGCAGAGCAGAGGCAGAGCAGAAGCCAAGTCTAGGAGCCTAGGGTGGTCCCAGGAAGTAGCATTCAAATAGTGACATATGGTGACCATTACAGGTCAGGGTTCTACTAAGTTGGAATGGCTCTTTGGACGTTTCTGTATTGAGTGTCTAGCATGTTGTTGATGAGCAACAAACTCCTTGGATATTACAAATTGGGAGGAAAAAAGTAATCAGGAAAGACATTGTTAAAGAGAAAAGCATCAAGCTCAAAACTTGACAGTATGAGAGTGCTCTATAATGGTGAGTTCCTGAGTGTGCAAAGTAGAGATGAAGTCAATAATATGTGCTATAGTTTGTGCACACTTTTTCAGATAATCTGTCATTTCTTCTTCTAACCTATAAAAGCTCATGAAGAAAATGCCAGATTCAGCCTCTCAGTCTATTGTCTGATCTATGTTCTTTGGAAACAATTTCAGGTGCACATTTCTCTCCCTAAGCCTCCCTGAGCCCAACATCCTTAGCAAATGTTTTCCAGTATCCCGCTGTTTTCCAGAAACACCATTAGCCTTTTGTATATCTAATCCAAATCTTCTGCTATTTGTCTGTAACCTCTTACACATTCTGTCATTGCATTTGAATCACTTAAACCTGCATTAAAGTTTGATGAAGTTTAAGGGATATTTTTTCTCTAGGTTTACTTTACTTAATTTTCTTATGTTTAAGATTTTATCACACTTATTTTCATAAGTATTGAAGCTCATGACAATGAGTCCATTATTACAATGAAGATTCATATCAAAAATATATTAAAAAGTCAGTATCTAAAATTGGTCTATGAATACATGTGTCTTTACTTTACCTAAATTAATTATTTACTCACCAGTATCTTCTTCCCATAGGTAAGCACCTGAGTTCACCCTAGGATCAGGCCAAACTAGCAATCTGTCATTTGACTGCCTCTCTCCTCTTCTAATATTCCTCCTGAAATTTTTTCATTTTCATAAAATTTTTTAAGCAAAATGTTTCATGGAAGTCCTCTGTAGCCATTTAAAAAACTAATCTCTAAGAGACTGATGCTTCTGAGATGCAATCACTTTTTCTGCTTTTGCCATGTATGAATTGCATGCTGTGCCAGGTGTGGATTGTTAAGCCCTGAGGCATGGATCATATAGTCCTCCAGGGTGTGTTTTGGGTGTTTTGTTTTGTTTTCTTTTTTTTTAATACTGAGGACACAGCTTGTGTTTAACAAATAGCACATAACAATAGTGGATTTCATTTGCAGGTGGGATTATTTCATTTGAGAAATAGAATTTTTTTCATGTGAACTTGCCAACAAATTCTCCCTCTTCTCAGGGAGAAAATGTCCTAACCCACTCTGCCCCTGAATTCAGATTAGTTCAGATATACAATTTATTCTTAGACATATATTCTACAGTACATCAGGGTATTTAAAAAGTCAGTGATAATATAATGTTCCTGGAAATTATGATATACTGCATGATAACAGCAAGAGGTTATTACCACAAAGACATTTGAACACATTTTCACAATGCCAGACCAGCAAACAATTGATGTCCATAGCCATACATCTACCATCACCTTCTATTAAAAACACAGATCATACACATGTCTGGTATCTCCAACTTAACTCTATCTAGTGGAATGTCACATCAGTTTTTTCTTAACTGATTTGATTCATGCAGTATGCATTTATTGAGTGCTGACTATACATTCAGCACCATTTTTGGTAATAATGACAAGTAAATTAATAACATCCATGTCCTTCCTCAAAGAGAACAATTTTGGCCAGGCGCGGTAGCTCATGCCTGTAATGCTAGCACTTTGGGAGGCCAAGGTGGATCACGAGATCAAGAGATCAAGATCATCCTGGCCAACATGGTGAAACACCATCTCTACTAAAAATACAAAAATTAGCTGCGCATGGTGGCAGGTGCCTGTAGTCCCAGCTACTTGGGAGGCTGGGGCAGGAGAATTGCCTGAATCCAGGAGGCGGAGGTTTCAGTGAGCTGACATCACACCACTGCACTCCAGCCTGGTGACAGAGTGAGACTCTGTCTAAAAAAAAAAAACAAAAAAAAAAAAACAAAACACAATTTGATAGAGAAGACAGATGTGTAAATAAATAATTGCAATATGGCAGGGTGTGATAAATGCTCAGGCAGTAATTTTTACAAGGTACTGTTACAGGATCCTTGGGGTGTTGTTTCACCAGCTGGAAACCTCTCTAGCCAGTGGCACCTTTGCCCAAGTCCTCTGTAGCCAGTGGCACCTTTGCCCAAGTTTTGCTCTGGCCCACTGGGCTTCTTCTGCCCACTCAGTCTGGCAGGCTGCACTCAGTTTCTGCTACCAGCCTGGATCCCACACCTGCCAAGGGTCAGCCAGGCAGAGTGGCAAGGGGTGTGTAAGCGAGCCTGGGGTCTGGCAACTGCACAAGCCAGGCATGCTAGCTGAGGTGAGGTGGGCAGCTCTAGACTCCAGCTGCCCTGGGTGCCAGCTGCCTGCGAAGCTGTGACTGGTCAAGGCATACCATAAGCAGCTTCCATGGCTGACACCAGGGAATGTGGTGTGGCACCCAGAAGCTTGGAGATACCAGGAATCACAGCACCCTAAAGAGAATGTCACAGCCCAGGTTCAGCAAGCACCTAGATCTGGGCTCCCTGCAGGGCCACAGCTCTTCATTCCTTCTCCCTTCTCTCCTTGTCACCTGCAATGTGGTGGGCAAGGGGCATGTTTCAGCCCTGTTTGTTTGATAGATCTTTTAGCCCCACCATTCAGCGGGTCCCGAATTCTTGTCCTGTATCCAAGAAGAATGAGGTACGCAGACAAGTGGAGGGTGAGCAAGACAAAGAGGAGCTTTATTGAGCAATTGTACAGCTGAGAGGACACCTACAGTAGGCAGCTCCTCTCTGTAACCAGGGTGTCCCAGTGAGTGCTCAGGTATCAGCAGAGAGGGTAGCTCCTCTCTGCTAGGCAGGTCCTCCCAACAAGTGTCCAGCTCTCAGCAGAGAGAGTTGTTCCTCTCTGCAGCTGGCCGTGTGTCATCTTCTTGAATCTGGCTGAGTTCAGGGTTTTTATGGGCCTCAGAGGAGAAGAAGTGTGTGCTGACTGGTCCATGGGCAGCCATGGGTGGGGCCAAAAAAGGCACCACAAGTTCCCACTCGGGTCGAGGGTCTGACAGCCCAGCCCTCAGGCTTCAGGCCCTCCCCCCTGCTTGAAGGTGGAGCTTCACCCAGGACCCACCCTCTTCCATCCAGGAGCCTGTCTGCCTCCTGCCACTGTTCATGGTGCCCAGGCTGTTTGTGCCAAGTGGAGCCTGCAGGCCAGCACCAAGCTGCACTTGGCACCCCTTCAGCCTCCCTCTCATAATCATTGATGCCCAAAGTACAGAGAGGGTTGAGATGACAGGGTGCTGACAGTGGGGAGATGCAAGGCAGCAGGAGAAGACACCTCCAAGCTTGAAGGGGCAAAGTGGGGGCCTTTCCAGGTCCCTAAGAGTCCAGAGGCACCTGGGGCTGCAGCCACAACTTGTGCAGATGCAGCCTTGCCTGGGAGGGCAGACCTCCTGCCCGCTCCCAGCTCCCACTGGCTCCATGGAACACGAAACCACCTCAAGCCCATCTCTGCCTCTGGGCCCTCTCTACCCTCCCCTCTGTGCCTGAACACACTGCTCCCACTCCAGTGGGCAACTTGGCCCAGCTCCATCCCAGAGGATCCCTGGGCAGTAGGCAAGGAGCAGGTGGTGTGGTGGCCCCGGCCAACCCCACACAAATGAACCTGATGCTCCCAGGGCCAGCCCTGCAAGTCCTTGCTGTGCCTTCAGCCAGGTCTCATGGGACCCTGGGATGCAGTGAGGAGTGAGGTTGAGCCACAGCAGAGGCCCCAAGACTGGGAGTAGGTCCTGTCTGGCCATGCAAGGGTCGGAATGGTGCAGTCAGCTGCCTTCCAGGGGTATGGCGCAGAGGGGACCCACAGCCACCACTGCTGCTCCCACAACCACTTCTGTGGCCACAGCTTGTGTCTCCCCACTGCAGCCAGTGTGATGGCAGTGGTCACTCCAGACAGCCTGCGCTGCCGTTAGTACCATGACAACACAGATGGGGGAACACTAAATTCTGTCAATCTCTAGATTTTTCAAGATATTTTTTCCATAATAAAGTACCGACTTTTCAAGAAAGTAAATTCCCATAATCTTTAATACAATAGGAATTTGCATCAGAAGGATCTTCTCTTCTACCCCAACATCACTGTAACTTTGTTTCTTTCTTTCTTTTCTCCTTATAAATGTTTCTTGGGAAAAAATGGCCTTACTTATAATAATAGACTTACTTAAAGACAGTTGCTTGTGGGGTAGGATTTAGGTCCCTAATCTCACTCCCCTAATGACTTTCCAAGCTTCTGAAATGCCTACTATTCATGCTTTAGCTTTATTTCAAGTAAACCTAGCAAAGTTCTATAAACTGTTTTTTTTAATTCAAAGATCCCTAGAAGTAAAGCATGTTTAACCATACAAATGTCTCACAAAATCTCAAAAAAAAACCTACATCTAAAATTAAACTCATGACTACTCCTACTAATCTGTTTCTTCTTCAGTCTTCCCAGTCTTTCCAAGTTACCTTCCATGCACCTAACTGTTCTTGCCAGGAATAAGAAACTCATCAGATTCTCACCTACTCCACAAAAACTGTTATTTTCAAGGTTTTCCTAAGTTTCCATGTTGCTAAATCCAACATATATTGGTCTATTCTCAATATTCTTCTTATTTGACTTATCTGAAACACTTGATACAGTTGATCACTTCTACCTTGAAACACTTTCTCTATTCAGCTCTCTGGACACCACCCTTTTCTTTCTCTATTTTTTTTTTTAGATGAAGATTTTGCTCTTGTTGCCCAGGCTGGAGCGCAATGGCACAATCTCGGCTCACTGCAACCTCCGCCTCCTGGGTTCAAACAATTCTCCTGTCTCACCCTCCCAAGTAGCTGGGATTACAGGCGACTGCCACCATGCCCGGCTAATTTTTATATATTTAGTAGAGATGGGGTTTCACCATGTGGACCAGGCTGGTCTTGAACTTCTGACCTCAGGTGATCCACCCACCTCAGCCTCCCAAAGTGCTGGGATTACAGGCATGAACCACCTCGCCTGGCCACCACCCTTTTCTTTCCGGATATTCCTCTCAACTTATTGTTTGCTCCTTTTCAAAATTCTTAACTGGTTTCTCTAATTCTGACTTCTGAATGAAGTCCCCCTGGGTTTGGTACATGGATCTTTTCCCTTTTTCTTTTTTTTCAAACACATTCCCTTGACAATCTCAATCAGTCACATGTCTCTCAAGACCATGAGCCATGTTATGGGCTCAAATGTGCTGCCCTTCCAAAATTCCTATGTTGAAGACCTAACCTCCAGCACTTCAGAATGTGACTGTATTTAGGGATAGGGTCTTTAAAGAGGTAATTAAGTTAAAATGAGGCCATTAGGGTGCGCCCTATTCTAATATTAGTGTCCTTTTAAGAAGATATTAGGACACAGAGGGAAAATTATGGACACAGGGAGAAGACAGCCATCTACAAGCCAAGGAGAGATGCCTGAGAAAAAACCAACCCTACAAACACCTTTATCTCAGACTTCTAGACTCCAGAACTGTGAGGAAATAAATTTTTGTTATTTAAGCCACCCAGGCTGTGGCACTTCATTATCGCAGTCCTTACAAATTAATACAAGCTAAATATATACATAAACTCATTCTTTTATATCCAACTGCCAACTCTATATCTCATTTTGGATGACCCAGTAAGCATCTTAATATATCCCAAACCAAGTTTCCCATCTAAGAAAATAGCAAAACCATCTCTCCAGTTGCTCACACTAAAAAGTTTGCAGTCATTCTCAACTCCTCTTTTTGTCTCTTACACCATGTCAACCTACTAGCAATCTTGTAGGGTCTACCATCAAAATAGGTCCAGAAGACAGCTACATCTCCCTCCCTCCATGATGCTACCCTGGTTCCAGCCACCATGATCCCTCAATGGGATTATTCCATAAGCCTCCTAACTGGCCTCCCTGCTTCTGCTGTGATGCCCAATTCATTCAATTTTCAACATAGCTTGCACAGTGATCTGATTTAAACAGAAGTCAGATCATGCCACCTGTCTACTCAAAACCTTCCAGTGATTTTTACCTCTCACGCCAAGTAAAAACCAAAGTCCTTACAATGGCCAAAAAACCAATAATAATAATAATAATAATTCCTATATCACCACTCTTCTTGCCTTTCTGGCATCATTCCCTACTGCTTTTCCTGTCACTCTGTTATCCTTTGACAGTCACTACTACAATCTCGGTTTTGTACATGCTGCTCCCTTTGCCTGGATTGCTCCATATGCATCTCCACATTGCTCAGTCTTTCACCTCTGTTCACATTCTCCATATATTTACTCAAACATCACCTTCTCAGTGAGAACTAATATACTGTGATCAGTATATTTAAAACTACAGCTTTCCCTTACTGCCTAGCCTGGCTCTAACTCCATTTATTTTACCCCATAGCATATATCACCTTTAAACATACTTTATATTTTTTTTATTTCCTTTTATTTATTTATTTTGAGATTTTTTTTTTTTTCTGTGGCCCAGGCTGGAGTGCAGTGGCAAAATCTCGGCTCACTGGAAGCTCTACCTCCCAGGTTCAAGCGATTATCCTGCCTCAGCCTCCCAAGTAGCTGGGACTACAGGCATGCGCCACCATGCACAGCTAATTTTTGTATTTTTAGTAGAGACAGGGTTTCACCATGCTGACTGGACTGATCTTGAACTCCTGACCTCAAGTGATCCTCCCACCTCAGCCTCCCAAAGTGCTGGAATTACAGGTGTGAGCCACCATGCCCGGCTTACAGATTTCTTAATTAAAATATTTAATTAATTATATAATTTTTAATTATATTACTTTAAGCTTATCTCACTTACTATATGCCTGCCCCACTCTCCCACAACCACCCAATTAGAATGTAGGTTCTGCAACATCAGATATTTTTTGTTTGATTCACTGTTTAAATTCATACAAGGTGATCAATAGATTTCTGTTCAGTGAATCATATATTATTATTGGTGTTAATTTAAGACTTGTCTATACATTAGACTGTAAGGTACATAAAAAGAAGAACAACGTCTGTTTTGCTCACCAGTGTATTTTTAATACCTAGCATTGTCACAGGCTAGAAAGTTTTTTAAATATCATTTTACCAATAAATAAATGAATAGATGGATTGTACTTCAGAATGAATTATTTCAAAAGAGATTTAAAAGCCCGTCACCTTGAAAGTGGCTTATAAACATGCAACTAAATGTGAATCAAATCAATTATTTATTGATAAAAGTAATAATAACATGATTTAATGTAAAAGAATATATCATTACAGAAAATCACTTAGCTATTCAAAATAAAACATTCAAAGATAAAGTAAATCTTGTAAACACAACACTGGGTGACATACAGCAAATTTCAGAAAAATACATGTATTGTGATATCTACCTTATGAATGTAAAGCATGCAATATGACTCAATTTATTGCTAAGAGAGATATGTACATGCAAAAAAAAAAAAGAAAGAAAGAAATGCATGTGAATAACAAGTACCAAACTCAGGAGAATATATATCTAAACAGGAAAAGGAGGAGAGTATAATTAGGAAAAGGCACGTGAGGGATTTCAACAGGATCTGTAACATTTTCTTTGGATAACTACTTGTGAATACATGGCTGCTCATTAAAGTGTTATTTACACATTTTTGTTTGTCTGAAATAATTCCAAATAATTCCACAATCCCAGAGAATCTTTAAACTATCTCCATGTTTCTCCGTGTTTTTTCTTTGCTATCCTACTTAAGCTAGCTCTTTAGTGTTCCCCGGGAGGCATAATCACACTGTCAATGATCAAGTTGCTTGCTCATTCAAAGTTTGCCTCTTTCTGTTGTGCACTGAATTCTAACTAATGTTAACACTTTCGTATATGGAGAAAAATCATTACCTTGAAAACTGGTTTTTATTCCTTAAAATAAGCTGTCATCTAATATCATGTATGTGTCTACTCTATAATAGCTATTAATAGAAATAAAGTTAAATTAGAAACATGGCTATGTTTCTTTCATCTATATTTCCAGAAGAATGATCCTGAGGAAATCACTAAATACAGTTTCCAGTCCAAATAACATGTATTCTTATTAGTCCAACTGGTGTCACTCATTGCTGCATGTGGTTCTTAACTCTTAATATTCAAGGCCTGAAGGATGTGTGAAGGGGGAAAACATTGTCACAAAACTTTTGGCATAGAGATTAAAAGTGCCAACAAAAAATTTAAATGTGATTAATCATTTTATGTTGGAGGGCCTACTATGGTATTACAAAACCACAGATTATAAAGCTTAAAATGACACTTAGCAATGAGCCCTGTCATGTTACAGAGAGAAAAACCATGTCTAGTTAGTAGAGTTTGTGTCAGATCTTAAGTTTTCCAGATTCTAGACTATTACTCTAAGACCTTTTCCCAGAAAACAGAGTCTAGTGATATCTCCAGAAGGAAAGGAAAAGACCTCCCTTTTTGAGAACTCTGTTGTCTCCTGCTAGGTATGTTAAAGATGCCATCATTTTTCACTCTCACAACAACTTCTTAAGTTAGGAATTATAAATCCATTTTCTTAAAGAGCAAACTCGGCTCAGAGAGCCAGTCACTTGCCCTACCTCCCAAAAGGAACAAATGACAGGACCAGAATCTAGGCAGGATTTGTTCAGGTCCAGAGCTGTGCTTGCTCCACTCTGCCTGCTCCTGTAAATAACCTAGTAATGAGCTAGGAGGAGGGAGGGGATATTATAGCAATCATCAATGCCCTGTAGTCTAAACGTCTCACCCAAAGGGGTGTACATTCTTATTACAATGTTTTGTGGTCCTCCAAAGAGTCACAGTACATAATAGGATATACACTATATCTGTGGTTTTAAATTTTCATGGGACAGGGAAGTAATCTTCAGGAAAAATGTCTAAAAGTCTCTTTAGGGGAGTGATAATGAAAAAAAAAGCTTAAGAAACGCTTCTCTATATGTTTCAAGAACAAAAATGCAAGTCAACTTTGAAGTCATTTCTCAGACTGTACATACAAACTCAAAATCAAGGTATGTGTTTCTCAATTCTGTTGAGTATGTTTTCAAGCATCAGTGGTTCTTTTCTTTTATAAGCCACAGGCTTTATGCTGGTCAAAGCATGGGTTTTAGAGTCAAGTGGATTTATCAAGTTGTCAAATCAGCTCAACTACTCATAAGTTTTGCAATTACTTGAACTTTCTGAGTTTCATCTTACAGGACCATTGAAATATTGAAATGCAATAGCATGTGAAATGCCTAACATAAAGTAATTTTCAATAAATGTGAATTCTTTCCCCCCACATTGGGCTATTAATTTCTTTGGGTAGTAAATCTCTATTATAGGAAGAAGAATGTAAGAATTGGTTACAATAAAGGCTGTTTTACTTTGGGGAAATAACTGAATATTTTTGACCTTCATAGAATTATGCAGCTTCCAGGTGGTCGTGGTTTAGTATTTGAGCATTTAGAAAAATAGGAGAGGGCTGTATAAGAATGAAGTAACAGAATTTGTTGGAGTATTATAAGGAGAACTTTAAATGGACTGTGACAGAGGAAAAAATAAATAAAATACTTATTTCAGTCATTACCATTAGTGGTCAGAATAGCTTGTATTTAAATAGTGGAACCACAGAGAATAAATATCTTAAAGGAAAGAAAGGAATAGAAAGCAGGTCAACTGACCTTTATCAAGATTTATGTTTCTGATGTTGTGATATAGCATACATAATATGCTTCAAGGCAACTGTTTGAATTCCAGAATGTTTTCAGTGGAGGACTGCATCCCCGCCCCATTGTGCTAGCTTAAGAACACGACAATTAGAATTGTAATCTTTATAATTTTCATGTTTAATATTTCCCCTTTCCTTCTATAACAGGTAATATGAAAATTTAGCTAAACTTGTGCCCCAATTGAGATTAAATTCAAATAAATATGTTATCTCATATCTATAAGCCAAAAATATCTTCACCAATAAATTTCATATTTCAAAGAACTTGCTTTATAGGTAGACTAATATTAATACTCATGTTTATCTTTCTACATTAACATAATTGCCTTAGGTTCTCCCCTACAATTTTAAAAGGGCATATACCAAGTGGAAAAGATTATATATACAATAAAATATAATATATATGTAGAATATGCATTTTTATTGAACAATAAATGTGTATATGCCTGTCCATCTAAATCTTATGTCTTATGTGTGTTTGACAATCTTGCTGTGATAATCACACAGGTATTAAAAACTGGCACATTTTATTTCTCCAGGGAAGGAATAATATCACTTTAATTATTCTTATCACCATGGTACAGTAGCAGCAATTTAGAAATACACTGGATCGGGTTATGAACAAGTGACTCAAGAACTGAGACACTGGCTGAAAATAATGAGATGAAGAAAAATTTGACAAAGTTTTATTTCTATTTGTTAGTAATAAAAGGAATCATCATTTTACTGAATATATAGCCATTGGTTTTAATGATTTCAGAACAAATAATCTTGTCCAGGGGGTTTTAGTCATCTTAGTCTTTACTTATTCTTATCTGAGAAGAGCAGAAATAAAATTTCTCATCAGAAAAGTAGACACGGCTCCTGCCTATCTTTCTGTCAGCAGTCCACCAGAGTGTTCATTTCAAGGCACCATATCTAGCTCCAGATGACCTAGGTCAATGTCCATTAAATATTGGGAAAAGTAAATCTTTCAAGTCCCAAAGTGGTGAAAGAAAAATTAGCATTCCAAAATCATTCTTTGCCACTGCTTCTTTCTTTTAATATATTTGAAACTATTCCTAGAAACTTTTAAAAAAAATAGGAACTTTAAAATATCTAAACCTTCCTTTTATCACACCCTGTCTCACATCACTTCTAAAATACATGTTTTGAAGTGCAATTCCCGAGTTTTACATTATGTCTGGACTTCTGGCTAATTCTAGTATTGAGTACTCTAGATGGGCTATTTTGCTTCATTCTGTTATAATTATATGTCAGAACCAATTACTCTACATGAATGCAATTTTCCACATAAATGGTGTTGACAACAACTGATATTGTGGCCCAGAGGCTGTAGAAATGGTCAAAGCCCTAGCTGGGAGGATAGCTTTTAAAAATGTTGTTTAACTGAATTAGCTTATTTCCTTTCCTTTCTGCTGCCTATTTTCCACCTCTTGTTTAGAATGAACCAACATTTTAATAGCCAGGACTAGAAAAGTGGTGGTGAGGGGAGGCATTAAATGAAATGATAGTTTATCTAGAGAACATGCAATGAATCCACACTTAACTTTCTTCATCACTTTCCCCTATTTCAGAACTTGCATAAACTTCTGTAAAGTCTTCAGTTCTTGTTTTGTTTATTTATTTGGGATAAAATAAATTATCATCTCATCTACGTACAAGGAGCAAAATACACAGGTAGCCTTGCATGGATCATAGACATGAGAAAACTGAGCATTCTCAAACTTTTTAAAGATCAATTTATTTTGAAAAAATTTACAGGACTGATTTTGCTATCTTTTCAAATAAGCATTTCTGTGAATTTTTAAGTTTGAAATGTTATATTCAAGTAATTTCCATTTATATAAAAATATAGCAATCAAAATATACTTAGCATTGCATGACATCATACAAGGTACTTTACGAAAAGGAGAAGAGCCATTTCCAAACCCCAAAAAAGTAATGCTAGAGTCTGCAGAAAACAAAACTGTATTCCTATTACAGAAAGAGCTGGATCTTTCTCCTTTGATCTCAGATGTTCCTCTGGAATTTACATAACAGAGCTTAGACATGGTCAATAACCTAAACAAACTTAAAATCTCGTGTTCCAAAACATACCTTTTAACTGAATGTCTACATATACTTTTCATAAACTTTGGATGAATCATCAGGATCAAAACCCAAAAGGCCTCCATTCAATAACACCCACCTAGTGCCAGCCACTAATTTGAAACTTATTTTGAAAAAAGGGCTGAAAGGGAGTTTGCTTCCTGTCTGAAGCACAGAGGTGGTATATTAGGGTAGTTCAAGGTCTGAGGGAAGAGATACAATTTGTTTTACTCATATCTTCACCATTTACATCTGCATCTTTTAGCTTTCAACTTTAAGAAATGGTTTGAGTTGCTTTCTGTCTGCTTCGTTTTTATAACAGACTTGAAAGAAGTCAGTTTTGTCCTTCCAGACATCCTAGCAGATGCTATCGGATTGATACTAACCACTGCCATTTTAACACTACACAGAAACAAAATGTAGATTCATTCTTAACCACGGCAGTAAATGTTCTGCAGCAACAAATGAATTTTTAAAATATAGATATGTTAGGATGACAGGTTAAACTGGTTTAGAAGGTTCCTGTGGATAAGAAGTATATGCTGGAATATAAATTGATTTCTGGAAGCTGTAGAATTTGATGTGAAAGATTTAGGGACTGAAAACCATCCTGGGGTTCAACCCTCTGTCAAAGATTCATCTTTAGTTCTACTTAGTAAGAACTCCATACCCGTGAGAGAGATATAGAGAGAGCAAGAAATGAGACCATTATGATCACTTTTGGTTGATATGCTCTTATGGCTACACCCATCTGAAGGGACTGTGCTTCTTTAGAATACACCATGAAAAACAGGCAGAGAATATAGAAACTGGAAATGCAATCTATGGACAGAGCTACTTTAAAAGAAAATATTTGCCTGATTCTTCTCTAAGGAATCAATAGATCTTCAGTGTCACATAACAAAATTTAAAGGGAAACATCAAATCCCTCAAAAGTCTTAGGTATCTGACCATGAGTCATCAGCCTAGTATGTCATTCTCTTCTATATTACAAAAGAATTCATTTCCTCTCTTTCAACAAATATTTGTTCTATGTCTGCCATGTAACAGGAGCTGTGTCCTGGCATTAAGAAAACAGCAGTGAACAGGAGAAGGTAACCATACAAAGATCACTGATAACAGTACTTCACACATTATTCTTCATAAGTTCCTTATGAGACTAAGTCACTGAGAATAGCATTGCAGTGTTACACACTAAACTTTCTTCACTTTCCTTTTCAGACCTTCAAGCCTTTCAACCACAAGTCCATAGATCTGTTTGCAATAATCTTGCTGATTTATATGTCAATGGGATAATGAATTTTCAAATCTAAGATGGGTGCACCAAAGGGTTCATGTTGAGTCACATGAAATTTGAAGGGAGAATTACACTGAATTTTAGAAGCCAGCATATAGTAATGTTGTTTCTTTATAACTTATTTCAATTTTATTTAATCTATGAATATTCAACCTAACATTAAAAGTATTGTAGAACATCTATATGATTTTTGTTAATTAAAAGAATTAAATTATATTAGCTGTTTCCAAAAAGTGTTGTCTATTTTACATAAACAGCCATACTAGGGGGTTGGCAACACAGTACAGAGCACAAATGAATTTTCCTGATAAAAGAAATACTAATACTTCAGAAAATGTATCTATCTTCTCGAGACCTCCAGATAATTTGAACAGCATAGAACTACCAGGATGTTCCAGCCACTTCAGAACTTGAATTGGCCATTTTGTTAGAAGAACTTGAAAAATAGATTCTCTATTAATCTATATCACATGAAGCAGGAAAAACCCTCACTAATCTATGTCAAATGATTTCATGTATGGTCTTTGCTCAATTTAAGTTCAATTGTTTTTTTTTTATTTAAACAACATGTAACTACTAGGTGATAGATGTATGTGCTAATTAAAATGCCACATTTCCAAAAAAGATTTGGGCAGAATTGAGCCAGTTATTTATCTGGGAAAAGAGAAAGAAGTATTTCCGGTTATCATGGAGTGCTTATAAGCCAAGTAGATCCACAGGCCATATTTGCATTTTGTGCTAATGCCATTTCTATCTATATGCCCCTACCTTACTCTCTGGTGTGAACCTTCTATATTGTAGGGGCTCTAATGATAGCCTCTAGTCACTTGTCAAGGACAGCTCCCTTGCATCTGCTATTCTTCCCCCTAGAAATAATCTTCTGGATGCACGTACGGCTGCCTTTTTTTCTTCTGTCAGATTTTAGCACAAACTTTCTCTCCTCCCAGAAACCTTTCTAGATCACCTATGTTCATTTGGTAACAAAAGTTACTTAACAAATAAACCCAAACGTAATGGCTCAAACACAGTAATGGTTAACTTCTCTCTCAGTGAATAGTTCAGGCAAATCTTGCAGGTTGCAGCCAAAGCAAGAGCCTTTGCTCCACACAGTCATTTGGGGACCCAGGCTGACAGCAGTGCCACCATTTTTAACACGTGACTTCCAAGATTCCTTTGGTTACTCTACTCATTGTTGTGACTTTACAGCTCACAAAAAGAAATAAAAAGCACTAACAATCATGTGAGAAAGACCTGAAGTGGCACACTTCACTTCTTCTCGTAGACTATTGGAAAGAACTTACCCAAATGGTTACTGCACTATGTACTGTATTGAAATTTAGAAATTAAGTGTAGTTGGGAAACCACATGTCCTATTATGGTAGAAAAACTGGAGAATGAACTTTGATGGACAGCTAGCAATGGCTACTGTAGCACACTAGTTTTAAGTCACTTGCAGTAGGTTTCCATCTTTCCACTTAACACAAGATCTTCAAGGCAGGAACTTTGTCTATCTTGCTCATGTCTACATGCTTGACATAAGAATAGTACTTGGCACTGAAGAGATTATCAAACAATATTTGCTAGCTGATTTACCAGGCCAATTCCTCTAAAGACTTTTGTGGAATGAAATCCAGATATTTATTTGCCATGGCTCTCTGATGTCCAAAAGTCTGCTTTCAGAAATAACCATGTTCATCTCTTCTTACTTGGTGCCCTTTCATAACTGTCAAATAACGGAACAATTCCTAGCATTATTGAGAAGCCGCCTCATGCCATATACCACTAAATGCTCCATATGTATTGTCTCATTTAATCTTCACAATAACCCTAGCAGGTAGGTACTCATATTAGTCCATTTTTACAAATTAAGAAAGTGAGTCTTAGGAAGTAACTCACATAATAGCAGTTACTTTGTAAGTAATTCACTCAAGGCCCACGGTGGATAAGGTAATAGAACTTGGACTTAAATCCAGTCCTGGAACTCAGTCTCCAGAGCCCAACCTGTTAACCATTAGGCCATATGGTCTCCCAAAAATTATTAATTCATTTAAAGCAGTGGTTCTCAACTGGGGACAGTTTTGGCAATGTCTGGAGACATTTTTGATTCCCATGACTAGGATATGGATGTTATCAGCATCTAGTGGATATAGATAAGGATGCTGTTAAACATCCTAAAATGCACCTGATCACCCCCAGAAAAGAAAAGAGTTATTCAGTTCAAAATGTCAACAGTGCTGAGGTTGAGAACCCTGATTTAGAAGGACACACTGTTTAGGCAGTGACATGTTGCTTTGAACAAATCATAAGCAAAAATCTTCTTAATCTGATTTTTTCCAAAGGTTATTTTTTGTTCACTTGAAAATTCTGTTTGAGATTGTCCTATTAAGTTGTTATTTACTTCCTCTTCTTATACTTCAGCTTCTAATTTCCATTTGCCCCTGGATATTTTATTTATTATCTTTTTAAAGCTTGAGTTGCCTTTTGTGACAGCTCAGGAAAGTCTCCACTGTTTTTTATTCAAATACCTTTCTGTACCCTACCTCTTTAATGACACCTTCCTCTACAGGTTAGTAACCTTTGTGACAACCTCCCCAACACAGACCTAAATCAAATGTTCATAGAGCTCCCTCTTCCCTCATTAACTTACCAAAAGTACTTATCCCATTTGAGGCCACTGTGTTCTCTTGAACTTAGCCAGGATTTTAATGAACATTTAATATAAATCCACTCATCTTATTTAAAAAGTAAAATGAAAATGGCAAGTTAATAGCAAAACCAAGATGTGACACAAGGCCTCCTAACTCCCAGTTGATTATTATTTGTAAGATACCACATCACCTCCTACCTGAGAAAATGTCCAAATGCATTTACACTTTATCATATTAATGATTTAATATAATTATATCTAAAAATAGAGTTAAATGTGTTAATTTCTAAGTAAGTTGTTTGGTATCATTTGCTTTTTATATTTGTGTATTTGCTCTGACACTAAAAATGTCTCAAGATGTTGTTTACAGAAATCAAAACTACTGATTTTTACTTATCACTTTGCCCCTTCACTGGCTTTATAGTCAGACAATATGAATATAGCCTTATAAAATTTTAATTGGAATGTTTTATTTTTAATATAATAGTATTTAGTAAGCTTGGTAATGACAGAGAGCATGAAGAAACTCCAGCATCCAAGAAAAAGAAAGTTGGGAATTTTTACATTTCTTTTAACCTGTTGCCCAGAGTTATTACTTTAACTTAAATTGATTTGGGGGGTAGCAGGAATGACAGGATGGAGGCAAGAAGTGGGTAGTGAGGATGATGAAAGAAAAAAGACTACAGATGAAGAAATCCACTTAAAGAAAAACGGAGGGAAACCAATCTGAGCAACTCAGAAAGCAAATGGCCCCAAATGTGAACTTACCACCACCAAACGCAGGATCTCCAGGTGTTTTCTTTCCTTTTCCTGCAGAGACAAGATTGTCAGGATGTCAAGAACCTGACTGAACTCTGCCGCCCTGCACTGTGAATTCCAGAGCTATGTGTGTCATTCTTCCCATCTGTTTCTAATTTAACATGCTCTTTCTCTCCAGATAGCTTTACAAATAGCTAAGCACACTTAATGTGGTGACCCAACCAGGAAGGATGTGTCAGACTGCTAGCTCTGGTGCTCCTTTCAAATGAGTGTTTAGACAGGCAAAACATGACCAGCAGCTATTCCTTGCCATAGATTTCCGTGGCAGTGAGCATGTCAAATCTCTATATGCTCTTTCTTGTGACCATGGCTGCTGTTTCACTGTGATTATCTTAAAAGAACTATAGGTAAAATCTAGGCATTCTCATGAATATGAATTTTTATGGAAATGAACATCAAGTATGGAATGTAAGCATGTGTAGAACAATGAAGAAGCAACAGATGTGAATGAGTGAGAAGGGGAAAACAAGAGGAACCAGATGGTTAACACCCCTGTGAAAAATGAATATGAGATGCAGCACAATTGCCCTCTTGGTAGAAATAGAAATATTGTAGCCTTAACGAGAATTTGGTACCCAGTTTAATCTTTTCCTGTCCCCTATTATCCTGCTTCTTGCCACTCTACTATAATGTTGACTCAGAGACTTTTACAACCCCAGAGTGTAATATTGGTTGTGGAACACTAAACCACACAATTAAAGAATACACTTAACCATGATGTCACATCATACCTGAATGGTTGGATGATCCTGGAAAGAATAGGAACAAAGAAAATGAGAAAAAGAAACACCCTTACACTATTCCCAGTAAAAAGAGTAGCAAACATGAGAAAGATAAATGCATAGGGTTTCTCTTTCTCACTTTTGCCACTCTTTCAAATATATAAGCTATAAGACAATAGATAATAAGATTTTAGATATAAAACATCTCATAGATATAAATTAGATATAAAACATCCAATTAGATGGTAATCAGATAGAAAAGATCCAATAGAAGTGGATTTTTTAACATAAATTGACATTAAAAAGTCCCAAAATTGTATAAGGTAACCTCCACCAAATATGCAAACACATGAGTTATGGATGTAAAATCATAATACACAAATTATTGTGTGTTCATTAAATAATTTAAGATATGACTTTTTTCATACTGCAAAACCATTCAGTTTATCATAACTCAGACTAAGAGACATCTTGTGCCTACAGAGTTCTCAAAAATATCCTGCATATGCAAAGGTCCCTTATAGACATAAATGAAGTAAAACAAAATAAAATTGAAAGGAGAACTGTGAAAGAAGTAACAAAGCAAATTAGCATTAAGCCTTTTCTGTGGGTTTTGTCCAATCCATGCTCTTTAATGTGAAGAGAGAACTTACAATGTTTATTTAAAAAAAATGAATGGAGTGAGAATTACATTTGACTCCAACTCTAATTGGTCTTAGACTGAAAGATATGATAAGGTATTACTTTGTATAACCATTTTAGTAAAGGCACAATTCAACTTGTATTTTCAGGGGCGCAGGTGCCAGAAGCCAGTCTTTTTTACCCCCAACAGATTTTTCTTCTCTTATGTCTTATTGGTCATATTGTGCCACATGGCCATTCCTTGTTCTCTGGGAAGTAGAAAAAAAAATGAGTATTTAGGTTTTTAATCCTTTATGAGGGAAGGTGGCAAAGCAGAAGGGGTTGGGAATGAATATTTAGTGAGCCAACAATGTTGGCCACAAGCATCCTTTTTAATTTGCTTTCCAATGAAAGAGGTATTTGTGACTGGTTCTACTCTTCTGTCGCTTTCCTGCTTTGAAAGCAAATGTGATGCCCTGATCCCTAGAAGGCAACAGTATCATGGAGTTGAGAAGCCAAACCACCAAGGAGAGCAGAGCAGAAAGGTGAAGAGCACCTGAGTCTTTACTGATGTCACCAAGCCACTGCACCAGCATAGACTTACTTCTTTCCAGACTTTTTCCTACATGAGAAAAATAATCCCCTATTTGTTTTAGCTGCTGTTGCTCTTTTGCATGTTAAGGTAGTGCTCTATTGAATACTTTAACATTTTCCAGGTCAAGATAGAAAACCATTCAAATGCCAGTACACAGAGAATTGGCATGGGGTGCGGGTGCCAGGGCAATAAGGGAGAAGCAAAGTGGAGGCAAACTCCAACTCTCAGGAAAAAAAATTAAAGCTAACAATGTACTTCAGGATTAAGAGACTAGGAAAACTGGAAGATGGATTATAACATCTGAGGAAAGAAAGAATCCCAAACCACAGATAAATCTATTGCTTAAATCCCACAATCTCTGCACAGATTTTAAAAATGTCCTACATGCTTTTCTTCAAGATAGCTGTACATTAACTTTGTGTAAGCAGGGAAGAAAAAATAAAATAAAATAAAAGGGAGATTGTCCAAAGTGTTGACCAGAGAATGAGGTTTTATAAAATTAAAGCCAAAAGACTGAATAATTAAGATTAAATATACGTGTCTCTTGTACAAAAAGGCTAACTAAAATCAATATAGAAATCATTATCAGATTTCAGATGAGTAGAGACTATCTTCCAACTAAATTATGAGAAGCAAAAGAGAGATAAAATACCATCCCCTGGAAAACTCTAATTCTGTAACTGAGAGAAGACCAGTAAAATCCTTTCGAAACAACTAGCATGATTTTGAAAAAAAATTTAATCCAACTCCTTTATTTTACTGATGGGAGTTTATGAACCAGAGAGGCTACATTATCAAACAGAGTAAAGCAAATATTTGTAACATTGTAAGGATATTTGTTAAAAATAACAATTAACATTCACAGGTCAGTCACTTTTCTAGCCAATTTATTTACATTATCTCATTCAATACTAACAAAAACCCTATGAGATCATTATCTCATAGTTAACTATTGTGACGTCTATTTTAGAATTGAGGAACAGAGGATCAGGAGCTTAAATAACTCACTTAACATAAAACATGGAGTCAACTAAGGCTTCCATTTAACTAGGCTATCAAACACAAAGCCCTCATTCTTACAATACTCTTCTAATGATAGTTCCATCTTTATGAACATTCCAGGTAATTTTATTTCACTTTTCACTGAGAACAAAACAAGTTACAATTTGATAGCACAATAGGGTGACTATAGTCAATAACTTAATGTATATTTCAAAATAACTTAAAGAATGTAATTAGATTATTTGTAACTCAAAAGATAAATGTTTGATGGGATGGATACCCCATTATCCACGATGTGCTTACTTCACATTGCATGCCCGTATCAAAATGTCTCATGTACCCCATACTTATATCCTATGCTGACTACTTTGAAATTGTCTTATTTTATTTATATATATATATATGGGGTAGGTGTCCACTTTGCTTCTCCCATATTTATGTGTGTGTGTATATAGCTTATATATTTGAAAGAGTAGCAAAAGTGAGAAACAGAAACCCTATACATGTGTAGGTGTATATACATATATATAAGTAGGTGTATCTGTATGTGTATATATACACACGTATATATGCATATATATACACACACACACAACTATATACCCATAAACATTTTTTAAACAACAGGTTACAGGTAACAATGTGTCAAAGATGGATAGTTATGTAATGAGTGGCTTCATGAAAATATAATTTTTATTTCATTTAAATTTATAATTTTAATAAAAATAAACAAGAGGCTTTGTATAACCTCATAAACTATCCTATGCTGGACTACTTTAAAATTGTCTAATTTTATTAATGCACTAAGATCTTAGATGAAGCCCGTGTTTGTGAAGTTACCTATTAGGTCAGCATTTTTACAATGGATCTCTCCTGGTAACCTGCCCCCAAAACCTAAGCATTTGTAGCAATCAAATCTTCACCTATTGTTTCAAGATTAGTACTCTCTTTGAGGAAGAGATAAGGAAAGTCAAGAATACTTCATATGGGGTGTCTTCATCTTTCAATCTGAAAATGCCAAAGTTGAAAGCCTAGCTGGCAAAACTTTAAATTCCATTACCTCCCAAACCAGAGAGAGCTTACGGATCTAGGCAATGAAGTCAATTACCAACATCACTAATGTAATTTTAATTATTCTGCATGGCAATCACTTGCTATAAGGCCATAAATGTCAAAAAAAAAAAAAAACCCACGAAGTTTAGGATTTGCAATAATCAGGCACAAGTATATGATTGGGCGGGATAATTGAGTTATCAGTACTTAGAGGAAACAACTGCCCATAAAACAATAAAAAGCATTTTGTTTAGGCTGACTCTGAGAAAAACAGCATAACATGGAACTATAATTTAAAGTAGGAAGAAAGTGAGCGTGAGAGAAAGAGTGAGAGAGAGGGGAGGGGAGCGAGAACGTACAGACTATGAAAGAAGCTTAGGATGCAAGACATACTGTTTTTGTGTAAAGCACATGTTGACTTGGGAAGAGTTAGTTGTCACCAAGTCACTGCAGCACGCTTGTAACATGATGCCTTTTAAAGACCAGAGATGATGCATAATTTACAAAATGCCACAAAAATACATGAATTGTAAATCAGTCTAAAAATTTAGAAACTTAAAACAGCTAGGTAACGACAGAAAATACAAGTATGAAATATATCATCAAGTTAGTAAAAGAAGCAATAGCTTTAAGGAGACTTAACAGAGAAGTTGCCCCCGGAGAACAAAAAGGAAGCACAAAAAAGAAAAGATAAGTAATAGACTAATTTAAATATGTATTACCTCCTTTTTTTTTTTAGACGTTCTCACTCTGTCACCCAAGCTAGAGTGCAGTGGCATGATCTTGGATCACAGCAACCTTCATCTCCTGCACTTAAGCAATCCTCCCACCTCAGCCTCCCACATAGCTGGAACCACTAGTGTGTATCACCATGCCTAGCTAATTTTTGTATTTTTTTTTTTGTAGAGATGGGGTTTCACCATGTTGCCTATGGTGGGTGACTTGACTGCACATCTTTTTTTCTGGGTAATTTTAGTTTGTAAATGGCTTAGCCAAAATATATTTGTAGAGCTGCTTCACAGAAAGGTTGGGGATTCCTGCCATCTGATGTACAAAGACAAAAACCAGAGTGATTCCTGTTGGGCCAGAAATTCAAAAATCCTACTATGGAAAATTGCTACTTGAAAATCCCAGTGGTTCATAAAACATTAATTGCATGCTGAATTAGATTACTACTTAAAATCTTTAAACTGGGAATCCAAAAATTAATTATTTCTGTAAAATGCTAGCAGATTCTCACATGAAACGGCTAGATGGAGATAAAGAGAAAGAGCTGGTCCCAAAAAATGTACGCATGAGTGAGTATGAATGTGTGTATAGATTTTTTTTAACTTCTGTTAGTCTCACAATTCAATTAAATGAGAAATCATATTGTTAAACCCAAGGGTCAACCCAGACTCAATTTTTTTTTTGTATTCCCAGATGGTCTTATGCTTTGCCATTATGCAAGGATTAGAAAAGGACAGTATCTTTTTCTCTAATTACTGAAATATAATTGATATAAAATAAAGTGAGCATATATAAGGTTTACAGTTAATCGGTTGTGGCATATGAATTCACCTAGGCAGCCATTCCTATAATCAAAAGAGTGAGCATATTTGGTTCTCTGTTCCTGTGTTAGTTTGCTAACGATAATGGCCTCTAGATCCATTCATGTCCCTTTAAAGGACATGATCTCTTTCTTTTTTATGGCTGCATTGTATTCCATGGTGTTTATGTACCAGAATTGTTTCACCCAGTCTATCATTGATGGGCATTTAGGTTGATTTCATGATGAGCACACAGGGACACATAGAGGGGAACAACACTCACTGGGGCCTCTCAGAGGGTGGAGGGTGAAAGGAGGGAGATGATCAGGAAAAATAACTAATGGGTACTAGGTTTAATACCTGGGTGATGAAAAAATCTGTACAGAAAACCCCCATGACACAATTTTACCTATGTAGCAAACCTGTGCTTGTACCCCAAACTTAAAATAAAAGTTTTTTGTTTTTTTTAAAGAAGCATATCTATCACCCTTAACACTTTCTTTGTGCCTCTTTGTCTTCCTTCCTTCCTCCTCTCCACTCTCTGTGCCATCCCCAGGCCACCATCAATCTGCTATCTGTCACTATAAAATAATTTATATTTCCTGGAGCTTTTTATAAATGGGATCATACACTATATCCTTTTTTCTTGTCCAGCTTATTTTGCTCAGTATAATTATTTGGAGATTCACTCATACTGTGTGTACCAGTAGTTTTCTGCTTTTCATTGCTGGGCAGTGTTCCACTACATTGACATAACACGATTTGTTTTTTCAATTACCTGTTACTGAACATTTGGGTTTTTTTAAGTTTAACATTTTAAGAAACTGCCAAATAACTTTGCAAAGTGGTTTTACTATTCAAATTCCCACCAATAATGTATGGGAATTCCAGTTCCTCCACATCTTTGTTAACATGTTCTATGGTCAGTTCTTTAATTTTAGCTATTCTAATAGATGTGTAGTAATAGTATGACATTGTAGTTTTAATTTGCATTTCTCTATTGAGCATATTTTTATGTGCTTATTTATTATCAAGGTATTTTCTTTGATGACATGTCTATTCAAATATTTTACACAGATTTGATTGGTTTATTTTCTTATTGCATTTTGAATTTTCTACACATTCTGAATAAAAGGCCTTCATCAGATATAAAGTTTGCAAACATTTCTCACAGAATATGAATTGTCTTCCATTCTCTTATGGATTCTTTTCAAAACATCAAAAGTTTTAAATTTTGATGAAGTCTAATTTATTTTATATGGACTTTACTTTTAATGTGGTATCTAAGAAATCTTTGCCCGACACAACATCATTCTCCTATGTTTTTTCTTAAAGTTTTATAGTTTTAGCTTTTATGTTTAGGTCTATTATTCTGTCATGCACATCCATGTGCAGAGGTCACCAAACAGGCTTTGTGTGAGCAATAAAGCTTTTTGATCACCTGGGTGCAGGTGGGCTAAGTCCGAAAAAGGAGTCAGCGAAGGGAGATAGGGGTTGGGCAGTTTTATAGGATTTGGGTAGTAGCAGAAAATTACAGTCAAAGGGGTTGTTCTCTGGTGGGAAGGGGCAGGAGTCACAAGGTGCTCAGTGGGGGAGCTTCTGAGCCAGGAGAAGGAATTTCACAAGGTTAATTGCTCAGTTTAGGTGGGGTAGGAACAAATCACAATGGTGGAATGTCATCAATTAAGGCAGGAATCAGCCATTTTCACTTCTTTTGTGATTCTTCAGTTGCTTCAGGCCATTTGGATGTATACGTGCAGGTCACAGGGGATATGATGGCTTAGCTTGGGCTCAGAGGCCTGACATTCCTGTCTTCTTATATTAATAAGAAAAATAAGAAAAATAAAACAAAATAGTGTTGAAGCATTGGGGCAGTGAAAATTTTGGGGGGTGATATGGAGAGATAATGGGCGATTTTTTTCATGGCTGTTTCGAGCAGGATTGGGGTGGCATGGGAACCTAGAGTGGGAGAAATTAAGCTGAAGGAAGATTTTGTGGTAAGGGGTGATATTGTGGGGTTGTTAGAAGGAGCATTTGTCATACAGAATGATTGGTGATCGCCTGGATGCGGTTTTGTATGAATTGAGAAACTAAACAGAAGGCACAAGGTCCAAATAAGAGAAGGAGAAAAACAGGTATCAAAGGACTAAGAATTGGGAGGACCCAGGACATCCAATTAGAGAGTGCCCAAGGGGGTTCAGCATAATATCTTGCTTGGTTGGTGAATTTTGGGGCTCTATCCTTGACAGAGTCCTCCTTTTTAAGTTGGAGGCTGAGCTTGGTGAGGTGTGTTTTTAAAAGACCATTAGTCCCGTTCTACCTTTCCTGAAGATTGAGGACGGTAAGGGGTATGAAATTTCCATTGAATACCAAGAGCCTGAGAAACTGCTTAGCTGATTTGACTAATAAAGTCCGGTCCATTATTGGACTGTATAGAGGTGGGAAGGCCAAACCGAGGTATTATGTCTTACAGAAGGGAAGAAATGACCACTGTGGCCTTTTCAGACCATGTGGGAAAGGCCTCTACCCATCTAGTGAAAGTATGTACCCAGACAAAGAGGTATTTTAGTTTCCTGACTAGGGGCATGTGAATAAAGTCAATTTGCCAGTCCTGGGCAGGGGCAAATCCCTGAGCTTGATGTGTAGGGAAGAGAGGGGGCCTGAACAATCCCCAAGGAGTAGTAGAATAGCAGATGAAACACTGAGAAGTGATTTCATTGAGGATAGAGTCCTATGATGGAAAGGAAATGAGAGGTTGGTTCTAAGAGGTGGGCTAGCGGCTTGTAACCTACATGGAAGAGGTAATGAAATGACGACAGAATAGAACGGGCTTGTGAGGCTGGAAGGAGATTCTTTTTTGGTCTAAGAACCATCTGCCTTGAGTGGTGAGGGATCGATAGGTGGAAACTTCAGTGGGAGAGTAAATAGGAGTGACTGATGAGGAGAAAAACTGGCCATGAGGGACAGAAGTAGGAATATTGGCTGCTTTTTTAGCTATCTTATCAGCATAATTGTTGCCTTGAGCAATGGGGTCTGAGGCCCTTTAATGGCCTTTGCAGTGAATGACTCCAGCTTTTTTTTTTTTTTGGAAGTAAAGCAGCCTTGAGAAGAGTTTTTATTAAAGAGGTATTAATGATGGAGGACCCTTGTGTAGTGAGGAAACTTCTTTCTGCCCATGTAATAGCATGGTGGTGAAGGATGTGGAAGACATACTTGGAATCAGTGTAGATATTGACACATAGTCCCTTTGCCACACAGAGATATGAGGGCTTGCCCAAAACTGTGAGGTCAAGTTGTTTGGACAGAAAGGCTACAGGGCTCGGTCCTGGCTTTTGTGTAAGGAATTCCAACTGCATAGCCCTGTACTTTGGCTGTGTGTAATGAAAAGAGTTGGGATGAGTTAGGGAGAGCTAGTGTGGAAGCAGCTTCTAGGGCTGTTTTTAAGGAATGGAGAAAGGAGTGGAGAAAGGATTTAGGATGTATGGGGTCAGCTATGTTTCCTTCTGTGAGTTTATATAATGGTTTAGTCAGGATGGTAAAACTAGGTATCCAAAGGCAAAAGTACCTAGCCATGCCTACGAGGAAAAGAGCTGTTGTTTTGTAGAAGGGGTTGAGGTTTGGAGATTAGCCACACACAATCAGTAGGGAGAGCACATGTGTTTTTATGAAGAATTATGCAGAGATAGGTAATAGATGAGGAAGAAACTTAGGCTTTGGAGGGGGATATGTGATATCCCTTTGAGAATAGATATTGGAGGAGCAGGAGTGTGTCCTGTTGGGAAGATTTGTAAGAGGTGCTGCAGATAAGGTGAATATCCTGAACTAGCCCATAAGATTTGTCCAGTTTCTGGACAGGTGGGGTAGGGGAGTTGTAAGGAGAATGTGTAGGCTTTAAAAGGCCGTGTTGTAACAGGCAAGTGATAGCAGGCTTTAGTCCTCGTAAAGTCTGTTGTGGGATGTGGTACTGGCATTGAGCCAGGTAAGAGTGATTAGGTTTTAATGGGATCGTAAGGCATGCCTGATGGGTCACCAAGGAGGAAGTAGAGGTGTCCCATACTTGTGGATTAAGGTAGGGAGACACAAGGGGAGGATGCAAAGGAGGCTATGAACTGGGGAAAAGGGTGGCAATAAGGTGTGGCTGTCGTACAGGAATAGTCAGGGAAGCAGATAATTTAGTTAAAATATCTTGAGTTAATAAGGGAGCTGGGCAGGTGGGGATAACTAAAAAGGAGTGTATAAAAGAATATTGTCTAAATTGGCACCAGAGTTGGGGAGTTTTAAGAGGTTTAGAAGCCTGGCCGTCAATACCACAGCAGTTATGGAGGCAAGGGAAACAGGCCCTTGAAAAGAAGGTAATGTGGAGTGGGTAGCCTCCATATTGATTAAGAAGAGGACAGACCTACTCTTCATTGTAAGAGTTACCCAAAGTGTCTGTGATGGTCCAGGAGGCTTCCAAGGCAATTGGGCAGCATCAATCTTCAGCCGCTAAGCTGAGAAGATCCGGGAAGGAGTCAGTCAGGGAGCCTTGGGCCAGAGTTCCAGGGGCTCTGGGAGTGGCTGCCAGGTGAGTTGGACAGTCCGATTTCCAGTGGGGTCCCACACAGATGGGACATGGCTTAGGAGAAAACCTTGGCTGTGGGCATTCCTTGGCCCAGTGGCCAGATTTCCAGCACTTGAAGCAAGATCCTGGGGGAGGCAGTCCTGGAGGAATGCCTGGCCACTGTGGTTCAGGCATTTTGAAGTTCTTGTGTGCTGTAGATGTGGCTGGGGTTTCTCTCACAGTGGAGGCAAGTAATTGCAACTCAGAAATACGTTGCTACTTGGCTGCCTCTTTTATTGTACACCTTGATGGCGAGGTTAGTTAAGTCCTGTTGCAGGGTTTGAAGGTCAGAATCTAATTTTTAGAGCTTTTTCTAATGTCGGGAGCTGGTTGGGTAATAAAATGAATATTGAGAATAAGAGAGCCTTCTGGCCCCTCTGAGTCTAGGGCGGTAAAGCGTCTAAGGGGTGTTGCCAAATGGGCCATGAACTGGGTTGAGTTTTTATGTTTGATGAAAAAGAGCCTAAATTCTAACTGATTTGGGAGATGTCAGATAAAGGAAAAGGAGCATTAACTTTGGCTATGCCTTCAGCTTCAGCCACCTCTTCAAGAGGAAATTGTTGGGCAGGTGGGGGAGGGCTAGTTGACGAATGAAACTGTAAGCCAGACTGGGTGTGAGGAGGGAAGGTGATAAAAGGACTATAGGGTGGGGGAGTGGAGGCTGAGGGCTGAGGAAGAATTGGGGCCAGGCTCGGCCTGGTGAGGAGCAGCCTGGGGAGGAGTGGAGAGGTCGGATGGGTCCGTAGAAAAGGAGGATTCAAAGGACTCAGAGCTTGGAGTGGAGACTGAAGGAACAGACAGGAGAGAAAGAAGAAAGATTTGGGACAAGTCACATTGGGAGCAGAGGCTAGGGAGGGACCAATGTGTAAAAGGATGCCTGGACATCAGGCATCTCAGAACCATTTGCCCATTTTTCAACAAAAATCATCCAGATCTTGTAAAATGGAGAAATCCAAAGTGCCATTTTCTGGCTATTTAGAACAATTATCGAGTTTGTACTGGGGCCAAGCGGTGTTGCAGAAGAAAATAAGACGCTTAGATTTTAGATCAAGTAAGAGTCAAAGAGGTTTTAAGTTTTTGAGAACACAGGCTAAAGGAGAAGGGGTAATGGAGGGTGGAAGGTTGCCCATAGTGAAGGAGGCAAGCCCAGAGAAAAGAGAGGGTAGAGACATGGAGAAGGGGGATGGTGAGCAGCCAAAGCAGGCATCCCCGCAATTGACTTGCCACCAAGGGAATGTGGGTGAATGACCAAGACAGGCATCCCTGTGGTGATCAGACACCAATGCAGTGTGGGTGAATAATCAGGCAGGCATCCCCGTAGTGATTAGACACCAAGGGAAGACCGTCTTCCCAAGTCCGTGACTGGCACTGGAGTTTTGGGTCCATGGATAAAATGTGTCTCCTTTGTCGCTACTAGAGAGGAAAAAGAACTGGAATTGGAAGGACAGGGGGATTGAAGGGTAGCGACAGAGGGAGATAGAAGGGTGCAAGAGAGGCTGGAGAAGAGAGTGAAAAGACTGCTTATCTGATTTGAAATTGGTAAGATGTTCCTTGGGCTGTTTGGTCTGAGGACCCGAGATCGTAGGTGGATCTCCTCACAGAGTGAGGACAAGGACAGAGGACTGGTCTCCCAAAGGAGTCCTCCTGTCCCAGGTCTTCAACACCAAATGTCATGCACGTCCGTGTGAAGAGACCATCAAACAGGCTTTGTATGAGCAATAAAGATTTTAATCACCTGGGTGTAGGTGAGCTGAGTCCAAAAAAGGAGTCAGTGAAGGGAGATAGGGGTTGGGCAGTTTTATAGGATTTGGGTAGGTAATGGAAAATTACAGTCAAAGGGTTGTTCTCTGGTGAGCAGAGGCAGGGGTCACAAGGTGCTCAGTGGGGGAGCTTCTGAGCCAGGAGAAGGAATTTCACAAGGTAATGTCATCAGTTAAGGCAGAAACCAGCCATTTTCACTTCTTTTGTGATTCTTCAGTTGCTTCAGGCCATTTGGATGTATACGTGCAGGTCACAGGGGATATGATGGCTTAGCTTGGGCTCAGACTATTCAAATTCCCACCAACAGTGTCTGGGAATTCCAGTTCCTCCACATCTTTGTCAACATGTGCTATGGTCAGTTCTTTAATTTTAGCTATTCTAATAGAGGTGTAGTAATAGTATGACATTGTGGTTTTAATTTGCATTTCTCTATTGAGCATATTTTTATGTGCTTATTTATTATTAAGGTATTTTCTTTGATGACATGTCTATTCAAATATTTTACACAGATTTAATTGGTTTATTTTCTCATTGAATTTTGAGTTTTCTACACATTCTTAATAAAAGGACTTCATCAGATGTAAAGTTTGCAAACATTTGTCATCGAATATGAATTATCTTCCATTCTCTTATGGATTCTTTTCAAAACATCAAAAGTTTTAAATTTTGATGAAGTCTAATTTATTTTATATAGACTTTACTTTTAATGTGGTATCTAAGAAATCTTTGCCCAACACAAGGTCATCCTCCTATGTTTTCTTCTGAAAGTTTTATAGTTTTAGCTTTTACACTTAGGTCTATTATTCCTTTTCAATTTAATTAATTATAGATTCAAATCTGTTATTTTCAAGTGGATATCTAAATTTTTAGCTCTATTTGTTGAAAGGTCTCAGTGGGCTAAAATCAAGGTGTTTGCAGAGCTGTTCCTTCTGGAGACCATAAGGGAGAATCTATTTCTTTGCCTCTTCTATTAGGTTGGTGCAAAAGTAATTGTGGTTTGTCATTGAAAGTAACGGTAAAAACTGCAATTACTTCTGCACCAACCTAATAGCTTCAAGAAGCTACCCACATTCCTTGGCTCAAGATCTCCTTCTGTCTTCAAGCCAATATGTCAGCCCAAATCTTTCTCAAATAGCCATCATTCGGGTTTTCCCTCAGCTGCCTTTCTCTCTCACTTATAAGGCAATTTCTGATTAGATTGAATCCATCTGTATAACCTAGGCTATTCTCATCTCAAAGTCAGCTGATTTGCAAACTTAATTCTATCTACATCTTTAATTTCCTTTTCTGTATAACCTAACATATTCACAAATTCTAAAGATTGAATGTGGACATATTTAGGGAAGGCATTATTTTGCCTACCACACATGTTTGCTTAAATTCATGTTTTCCTATTCTAAAAACTATTCTCCATCCTTTACAATAGGTCTGGTACTCTTATCAATTATTCTACCACTCATCAGAGGCTAATCAGTTAGCTTTGTCTTGTGGCAGTAAAATAAACAATACTTTGCTTTAATAAATGAAAGTCAATGCCAATGTCATAATGTACAATAAACCATACATTTAACTTGGAAAACCATGTATCTATTTCTATTTTTTGAGAAGCACCATTGAACTAGCTAAACAGCCATCATAGTAAGTGCTTAGGTAAAAACTGAGCAAATATCTATTATAGTAATTTCATTAAAATGTATTCCTTCATTGAATGGGTTATATGCATTAACCTTTCATGTATTCTCAATTTTAAGCATATTTCATTGTGTAAAACTAAAATAATGACTATAGTTACTATTTACTTTGTGCTTTCTGTGTGCCAGAGAGTCTGTGAAGCACTTATTACTTTGCTCAATCCTTATGACAATCGCCAGGAGGTAGGTTTTGTTATCCCAATTGCAGAGCAAGCTGAAGTACAAAGGGAAAGAGACATTAAATAATGTGCCTATTGAGTAGAGGAGCTACTGCTTGATGCCTAGTCCATATTTTTATAACCATGATACCACACTGCACTGTAGAGAAGCACACAGTCTGGCAGGTACAACATTAGGAGAAACCCAGAGACCAGAACTCTTGTTCTTAAGCTTCATCTTAAGCCAGCCCCGGACTTGTCCACAATATTCTTGCTTGCTCACTTTTGACCTTTATTAATCAGCTTTTGTTAGGTTATGCTGCAGAAAAAAAAATCCTTGTGGCTTTCAACAACAAAAATTAATTTCTCCCTCACATTGCATGGACCTCACTGGCAACACCTATCTGAAATAGGCTGATCACCTTGTAGAAGAAGAACAAAGATGGCAACATCTGCAATGGTTCTTAAAGCTTCCACTTCAAAGGGGCATGCATCCACTCACTTCTCTTTTGTCTAAGTAAGTCACACAAGGTCAAACCTGACATCCGCTAAGCAGACATATAATCCTCAAACAGAAAGAGGCAGCAAATTTGGAGAACAATCAGAAAATCTATCACAACCTCTTACTTCATCTTTCTATTCCTCGAGTTTAACCCTAATCCTCCCATTTAGAATCTTTACCCATTGCTTTCTCAGCTCTCAAACTCACCCTACATCTGTCCTTTGTCACACAATGTACTACTTTTTTCTTCTTCCCTGTCTCACTGCTTGCCAGGTGTACATCTGCTAAATGAACCCCTTCAGTTAGGTCTGCAGATTTTCCCCTATAAATGGCTCTAACAGAGCCCCAGTGTCCAGGGATCCACTTCTCTGGCATTAGTTTACATAGATATTTCCTGAATTTACTGAATGACTTCAGTCTGAATCTAAAAAGCACATTCCATACTCAATAGCAGATAGCCTAAAGGAAAGGGATCTCTACTATATGATAAAAATGTACTCTAGCTACAGAAAAAAGTTAATCAAGAAGAAAACATTTTGGGGGCATAATTTTCATTTCTGCCTAATTTTTTACACCTGCAAATGCTACAGTCGTTATTCCTTGTATGAGGAGAAATTGCCATTATTGTGACCTGGGCTTTTTATTTTTATAAAAAAATAGAATAAACTTATTCTGTATTACTGAAACTTCTGTTGTTTTCACTATCAATTTTAAGATTAGTTGTGACTTTGCATAGGTCTATATAATCTTTTAAAAATAGTTTATAACACAATTTGACTTACGTTGTATACTTAAACTGCTTTAAATTATATTGTAAACTTGTCATCTCTCTGGTCAAGGAAAAGCTTTGATAAAATGTTTTGATAAATAGATGATTAAACAGATGAAAACATACTCCTTAGAGTTGTCCTCTTCAACATGGTAATATGGTATCCATCAGCCACACATGGATATTGAGCACTTAAAATGTGGCTACTAAGGCCGGGAGTGGTGGCCCATGCCTGTAATTCCAGCACTTTGGGAGGCCAAGGCGGGCAGATCATCTGAGATCAGGAGTTCAAGACCAGCCTGACCAACATGGAGAAACCCTGTCTCTACTAAAAATACAAAATTAGCCAGGTGTGGCGGCGCATGTCTGTAATTCCAGCTACTTGGGAGGCTGAGGCAGGAGAATCAGTTGAACCCAGGAGGCGGAGGTTGCTGTGAGCCAAGATCATGCCATTACACTCCAGCCTGGGCAACAAGAGTGAAACTCCATCTCAAAAAATAAATAAATTAATTAATTAATTAAAATGTGGCTACTTCAAATCCATATGTACTATATGTGTGAAATATACATTGGGTTTTGTAAACTATATGTAGCCAAAAAAATTTTAGTGAAAAATTTTTATATTGATTAAATAATGAAATGATAATGGTTTATATATATTTGGCTAAACAAAATCTGTTGTTAAAATTAATTTTAACTTTTTTAAAATTTGCTGCTATAAAATTTAAAATTACATGTATGGTTTGCATTATATTTCTATTGCAAAATGCTGTCTTAGAGAAATGGATGTAAAGGTTAGCCAATGCTGGTTAGCGAGGCTAATTAGGTTCCAAGATAAAAACACAGGAGAGAGCTGTGTCCATGGCAATGATCTAATCAAGGCCTCTTCATGGTCCCATTGCTGAAAGGTGACATTTGTCAGGAAGACTATTCAGGATGCAAAGGGAGATACAGCTAATTTTACTGTAGACTGAGAGTTTGTAAGATAATTCATAAACAAAGGAGAAGCAGGCAAAACATGCCACTGAACTGAAGATTTCCTTGGTGTTCATTACTCCATGAATTATACCAGTGGAAATCTGAACTCTAGGGGAGGCATGCGATCATGAGCAGTGAAGTGTAACTCAGAATATAACACAAACACTCAGTCATGAGCCTGTGCTTACCATTGTCTTGGCACACAGTTGGTATTCAATTAATAATTGTGGGATGAATAAATGAATGAATCAGAGCCACAGCAGGTCAACAAGGAGACAGAAGCGTTGGTGAACTAGCAGCATTTAGGTGAGTTTGACATAAATTTAGCCTCTTTTAGCCTGCTGATTCATTCATTTCTGGTTCTTAGAGGGGCTGCTGTACTGTGTGCCCAGATAGAAGTACATATGCTGAGGAAATGTTTACATAGGAAAATATGATCAAGTTTTAAATCTCCAATGCCCTCTCTAAACTCTTGTTTCATTGGTTTAAGCCGTTTAAGTTTGAGTTTTGTTATTATTTTACTTAGTGTTACTTTGTTTTGCTTAGACTTGAGTTCCAAAATCTGAAATTAGATGTGTACTAGTCATGCAATCTGAACAAAAATTCTCGAATCTAACAAAGCCTAACTTATCCAGAGTACAGTTAATCTGGCAATGTTAAATACCCAAGAACCAGGAAGTAATCAATCAGTATGTTGAAGCATCAGTAAGGATGTCTCAAAATCCATGCCTCAGAACCCATGTATTTAATTCATAGAAGTGACTATGATATTCAGGTTTCTTTTCTGAAGAAAATTAAAATAAGAAATAATAATAGTTTTTGAGTTCTTACTGGACGAACACTTTATTGTATGAAACATATTATTTTCATTCATGTTCTACAGATGAGGAAACAGGGGATTAAAAATTTGGGCTTTGACCGAGTGTGGTGGCTCACGCCTGTAATCCCAGCAATTTGGGAGGCCAGAGGCAGGCAGATCATTTGAAGTTAGGAGTTCAAGACCAGCCTAGTCAATACGGTAAAACCCCATCTTTACCAAAAATACACACACACACAAAACAGCCAGGTGTGGCGGTGTGTGCCAATAATCCCAGCTACTTGGGAGGCTGAGGCAGGAGAATTGCTTGAACCCAGGAGACAGAGGTTGCAGTGAGCCAAGATCATGCTACTGCACTCCAGCATGGGTGAAAGGGCAAGACACCATCTAAGAAAAAAAGAAAAGAAAAGAAAAGTTGGGCTTAAATTCCTATGTGTCTGACTCCAAATCCAGCAATATTAAGTGTCATACTATGCTACTTCCTTAGCAGATTAGCAGAACCACTGCAAAAGAAGGACATATCAGAAGTAGATAGGAAGTGATAGTTAATGACCTGATGAATAATGCTAGCCTCTGCCTTTAAGTCAGGTCAAGTGAAAAACTAATTGCAATATAATGTGACTTATTGTTATGATAGAGATACACATAAAATGCAAAGTGAATTCATGGAGCTGCCAATCCAATCTGAATTTGGGAATGGAGGTATGTCAAGAGTGGCTTCTTAGTGAAGTCACCTGGATGTGAGATCTGAGAAACAAGTTATTCAGATGAGACTGTTAGGAGATGGTTATTCCAGGCATGCACAAGATTACTGGCAAAAAGTTCATGGTATGTTCAAGAACCGAGTAGAATACACTGTACAAGGGGAAAGGAGGTAAGAGAAAAGGCTGGAGAGATGAGCCAAGGTCAAGTTATTGTGGCTCTCACATATTAAACTGTACGTAATAGGCTAAAGGAGACACAGAGCATTTAAAGAAAGTTATGTGATTAAATTTGCATTTTTACAGGATCTCTACATACAGTGTGAAAAAAATAAGAGAAGAAATGGAAGCCTAGAGGCAAGATGACAGAAGAAACTGTAGTGTTAATCCAGATAAGACATTGAAGAGCTAAACCAGGATTTTGGTAAGACAGATGGAGAGATGTGAATGGATCTGAATGCTACCAAGAAGGTCAAATTCAACGGTGCTTACAGGCATACCTTGGAAACATTGCAGATTTAGTTCTAGAACACCACAGTAAAGCAAATATTGCAAGAAAATGAATCACATGAATTTTGGGTTTCCCAGCGCACATAAAAGTTATGTTTACACTATACTATAGTCTAAGTGTGTAATAGCATTATGTATTTTAAAAGTACATGCCTTAATTAAAAAATATTTTATTGCTAAAAATGCTATCATCTGAGCCTTCAATTAGTTATAATCATTTTGCTGATGGAGGGTCTTGCCTCAATGTTGATGGTTGCTGACTGATCAGGGTAGTGTTTGTTGATGGTTGGGGTGGCTGTGGCAATTTCTTAAAATAAGACAACAATAAAGTTTGCCACATCAATCAATTTTTCCTTTCATAAATAATTTGTCTGTAGGATGCAATGCTGTTTGGTAGCATTTTACACACAGTAGAATTTCTTTAAAATTGGAGTCAATCTTCTCAAGCCCTGCCATTTCCACAGCAGCTACAATTACTTCCTCCACAGAAGTCTTGAACCCCTCCAAGTCATCCAAGAGGGTTGGAATCAACTATTTCCAAAGTCCTGTTAATGATGATATCTTGACCTCCTTCCATGAATTAATTACAATTGTTCTTAATATCATCTAGTTTGGTGAATCCTTTCCAGAAGGTTTTTAATTTATCTTGTCAAGATCCATCAGAGGAATCACTATCTATGGCAGTTAGAGTCTTCTGAAATGTATTTCTTAAATAATAAGACTTGAAAGTAAAAATTACTCCTTTATCCAGGGGATGCAGAATGAATGTTGGGTTAGTGGTCATGAAAGTAACATTAATCTCCCTGTACATCTCTATCAGAGCTCTTGCATTGCTAGGCGCATTGTCAATGAGCAGTAACATTTTGAAAGAAATTTTTTTTTCTGAGTAGTAGTTCTCAACACTGGCCTTAAACTATTCAGTAAGCTGGCCAGGCATGGTGGCTTATGCCTGTAATCCCAGCACTTTAGGAGGCCGAGGCGGGTGGATCACCTGAGGTTAGGAGTTCGAGACCAGCCTGGCCAACATGGCCAAACCCCATCTCTACAAAATTACAAAAATTAGTTGGGGGTGGTGGTGTGTGCCTGTAATCCCAGCTACTCAGGAGGCTGAGGTAGGAGAATTGCTTGAACCCAGGAGGTAGAAATTGCAGTGAACTGAGATCATGCCACTGCACTCCAGCCTGGGAGACAGAGTGAGACTCCATCTCAAAAAAAAAAAAAAAAAAAAAACAAATCAGTAAGCTATGCTGTAAAAAATAAAATAATATAAAAGTGCTGTCATCCAGGCTCTGCTTCACTTATAGAGCACAGGGACAGTATATTTAACATAATTCATAAGGGTCTTGGGATTTTTGGAATGGAAAATGAGCATTGGCTTCAACTTAAAGTCACCAGCTACATAAGGCCCTAACAGAAAGTCAGCCTGTCCTTTGAAGCCTGAAGTCAGGCACTGGCTTCTCTTCTCTAGCAATGAAAGTCCTAACTGGCATCTTCTTTCAGTAGAAGATTGTTTCATCTACATTGAAAACCTGCTCTTTAGTATGTTCACCTACATTAATGATCTTAGTTAGATCTTCTGGCAGCTTCTCCGTCAGCACTGGCCACTTCACCTTGCACTTTTATGTTATGGAAATGGCTTATCTCCTTAAATCTCATGAACCACCAGTGCTAGCTTCCAACTTTTCATCTGAAGACTCCTTCTCTATGCCTCCAATAGAATTGAAGAGACTTAGGGCCTTGCTCTGGATTAGGCTTTAGCTTACGGGAATGTTGTGGTTCGTTTGATCTTCTATCCAGACCACTAAAACTTTCTTTACATCAGCAACAGGGCTGTTTCACTTTCTTATCATTTATGTCTTCATCAAACTAGTACTTTTATTTCCTTCAAGAACTTTCCCTTTGCATTCATAACTTGGCTAACTGTTTGGTACAAGAGGCCTAGCCTTTGGCCTATCTTGGCTTTTGAAATGCCTTCCTCACTAAGTTTAATCATTTCTAGCTTTTGACTAAAAATGAGAGATATGTGACTCTTCCTTTCACTTGAACATTTAGGGGCCATTGTAGGTTTATTTATCGGCTTAATTTCAATTTGCTGTGTTTCAGGGAAAAGAGAGGCCTGAGGAGAAGGAGAGAGATGGAGAACAGCATGTTGGTGGAGGAGTCAGCATACAAAGTTTATAGATTAAGTTTGTCATCCTATATGGACAGTTTTTGGGACTCCAAAATAATTATAAAAGTAATATCAAAGACCACTGGTCACAGATTACTATGACAGATATAACAATCATGAAAATGTTTGAAATATTACAAGTATTACCAAAATGTTACACAGAAACAAGCGAGCACATGCTACTGGGGAAAGGGAACCTCTAGATTTGCTTGCACCAGGGTTGCCACAAAACTTCAATTCATAAAAAGTGCAGTATCTGCAAAATGCAATAAAGCAAAGTGCAGAAAAATGAAGTATGCCTGTATTGGCGTGTAAGTAATAGGGGGAAAAGATTACTCCTTGCATGATGCCAAGATTTCTGGCCTGGGAAGCTGGGTATATGGTGATGTCATTAATCAATATAATAAACACAGGAGGAACAATCTCAGAGAGAGAGTGACAAGTTCCTCTTCTCACTTGCTGAGTTTGAGGTGCCTCAGTGGTATCCAAGAAGAAAGATAACCTGTGATCAGCTGAATAAATAGTTCTGAAATACAGAAAATGCATCTTGGCTAGAGATGCATAAATTTGGAACTATCACAAAGGGGACAAATGCCTAAGGATCATTCAAAGATGAAAATTAAAGGCTATCCAGTAAACCAAAAGATTATTTCTCCAGAGATTCTGTATATACAATAATTGTCTTATTATACACAGCATTACAGTTTACAAAGTACTTACATAAAATGATTCATTTGATTCACAAAAATCCCTCATGGGAAATAATGTGCTATAATTCTCACATTACAGTTAGGAAAATTGAGGTTCAATTTTGTTAAGAGACTCATGAGAGGTTGCCCATCTAAAGTTGTGGAGACAAGTCCAAATCATAAGTTGAAGACTTCAGATGGAGTCTCTTTTCACTAAGTCAAATTTCTATTTCCAATATTTGGTACAAATTCCAAGCTAGAGAGAGTATGAATTTTGACCTGAGTAGTAGGGCTGAAACATGAAAATGAGCCTAGAATTTATCCACGACTAGCCAAATTTAGGGGTTTGGAGCCATTTAGATCAATATTGAAGATACCAGCTTAGACTTTTAACCTTGTCTGCCAACACCAAACACTAAAACGGTATCTGCAGCCAGGCTGTCTTACAGATTAATAGGTCAGGCTGGAATAGAGCCAAAATTATCAACCTTCCAGGCTGTGTGACCTGAAAGCTTTCAGATCTTTTCCAACAAAGCCCATTAAAACGATCTTAAGCCCTTGAGGCTGAAAACAAACGTGACATTCCGCTGCATTCAATAACTATTTGCTTCTGAGCATTTGTTTGCCATTATTTTCTGTGGCCCCTTTGTAGGATTTGTGTTGAGATTTCTCATATTGACAGGCCAAAATAAATTCATCATAAATTCTTTTGATGTATGATTAATTCCTTTCTGAATAAAATTCAAAATAGGGTAATAAAGATAAGAATATAAACAATAGAGAAGTTGTATTCAATTAACTGTATTTTTTGTCCACATGAAATTGGAGGCACAGATTACTAAAGATTATACAAATTACTATCCTAGTTAGAAAAAAATAAACCAGAAATATCCATTTGATTTCCTGGACTTTTTCATTCAAAAAAAAAAAACAAACAAAGATATAGCTAGAACAATGTTTTGAATGTATGAAGTCCCTGAATTTATCTTGGTGGATTCCAAAGTATTAGTTAACTAACAAGTAATTTTGGTTAAACTTATATTGTAATTAATATCAAGATATGTCCTAATTAACGACCTTAAACAAGTAAGTATTGGAAAATTCTTCTAAAATTCCATTTTAGAAGTTTGTACTTCCCTGAATCTAATAACAACAAAAGATACTGGATCACTTAGTTTTTGCTGCATAACAATAACCCCTCAAGACATTAAAACAATAACCCCTCAAAACATTAAAACAATAACCATTTACTTATCTCCAAATTCTGTGGGTCACCTGTGTCATTCTTCTGATCTGGACCAGTTTGATTGCTCTCTCTTGGGTTCTTTTATGAGTTTGTGTTTAGCTATTTGGTCTGCTGATGACTCTATAGCCTAGGACCTTTCACTTATATGTCTGGCAATTAGCAGTCTATCATCCTGAATATTGGAGCAACTGGTCCACATGTTGCTCATCCTCTAACAGAGCAGTCTAGACTTCTACAGATAGTGGCCATAGAATTCCAAGAACATCAAGAAAGAACAGACTTCACTGCTCAACTGCTTTTCATGCCCCTGCTTGCACCATATTTGCTAATATCCCATTGACTAAAGAAAGCAACTGGCAAAGGTCAGACTCAAGGTGTGGAGTAATAGATGTCATTTTCTTGATAGGAAGAGTGCAAAGACATATTGGAAAAGGATGCACCTATATGTATGGAAGGAATTTGTGTCTGTCTCTTTCTATAACCTACCACAAAGGCAAAGGTATATACAATAGCTGTCTTGTTATACACAGCATTATTTTTAAAATCCAACTACCAAAAAAAAAAAAGAAACAGAAAATGCTGCATAAAGACTCAGCAATTAAACCCAACTACCTACCACAATTCACATTGTTGAAAGTTAGTCATGAGAATTTGTATTAATACTCCAAACCTGGGTAGAAAAACATTAAATGTGTATCCTTCTCTTGTTTCTCTTCCTGAAATGTAATGAAATGTACAGAAAGTTAAAAAATAGTTTTGACTTTCTCCTACAGAATTAAGAATTCTACTACTGCTCCCAGAAGAGGAATCACCTGAAAGTTCCAAACATTTCAGAAAAGAGAACAGAGCCCAGGTGTTCTAAAAGAGACTAAACATTTCCTCCCTCTCTTCCTCTCCTCTTGTGCTTTCCCTCTTTCCCATAATAGCCTATAGTTTAGAGAATACAATAATGTTGGAATAGAGTCAAGAAGTCACCCATTCTATACAACAGCAAATTGAATATATAGACAAAGCCACCCAAGCATAATCAAAATCCTAAGAAATAACAGAGAAACTTAAAGAAATACAGAGAGGGATTATATTAAAAGGCCATGGATGCAGATTATAAGAAATTATAACTGAAGAACAGAAGAAAAACTTTTACAATGTGATAATAACATAAATTCAAGATCATAAAAGCTTAAAATCAAATAATAAAGCATTAGAATACCATAGAAAGGAAATTCAAATGTAAAATATTGAGGGTAAAAACAAAATGTTTTTAGAATTAAAATATAAATTTCAAAGAGCAATGAATTCAATAGTCACCACTATAAAGCTAATTATTGTTACAGAGGGAAAGCTTGAGATAATCATGGAAGATGCACATGGAAAAAGAAGTAATGGCATTTGGGAAGCAATTAGTAAGAGAGAAAAGCAAAGATGATTCAGTTAAGGATTATTATTCACAAAGTTAAAAGTTCAATAAATGGAATAAAATTTGTATTCACTGATTTAATAAATAAAGTTTTGAAATAAAAAATTGAATTTTCTATTGGAAAAATAAATGCAATGTGTTCCAGAAATTACAATACTGCTATTTGTGTGTATATATACACACATATACATATATACATACATATGTGTGTATATATACACATATATATACATACATATGTGTGTATATATACACATATATACATACATATGTGTGTATATATACACATATATACACATACATATGTGTGTATATATACACATATATACACATACATATGTGTGTATATATACACATATATACACATACATATGTGTGTATATATACACATATATACACATACATATGTGTGTATATATACACATATATACACATACATATGTGTGTATATATACACATATATACACATACACACATATGTGTGTATATATACACATATATACACATACACACATATGTGTGTATATATACACATATATACACATACACACATGTGTGTATATATACACATATATACACATACACACATATGTGTGTATATATACACATATATACACATACACACATATGTGTGTATATATACACATATATACACATACACACATATGTGTGTATATATACACATATATACACATACATACATATGTGTGTATATATACACATATATACACATACATATGTGTGTATATATACACATATATACACATACATATGTGTGTATATATACACATATATACACATACATGTGTGTATATATACACATATATACGCATACATGTGTGTATATATACACATATATACGCATACATATGTGTGTATATATACACATATATACGCATACATATGTGTGTATATATACACATATATACGCATACATATGTGTGTATATATACACATATATACGCATACATATGTGTGTATATATACACATATATACGCATACATATGTGTGTATATATACACATATATACGCATACATATGTGTGTATATATACACATATATACGCATACATATGTGTGTATATATACACATATATACGCATACATATGTGTGTATATATACACATATATACGCATACATATGTGTGTATATATACACATATATACGCATACATATGTGTGTATATATACACATATATACACATACACATATATATACACATATATACATATATATACACACATATATACATATATGTATATACATATATATGTATTTTTATATATACGTATATATACACATATATATACACACATATGCGTATATATACACGTTTGTATACATGTGTATATACACATATATACACACGTATGTGTATACATATGCGTATATACACACGTATGTGTATACATATGCGTATATACACACGTATGTGTATACATATGCGTATATACACACGTATGTGTGTGTATATATATGTGTATGTGTATATATGTGTATGTGTATGTGCATATATGTGTATGTATGTGTATCTATATGTGTATATATGTGTGTGTTTATATATATATATATATATATATATGTGTGTGTGTGTGTGTGTGTTAAGGTTTTAGACTTTAAGATGGAATAAGGAATAAGATGGAATAAGGAAAACGCTCTGCAAGCATCCAAGCTTTAAAGCAAATCATTTACAAGGCAAAGAAATCAGGTTGGCCTCAAATGTTTCCACAGCAATATTTTATGCTAGGAGACAATACAGCACTAGCTATAAAATTCTGAGGGAAAGTTTGACACAAGAATATTATACTTAGCTTAAATGGTGTTTATGTATGAAGGCAATAAGTAGGCAATCATTCTCTTGAATTTGTTGCTCTTTGAAATTTATATTTTAATTCCAAAAACATTTTGTTTTTACCCTCAATATTTTATATTTGAATTTCCTTTCTACGCTATTCTAATGCTTTATTATTTGTTTTTAAGCTTTTATGATCTAGAATTTATGTTATTACCTCACTGTAAAAATATAAAACAAGATGGAGAATACACAATCCATGAGCCTTTCAAAAAACTACTTGACAAATATATCTACTCAAAACAAATCTCAAAATAAGGAACTCAGGAATAACGATGCCCTGATGGTAATTTAAAATATGGAATTAATTTTTAAAACACTAGGAGAAGTATGATTATTGCAACAAATGGGTCTTGATTGCCCTGACAACGAAGAAAAACTATAGATTTTTCACAATGATATTGGCTTATGACCAACTCTTTTACTGAAGAGAACCAACTGCTACTGTCTGAAATTGAACCAAATACTATAGTTAGAAAATTTGAAAAACACAAATACTTCAACTTCTTTATATTCTATTCTGTTTACCTATTTTCCTTAAGTATTTTAGCAGAATCTTTTAGGAAGAATATTGCTTGTGATGAAGATATACACATTACGATATAACTGTAGACATCTGTATACATGTTTATACATAAATATGTATATACGTACTGTGGGTGTATATATATCCATATACATGAAGTTTTAAGATTTATCTTTAGATTCAGTTTGATTTTCTTATGTTTAATTGATTCAAATTATATATAAACTTTTATTTAAAGTAACATCTACAACATAATCCAATTTTTATAAAAGTATTTATATCTCTTTATCTTTCTTCTCTATATTTATGTGAATAAAAAGATATCTGTAATGTTGTTTACAAAATGCTAATGATGTTGGGTTTTGGGTGGTAGAAGTAGTAGAATTTTTTAAAATCTTTAAATTTTACATTTCCTGTGCTATTTGAATTTGTAGTATGAGTTACACAACAATTTCATAAAACCTATACCATGATTTATTTTTTGTTAAAAACCAATGAAAATGTAAAGCAAATGCACCAAAATTGTCAACAATGGTTCATTCTTACTGGTGGGAAAATGAATTAATATTATATTACACTTTCTCTGTTGTAGTTTTCTGTAAATTTTTTAAATTCCTAGAACAATTTTTGGTTTCATTTGAAGAAAAAATGAATATGAATCACAAAATCTAATGCCTATTTATTTAAAAAATTGTCTTCTGTCGTAGCTCAACCCTCCAACAAGAATTTGAGTTCAATTTTTAGAATGTTCTTTCTTCCTCTTTTGTTACCAGATACAAAAACTTGTGAGGAAATGCCTAACTAAGTCTCACCAAGAATTAAACCATTGCATAGAAAAAATCTGCGAAACATTTGAAATGTGTCCATGTATTATACAATCTGGTTAATATGAAAAAGTAGAATTTTTATTTAGCTCAAAATTCTGTTAAAGAGATACCTGATTCGAGGCTAAATGATTAGTGCAATGTAGCACATTATAGGGAGGGGAAGATAGATAGTTAATGGCAATATAGAAGAAAATATCAAAAAACTACCTAAGAGTTTTGTCAAGTAGTAAAATATCTGTTGTTATGGTGAGATCATAAGCACCTTTGGCAAGATGCTGGAAGGGCAGTGTATTAGTCCGTTTTCATGCTGCTGATAAATACGAACTCGAGACTGGGCAACTTACAAAAGAAAGAGGTTTAATTGGACTTACAGTTCCACGTGGCTGGGGAAGCCTCACAATCATGGTGGAAGGCAAGGAGGAGCAAGTTGCGTCTTATATGGATGGCAGCAAGCAAAGAGAGAATGAAGAAGATGCAAAAGCGGAAACCCCTGATAAAACCATCAGATCTGGTGAGACTTATTCACTACCAAGAGAACAGTATGGAGGAATCGCCCCCATGATTCAATTATCTCACATCTGGTCCCTCCCACAACATGTGGGAATTATGGGAGTACAACTCAAGACAAGATTTGGGTGGGGACACGGAGCCAAACCATATCAGGCAGGATTATGAAAAAGAACAATAATCACAACCTACTAATTATCCTGCTATTGAACTGCAAATTGTAGGCAATAAGTAAAAGTTGGAATGAAAATAAAATCACAGAGCAATAATGACTAACATCAGTAAAGAGAGAAAAAGTAATCTGGTAGGAGGCTGCCATTTAAACTTTCTTGGTTCTTTTCTCCCCCTTGCCTCTATCTCCCTGATGGTTAGAAGTTCTTATAGAGAATCATTGTCTCTGGGAGACAGAAATGCAAGTCCAATAAAGTTCAGAGACTGAGCATATGAATCCAAGAGTATCCTGTAAGAACTTTGAGAAAGTCAGGGATCCCCAAGCAAGTCCTGCATGAGATAATAAAAGTATCATTACAGTGAGAAGCTAAAATACAAACTAACAAAAATGCCTCTGTATTGTCAAAATAAATCAAAATAATATGAACTCTATCCTTCCTTCTATTTGGTAATAAGTAAGGAACTGTATCTTGATGAATGTTCTCTTCCAAGGCAGGCGCTTTATGTTGATGGGATCACATAATCTTCTGACACAGAAGGTATTTACTATATAATTTCATGGATAAATTAGAGAATGTATAGAGAAACTAAGCAATTTGTTCAAGGCAACACAAATGTAGAGTTAGGATTCAAACCCAAGTAGATCTGCTTCCAAAGCCATGCTCTTTCTACCACCTAACATTAGAAGTCAGTGTTACTTAATTAAGCACCAAAATTTGGCTTATTTTTTATGTGATAAAACTGGAAAATCCTAGGGTGGAGCCCCAGAGAAATGCCAAGGATTCTTTTTATTATAATTAATCTGGATTTAATTCCAATTTTTAAGGTGGGGTTGTTTAATGGATGATTCAAAAATAATTAAATTGTGGTTTTGAAAAATATTAATTTAGTCAAAGCAGGGGCATATCCTGATGATAAAGGAATGATGTTGATGAAATGAATTTCTGTAATAGAAAATAATCTTGATGAGATCTAGACTGATTTTGACACAAGGATTTTAAATACATCTAATGTTTGTTACAATAGAGTTAACTATCAACACATTTCCTTTAAAGTTCTTCCAGACAGTCTGTTTAAAATGACATATTTTCTAAAGAAAAAATATTCATCGTACAGCCAAGCTATAAATGACCACATGTTGGTCAAATCTGACATGGAAATACTAGAATCACTTCTGAAAAATTACTCTTTTCTGTAGTTATGAAAACAATCATGTATTAAAAAAAAGTGTGTCTAAGGCACCATCATATCAAAAAGCATTTTTTAAAAAAAATTTTCAATATTTCATACTTGACAACATTTTGAGGTATTTACATAGCTCATCATGATTCCGCCTTGCCTAGGTATAGTACATGATAGCTTGATGTCTTTTTTTTGGTGATTTTTAACTGGGAATGTTTTGCTTGACCACGTAACTATAATCTTGTCTCACATCCTTCATACTCAGCTCTGCCCAGTGCAGCTCAGTCACAAAGAAGCTGTGGTATGAAATGTGAAGATCTGGACTTGAGTTTTAAATCAAATTCTTTAGTAGTTAAATCAACAGAGCTGTATAAGTTCCATGGGGCAAGGACATCTTGGTACCTCAATCCTAGCGCCTAGAGAAGAGAATAGGCACTCAATCACTATTTGTTAAAAGTAAAAATAACACGCTTTAACTACTTTATAGGATTATTAAAATTAAGACTAAATGATTAAGTATTTTTTAATTAGTGTACTATTTTTAGAGCAGTTTTAGGTTTACAGCAAAATTGAGCAGAAAGTACACAGTTTCCATTTACTTTCTGTCCCCAAACAATTACAATCACTCTCGCTGTTGACATGGGGCACCATACATTTTTTACAGTCAATGAGCCAAACATCCAGATGATAATGATGCATTACCCAAAGGCCATAGTTTACATTAAGGTTCACTCTTGTGTTGTGCATTCTATGGGTATTGATAAATGTATAATGACATAGATCCACCATTGTAGTGTTGTACAGAATAGTTTCACTGCCCTAAAAGTCCTTTGTGCTTTCACCATTCATCTCGAACCCCTGGCAACAATTAATCTTTTTACTGTCTCCACAGTTTTGTCTTTTCCAGGATGTCGTATAGTTGGAATCCTACAGTGATACAGCCTTTTCAGATTGGCTTCTTTCTGTTAATACTATACTATACTTTTAAGTTTCTTCCATGTCTTTTCATGCTTGATAGCTCATTTCATTTTAGCACTGAATAATATTCCATTGTCTGGATGTACCACAGTTGTTTTTTGTTTTGTGTGTTTCTTTAGTTGAAATATTTCTAAAGCATAAAAGGTAACACAAGTTATTACAAGTACTGTGATTGTTGAAATTACATTTCAACATTGTCAGTTTGACTGTCTCAACTCTTGGTTCTGGGGTCACTAAGACTTACTGATTCCTTATTTTTTGCCTCCAAAACATATGAAAAAATATGTTCAAGACTTTGGCTGAGGCTTGTATAAATATCACACTCATAAAGCAGTCAGCTTGCAACTGTTGCGCCTATTACTTAATGTTATGCTAATGTTACTTAAACTTCAGGTCAAATAGTCACAAATCCTTTCATAGACAGACCATGCTAAAGGATTTCCAGAGAAACATTTCTCTTTTCTCTCCTCCAGAGATCAATTCAGTGTCAATCTGAGCCCTCATACTAAAAATTTGAAAAAGGCTTTAAAGATGAAGTATCAGTTTAGGTTTCCTCTTACATGGGCCCAAGCCAAAGATTGATTATATCTTGAATTAGCACCAAACCCAGATTTTGAGCGTATTGAGATTCAGTATTGAGCATATTGAGATTCCCTATGATCTGCCAAGCCAAGAATGACTGAACATCAATTAAGGGCTTCTCCTTCCCAAATGGTAGAACCACAGTGTCTCTGGACATCGGAATGAGAAGTGTTATTCACTTTGCTAACTCACTCTGTGACATTTTTCTCTTGCAGAATTCTATTGGTGCCATTTTTATGAAATTCTGGGTTCTCATTTCATTTTATGTTTTTTGCATGCTAAAACCACTTGATAAACCAAATTTAACGTATACCTGGCAAACAATCAGGGTCCCTTGCAACAAGTTTAAGGAATAAGGAAAGGGAACAGAATTCCATAGGAATTCCTCCTATGACCTGTGCTTTTCAAAATTTGATTGTTGCCAAGTTTAGGAAGAGGTATTAAAACAGGTAAAGAAAGAGAAAGAGATCTCATAGAAACTAGAAACATGATACTTCAATGTGTTTTCTGAGTCATTTTCCCCCCAGGCACCGGCACAACCTAACCAAAATTATTAGAGTAACTCAGTCTCTTATTGATATTTAGGGTTTTGGATTGCAAGGGAGATATATATATATATATATATTATTTTTGCTATATTCTGTAGGAGAACACAGATGCTTCTCAACTTATGATGGGGTTATATCCCAATAAACCCATCATAAATAGAAGATATTGTAAGCTGAGAATACATTTAATACCGAATAAATCCATCAAAAATTTGAAAAATCCTATCAAATCATCGTAAGTCCAGATGTCCCTCAATTTTGATGGGATTACATCTCAATAAACCCATTGTAAAGTCTAAACATTTGACTTATGAAGTCAAACCATCATAAGTTGGGAACCACCTGTATTTAGATGAGTCATTTATGTGTAACAGAATTTTACACCTTTTAACTCAATGTTAAGTTGGCACATGCACCTACTGGAAATGAAAATTATGAATTATGTTCATAGCAATGCAGGTGGTCTGCCTCAAGAAGCTAATCATTTTTGGAAGTAGGGAGAGATCCATGTGTTCTTTCAGACTCTCTCATTTTAGAGCCACAGTTTCATTCATTCATTTCTACATCCAGTTTTCTAAACAACTGCCAGAACTTTGGTAGATGAGGCAGGAGAATGTAATAATAGCTTTCAGTTCTCATTCAATTATCCTGGGTTTCTAGGACAGACTGGCAGAGGTGAATTGTGATTCCTAAGAGGCCATTACTCTGATAATGATCACTATGTCAAAACCTCTGGGATATAATCCCCTATATACAATTTAACTACATCAACAAGTTTATTGTTTTATGTAAGGACTGCCTCAGATGAGCCCACTAATTCTGCAAAAATATCATTGTCTTAAAGGAATAAAATTTTACTTATGTCATTATTACCATCATTACTTTGAATATCTACTGTTAACTAATTTTGAATCTCCTTCAAACCTAGTGTTTGGGGATTTCTATACCAAACAAATATAGAATAATCTAGAATTTTATAGGAGTAAAATTTCCTCCAGAGTTGATCACTCCTAGGAAACAAAGCTAACCTTTATTCTTGCTGTTTTCAACTCTACTGCAGAATAATAAACTTCCTCCTACTCTTTACATTATTCCTGGATGCTGCAGACATATTTACATGGTTCTAGTTCAGCTCAATACTGAATAGAAATATTTATGATGTTTTCTACATTGGAAATAACTTGTGGGAGCTAATATTGTAAAGTCATTGTAGTCCCAGTTAAAATCACTTAATGGGATGTCATTATGTATGAAGAAAGGAATTTCCCATAATAAAGTTTTCTTGCTTACTAATATTTATCCATAAAAGTTTCCAGACTTGTTTCTTATCATCATTTTCACTTTCTTTAATAAATATATAGTCAATGAGTATTTTGCTGGATCTAAAATGTGCCTTATCATCAATTTATCTCCACTGCACAGTAAATACTGAGGTCATAGTTAATAATTCAAAACAAAAAGGAGGGGAATTGGGGAAAGATTATGAGTAAATTTCAAAGTGCTAGATTACTGGAGTTTCTTGTTTATATAACAAGGATTTTCTTAAACAAAAATCAACCATGAGTTTACTGACCTCATTTCCATATAATAATTTATTGCATGTATACCTGAGCATTACCAGAAGATTCATCAATCAGAATCCCTTCTCAATAAATTACCTCCTCTAGGAAAAAAGAATGTTAATAAGAAGCAGTCACTTCTATGAATGTGCTAAGCAAATGCTAAAGCAGATGACAGATACCATTTTCATGATTAATGTAACTAGGTCTCATAATCTACCTCTCCTATATAGTTTAATTTTACTTTTCTACTTTTCTGATTCAAAGTAATAAAGCAAGTTAAGAAAAAGCCAAAAAAGCAATTCTCAGAACACAGACAACAAAATTTAAAGAAAAGTGGTACAAACAAATATTTTTAAATCAGAAAAGTATATTTTTGCCAAAATGAGCCAAGAAGCCAAGAATTGCATCCTTCTGCTCTAAGGTGTGCAGCTCACCATGTGTGTTTTTCTTTCTGAAGACCAAGAAAACAAAAAATATCAATTGTCAAAGAATTTGGAGCCACCTAAAACCAATTTCTTCTCCCCAAAACGCCTGCAGAACTTGGCTCAGAAACCACTCTATCACTGTAAAAATAAATGAGAGGATTGTGCATAATACCATAGAAATCCAAGTTAGTGGTGTATTGAGAGGGATCTGCTTTCCTATTCCCAGATGAGTGAATTAAGACATGAACTGCAGGGAATACTTTCAAAATAACTCTGTTCATTATAGATGCTTTTGGAGGAAGAATCCAAAGTGCTCTGAGTCCCAAGGGCTGCTCTGCTACAGTGAATGGCCTTTGGATTGACATTCATACTAGTCAACTTACAACAAGCCATAGCTCAAATCCCACAACAGTTCTGCTGGCCAGAATATTTTTATAGTAGACAGGATCAAGAAAATGGCTTGAAATAGGTTGATCTTGTATTAGAGTTACAGTAGGGTGGGATGTTTAAAACCTATGAATTAAATTTACCTTCTATTAGGAGTGCAATCAGGAGTGTAGAAAACACAATCATAAAATGAACGTACACTCTAGTTCCAAGTTCCAGTGCAGAACATGATAGGTACACAAGAAATATATAATATTCAGCCAAAAAGAAGAAAACCTCAGCCAAAATTGTGTTTCTATAGAAGAAATCAGTCACAGCCAAAATCACTTATGAATCATATGATTTACTGTACAGGATTCATAGTTGGTTTGCAAAAGAAATTATATCTTTAACTTCTACACCAAGATATAAGAAAAAAAATCTTACCATAAAGAAAGAATTTGGAAGCAATGTGATATTACCTGATGGTCAAAAGCATTCTCTTCATCCTAGAAACTCAAAATTCATAGTTTGTGTTTTTAGCTGTAACCCTTACACCACTGTATCTGCCAATAAACAATTTTATTCCACTTTGACTCTCATTTCCTATACCATAATTCTATCTTCCTTCTTCTTCACTCCATATAATAAAACAAATGCATGTTCATCCTCACGGATTCAGAATAACATGTAGGTGCAATTAGCTGTCTTCCATGATTCATGAATACTTGTTCCAAGAAGCAGTTTCTATCAAAAATCAAATCCTGTTATTGAATTCATCAGTCACCACTGACTTGAAGGCAACACATTCTTAAGCTATCCAGCTCCAAGGGAATCTAACAATCTAAAGTTGTTTCAAGTTTTTTGACATTTGTTCACATTTTTATTCTTATATAGGTAACATCTGGGTCATATGAGATTGGAAGAATTTATGAGGAATTCCCTCCATAGTTGTCTAAAGCAGCAAAGGGACTTGTTAACAGGGGAAGTAATCCAATTAGAATAATTGGCATTTGCAAGGCATGGTTATGTTATGATGACTCAGTTTGACTTTCACCCTTTCTCACCTCTTATCATATAGGCAAGGAATCTGTACTAATATTTAAAAACCACAAATCTCCAGGGAAGTGAAATGAATTTGGGTTCATTTCTGAGACTCATTCTTTTCTACACATAAAAGCCAATTGCTTTAGTTAACCACTCTGAGGGTGAAAACAGAGATTTAGATCACAAAAGGAAATGGAAAGAATTAGAGGTTTTGTTTTGTTTTGTTCTGTTGTTGTTGTTGTTGTTGTTAGGCTAAGCAACTCCTTTTCATCTCTCAAAGCTTTTCTAAATTTCATACCTTTTTAATGCTATGAAATCATAGTTTCTCCACTAGTGGTTGCATAAGAAGAAATTATATCTTGAAAGTAAAGCAACTCATACCCTAAGATGTAACAAGCAGAACTCTTCAACCTCCCCTGCACTGCCTGACTGACTCAGACCTTGAACTCAAAAAGTGGATCTGTTTCTTCTCCCTCACTTAAAAGAGAGGTGAACACACTGTCAACACTCAATTAATAAGCAATGATATGAAGTCTTGGGAGGCAATTTGTGGTCCACTCCTGGACATCCTTCCCTTTGGCATGGCTCACTGTGCAATGATAGATCTGGCTGATGTTTACTCTGAAATGATGAAAACTATCTGACACTTCACTCAAGTCGGGGGTAAAATCCTCTATATGAGGAACCACCAGGCTTACCGAGGAGGTAAGCAGTGAGAAAAACAACTTCTTTTCACTGCTTGTCAGAGACAGTAAAATTGTACATAGCTTTTGATGAAACCTTGAAAGATGCATCAAGAAGGATTTATGTCCTCTTACATCCAAGTGGGTTTTTCCAAGGGATTATTTGCTCCTTGGAAAATTAGAGACTTCTTAAATATCAATATGGCATGGCATGGTACCCAGTCACTTACAAAACACCAAGAGCATATATCACTATATATAATTAAAATTAAAAAAATTCCAGCCACTGAGTACAAAGTATTTTCAAACATATAGGCAACATGGACAATTATTTCTCCTTAAAATAAGGGTATCTCTTCCTTTTGCTGTGTGCTTCTCAATGAGATTTAAAGAGCAAGACCCTGGAATTAAAATTTAGAAAATCATCTTTTGTTTTTCACTGTTTCACTCAAAAAGCAACAAAACAGAATATTCTTACCAAAATCACACATAATAAAGAACGAATAAATCATGAACTTACCAAGATAGGACCATTAAATTATTTAAATACTATTTTAGAGGTATCTTCTTAGGTCTACCCTTCTCTGAGAACTGCCTCTAGAACTATGAGGACATTTGGTAGTGTTCTCATTGTCCTCCGGCTAAAGGTGCCTAGACCAAAGGTGCCTAGACCAAAGATGGGCACCTGCCCTATTCAGATTTCCTCTTTTATTAATTGAAATTGAGAACATGGAATGCCAGTGAGCCAATTATCGGCAGTGGAGCACAGACAATGTCACTGCATGGCTGGGCAGCCGTTTCCTGTCTCAGAGGAAGCAAGAAAGGAAGACAGGGAGTGTTTAAAAAGAGAAACAAGAAAGCATGTAACTCCAGAAAGAATCTGAAGGCTTGGTTGCCTTGTTTTCTAATACCTTTCAGTTTCTCATTTATGGCCCTTTAATTTCTTGATTTTCTTATTATAGATTTCTCCTTTTGTTTAGACTAGTCTGAATGGATGTCTGGTGTAACTAGAAAGAATTTACCATGCATATTTTGTATTTATCAAATAGTTGTGATAAAAGGCACTCTGCAAGGCATTGTGAAACAGTTGATGGAAGAGAAAAACAATTCTACTCTCAAGGCAAACATGTTTTAAAGTAAAATGCAATACATTCAGTTTTAAGTGTCATAGTAAGAGGCACAAGACATGCTTGAGTCACAGATTATGTAAGTATTAGTGCTGGAGTGAGAAACCTTAAAATTGAATCCTGTCACTTACCGGTTGTGTGCCTGTTAACCATAAAGTGATGGTATTAATAGTACCCAAATTTTCATAAGTGTACAGTAAATTCTAGCTATTATATTTCCAGAAGAACAGCCAGAGAAGTGGAAATTGTGCATTGTAAGAAACTTGTGGCTAGAATTTACAGAGGTTGAGCTGAGTATTGAAAGATACAAAAAAAATCAGAAGTAAAAAAAGATATTCTAGGCAGAGGAAATTGAAGAAGCAAAGAGAGATATGAAAATACATATAGCCACATTGCCTGCAACAGAGAGCTGTAGAAGATGTACACGGTGATGAAGTTGAAAGAAAACAAGTGGTAAAAGGCTTTTAATGCCACGTGGTGAGAATTCAACATTATTCTGAAGGAAATAGAATGTTAAAGACTAATCTTTCAAAGGTAGAGAGAAACAATCCTATGTTATCAGAAAATAAAAATATTAATATATGGTAGTATTGAGGACAGAATAAAGACAATGAGATCAGTTAGAATGCTTTTCCTATGGTCCTGGAATTTCCCCCTAACTGCAACGTGATGGTTCTTACATCAAGAAAACACAAAGTTGATTTCTGCATTTGAGGACCAGATGTTTAAAATACCTAGGCTTACCCAAAGGCCATTTTATTCATGAATTTCTACATCTAAAACATATGTTTCACTCTTTAACACCCAGTTCAAGATACCCAGGGGGAAGAAACCATCCAAAAATGGGCTTCCTATATCCAGGCCCTAATAATAGATAACAGATCTGCCTTAATGCCCCATATCCAGGATTACCAGAAGTTCCTTAAACCACACCTGGTAAATGAAAGACTGGTACTAGAAGGATACTTTATTTATTATTTATCTTCTGTTTTTTCCCAGGATGGTTTTTGAGGCAATGTATCCTAAAGAATAAATGAGTACAACCCACAGTTCTCTTGAGAATTCAAGAACGCCTTAAAGGAAAGCGCCGCTAAGTTATAAGCCCATCCTGGATTCCTGTTCTCAGAATATCATCCTCTGGGAAATTCATGCAGTCTTACATTTTTGTTCTTTATACTGAGTAATGGCAAAAGAATAAATAAAGGGTTAGATTAAAGGAGATTGGAGCTCAGCTAAGGAAAAGATGAAAAAGACTAAAATGGAGTCCTATGCCCAAGAAAATAGTAAAAGTAGGGAAATGGAATGGACTCAGTGATTACAAAGGAAGAGTTTTGCAAAGGAGAACCAGATAAAAAACAGTCAGAAAAGATAATATAAAAAGAAAACCTACAGGAAAAATCATAAAATAAATACAAAAAAAATCACTGCAGGCTTTTTGCAGAAACTAATTCAAATTCTTATTCCAATACACAGAACCTAACGTAGGCAAAACAATTTTAAAACAGTTTCCAAAAATAAAAATCCAGGTTGTAGATTTATAGTACCTGATTTCAAAATTTACTATTAAGCTACTATAATCAAACAGTGTAATAGGGGCATAAGTATAGCCAAATATATTAATTAAACAGAATGAAGTTCATGATTGTATCCACACATATGTGGTCAAGTGATTTTTGACAAAGATATAAAGGCAATTCTGTATAAAGAAAGATAACATTTTTAATAAATGGTGCTGAAACAACCACTCACAAAAAAAAATCTTTGAAATTTTTACTCAAAATACATCATAAAAATGACTGTAAAACCAAAACTATAAAATTTCTAGAAGAAAATCTTTTGACCTTGCATTAGCAAGATTTCATAAACACAATGCCAAAATCATGATCTATAAAATAAAACTTGTTAAGTCATTCCTCAAAATTGAGAACTTCTGCTCTTTGGAGGGAATTGTTAAGGAAATGAAAAGACATGCAACAGACTACAAGAAAATATTTGCAAATTACATGTTTTATAAAAGATTTGTATACAAAATATGTGAAGAATTCTCAAAACTCAATAATAAATACATTTTTTAATTTTTATTTTAGGTTTGGGGGGTACATGTGAAGGTTTGTTACATAGATAAACATGTGTCATGGGGGTTTGTTGTACCTATTATTACATTACCCAAGTATTAAGCTGAGTATCCAATAGTTATCTTTTCTGTTCTTCTTCCTCTTCCCTCCACCTCCACCCTCAGGTAGCCCCCAGTGTCTGTTGTTTCCTTCTTTGTGTTCATAAGTTCTAATCATTTAGCTCTTTAGTTCTCATTATAAGTGAGAACATGTAGTTTTTGGTTATGTGTTCCTGTATAAGTTTGCTAAGGATGAAAGCCTACAACTCCATCCATGTTCCTGCAAAAGACATGATCTCATTCTTTTTTATGGCTGCATAGTATTCCATGATGTATATGTACCATATTTTCTTTATCCAGTCTGTCATTGGGGGCATTTAGCTTGATTCCATATCTTTGCTATTGTGAACAGTGCTGCAGTGAACATTTGCATGCATGTGTCTTTACGGTAGAATGCTTTATATTCCTCTGGGTATATACCCAGTAATGGGATTACTGGGATGAATGGCAGTTCTGCTTTTAGCTCCTTGAGGAATCGCCATACTGTTTCCCACAATGGTTGAACTCATTTGCACTCCCACCAACAGTGTATAAGGGTCCCCTTTTCTCCACAACCTCATCAACATCTGTTATTTTTGACCTTTTAATAATAGTCATTCTGACTGGTGTGAGACAGTATCTCATTATGGTTTTCATTTGCATTTCTCTAATGATCAGTGATATTGAGCTTTTTTACATATGCTTGTTGGCCACATGTATGTCTTCTTCTGAGATGTCTCTGTTTATGTCCTTTGCCCACTTTTTAATGGGGTTGCTTGCTTTTACCTTGTAAATTTGTTTCAGTTCCTTATAGTTGCTGGGTATTAGACCATTGTCAGATGCATAGTTTACAAGTATTTTCTCCCATTCTGTAGGTTGTCTGTTTACCCTGTTGACAGTTTCTTATACTATGCAGAAGCTCTTATGTTTGATTAGATCCCACTTGTGAATTTTTGCTTTTGTTGCAATTGCTTTTGGTGTCTTTGTCATGAAATCTTTGCCTGTTCCTAGGTCCAGGACAGTATTGCCTAGGTTGTCTTACAGGGTTTTTGTAGATTGGGGTTTTACATTTAAGTCTTTAAGCCATCTTGAGTTGATTTTTGCATATAGTGTAAGGAAGGGACCCAGCTTCAATCATCTGCATATGGCTAGCCAGTTATCTGAGCACCATTTATTGAATAGGGAATCTTTCCCCAATTTTTGTTTTTGTCAGCTTTGTCAAAGATCAGATGGTCATAGATGTGTGGCCTTATTTCTAGGATCTCTATTCTGTCACCCAAAACAGCAAAGATGGTGGCCCACCCCTTCCTCTGGGAGTGCCATCTCAAGGGGATTTCAGATCTCTGTCATCTGGAGAGCTTGGACCGCAGTAGCTGGAGGCCCTAGTTGGGAGGTCCCACCCAGTGAGGAAGAACAGGATCAGGCACCCACTTAAAGCTGCAGTCTGGCCACATTTTGGTAGAGCAGCTGTGCTATGCCGATGGATCCCTTCCACCCCAGCTTGGCTCAGACACTCCAAAGCCTGAAGGCTGGAACACTAAGGCTTCTGAACAGCAAAGATGGCACCCCACCCCTCCACCCGGGAGCTCCTTCTTAGGGAGGTGAAATGCTGCTGCTGGTAGCTAGCTGGAATTCTAAGCCATTGGGTCTCATCTTGTGAGGTGCCATGAAAGTGGGACCTGCAGGCTGCTGCTTAGCCCCCTGGATTCAGCCACTTTCCTAGGGGTATGTACAGGAGTCTAACCTACTTTGCTAGAGTTGCAGTGACATTTGCTGGAAAGCCCAAGTATTCAAGGCTCCAGGGTCTCCATGTATACTTGAGTGGCTGCTCTGTTGAAACTCCATGTAGCTCTGTCTGTCAGACTGAAGATTAAAGGCCCTGGTGGAGTGGGTTCACAAGGAGACCTCCTGACCTGAGGGTTGCAAAGATCTCTGGGAGAAACATGGTTTCCCAGGGTCATTCATTCACTTACCACTTCCCTGGGTAGGGGAGGGTACCCTGCTTCCATGTTGCTCCCAGGTGGGCCATTGTCCTGTCTTTCTTTTCTTTGTTCCCTGTGGATCAAGTTGTTTCCTTGATTAATCCCAATGCAAGTACTTGGATGTTTCATTTGAAGGTGTTGTATTTACTCACCCCTTCTGTTCCTCTGCATGGGAACCACACACACTACCTACTTCTAGTTGGCTATCTTGGCTACCCAAATCAATTTTTTAAAAGGTCAAAATATTTGAATAGGCATTTTAACAAAGAAGATGTATAGATGGCCAATAGCACATTAAAAGACATCCAACTTTATTAATCATTAGGAAATTCAAATTAAAACCATAGTGAGATACCAATACATAGTTTTCTGAATGTCTAAAATTAAAACAACTAACCATACCAAGCATTGACAAGGAAGTGGAGGAACTGTAACTCTAAAGAACTGCTTCTGTGAATGCAAAATGGTACAGCCACTTTGGAAAACAGTTTGGCAATTTCTTAAACTATTAAACATATACCTATTTTATGACCCAACAATCCATTCCTGGGTATTTATACAAGAGAAATGGAAGTATATCTCCATAAAAAGGCTTGTACATAAATGTTCATAGCAACTTAATTTGCAATAGAAACAACTGGAAACAGCCCCAATATCCATCAATAAATGAACAGGTAAACAAATTGTGATATATCTATGCAATGGAATACCACTAAACAACAAAAAGGAATAAACTACTGATACATATAACATCATGAATGAATCTAGTAACAGTTATGCTGAGCAAATAAAAAAGGAGCCAGAAAATAATAGAGTAGATGTCTTATAATTTCATTAAGAGAAAATTCTAGAAAATGAAACTGCAGCCATGACTTGGTATCCATGGGGGATTGGTTCCAGGACCCCCATAGATATCAAAATCCACAGATACTCAAGTACCTTATATAAAATGGCATAGTATTTGCATATAATCTATGCAAATCCTCCCATACACTATATATCATATCTAGATTACTTATATAATACCTAACACAATGTAAATATTATGTAAATATTTTTTATATTTTATTTGTATTATTTTTATGTTGTATTGTTACTTTTTAATTTTTTAAATATTTTTGATCCATAGTTGGTTAAATCTGCTGATGCAAAATCCACAAATATGGAGAGTCAGTTGTAAATCATAGTAATGGAAGACAGATCAGTGGTTTCCTAAAGATGAGGGGGAAGGTAAAAGCCAGGAAAGAGGAATTACAACTGTACATGAGAATGATGGATATATTAATCATGTTGATTGTGGTCATGATTTCACAAGTGTATTCCTATGTCTAAACTTAGTAATTGTGCATTTTATTTCATATTAATTATATCTCAATAAATCTGTTTTTAAGATAAAACCCATAAAAAGATACCACCACAAACACACTAGAATTATCACAATTTTAAAAAGACTGACAATGCCAAATGCTGGCATGTATTTTGAACAACCCGAACCCTCATATTTAGTTGGTGGGGTACAAAATGGTAACAATCACTTCAGAAAACATGTGGGCAGTTTTTTATACAGGAACCAATGCATTGACTTTATAACCCAGTGATTTCACACCTAGGCAATTACAGGTTAAGTATCCTTTACCCAAAAATCTGAAATCTGAAATGCTCCAAAATCCAAAACTTTTTGAGTATTGACATGACATTCAAAGGAAATGCTCATTTGGGTTATTTCAGATTTCAGATTTTTTAATTAGGTATGCTCAACCAGTAAGTATAACAAAAATTTTCCTAAATCTGAAAAAAATTCAAAATCTGAAACACTTCTGGTTCCAAACGCTTTAGAAAAAGGATAGTCAACCTGTGCCCATGATAAATGAATCTTCATATACAGCAGCTCTGTTCTAGTCAAAAACTAAAAAGCACAAATATCTATCAACTGGAAAACAACTACACAATGAAACACTACTTAGCAATAACAAAAAACAAACTGCTGATATTTCAAACAACATGGATGACTCTCAAAAACATGTTGTTGATCAAGAGAAGTCAGACACAAGGGTACACAATTTTTATTCAAGCTACATTTAGTTCAATAATAGGCATAAGTTATCTATAATGTTTAAAATCAAAATATTTACTTTGGACAGAGGGAAGAGGGCAAACTGGAAAAGGCATAAGGTCAGTTTCTGTGATTATAGATTTAGGGGATACAAGTACATGAATATATTGCATAGTGAAGGCTGAGCTTTTAGTGTACCCATTACCAAACAGTGAACATTGCATCCAATAGGTAAACTTTCCACCTTCAAAGCCCTCCCACCCTCCCACCCTCTGGTATCTCCAATGTTTCTTTTTCCACTCTGTATGGCCATGTGTACCCATTTTTTAGCATTTATCAAAATTCAGAATGGTACACTGAAAATATGAGTAATTTACTATATATAAATTATACTTCAATATGTAATAAGAAAAAATAATTTTAAGGACTTAAACAACTATGTGCCATCATGGACAGAATAAATAATATATATATAAAATATATATTTTATATATATATACACACATATGGATGTGTATATATACATATATTTGAATATATATATACATTCGAAGAGACAGAATTCTAAAACCACTGAAAAACTCTTATAACTAAGAAACAATATCAGCAAGGATTTAGGGTATAAGATTAATACACAAATGTAAATTGTATTTATATTCACTAACAATAAACAATTCCAAAATGAAATTATGAAAACAATTATTTGCCATAACATTAAAAGGATAGAAATGGGAATAAATTTAACAGAGAAATGCAGGACTTGTCCACTGAACACTATTTGTATTGTAGAAAAAACTGAGAGAAATCTAAATAAATGGAGAGATATCACAGGTTCAAATATCAAAAAACTATTTTAGTTTTTATTGCATTTGCTTTTGAGGTCTTAATCATAAATTATTTCCCTAGGCCACAACCAGAAGAATTTTTCCTAGGTTTTCTTCTAGAATGTTTATACTTTCAGGTCTTAAAATTTAAGTTTTTAATCCAGTTTTAGCAATTTTTATATGTGGTAAAATGTATGGGTCCAGTTTCATTCTTCTTAATTTGGCTATTGAATTTTCCCAGCACCAATTATTTAATAGGGTGTCTTTCCATAGTGTATGTTTTTGCCTGCTTTGTCAAAGATCACTTGGTTGTAGGTATGTGGCTTTATCTCTGGGTTCCTTATTTTGTTCAATTGATCTATATGTCTATTTATATACCAGCATCATGGTATTTGATTACTATAGCCTTGCAATATAATTTGAAGTCAGGTAATGTGATGCCTCCAGCTTTGTTCTTTTTGCTTGGGAATTCTTTGGCTATTCAGGCTCTTTTTTGGTTCCTTATTCATTTTAGGATTGTTTTTTCTAGATATGTGAAAAATGACATTGATAATTTGATAGAAATTGCATTAATTGTACACTGCTTAGGAAAGTATGGTGATTTTAAAGATATTGATTCTTCCAATCCATGAACATGGAATATTTTTCCATTTGCTTATGTTATCTATGATTTCTTTCATCAGTGTTTGTAATTCTCCTTGCAGGGATATTTTAACTTCTTGGTTACATGTATTCTTAGCAATTTTTTTGTAGCTATTGTGAAAGGAATTGAATTATACATGAAGGGTTGTATAGAACTGCTACTAATTTTTTTATGTTGATTTTGTATCCTGAAATTCTACTAAATTTATTTATCAAATCTAGGAGTCTTATGGAGGAATCTTTGGGTTTTTTTGGGTGTATAAAATCATATTCTCAGAGAACAGAGATAATTTGACTTCCTCTTTTCCAATTTGGATGCTTTTTTTTTTTTTTTTTTTTGACAGAGTCTTGCTCTTGTTGCCAGGCTGGAGTGCAATGGCATGATTTCAGCTAACTGCAACCTCCGCCTCCTAGGTTCAAGCAATTTTCTTGCCTCAGCCTCTTGAGTAGCTGGGATTACAGGTGTCCGCCACCATGCCCAGCTAATTTTTGTATTTTTAGTACAGACAGAGTTTCACCATGTTTTCCAGGCTGGTCTCAAACTCCTGACCTCAGGCGATCCACCCACCTCAGCCTCCCAAAGTGCTGAGATAACAGGTGTGAGCCACTGTGTCCAGCCATCTTTTATTGTTTTGTCTTGCCTGATTGCTCTGACTAGGAATTCCAGTACTATGTTGAATAGGAGTGGTTACAGTGGGCATCCTTGTCTTGCTCCAGCTCATAGTCTTTGACTGTGGCTTTGTTGTACAACACTGGGAAAAAACTGAGTGTTGGGAAAAAAAACTGAGGCATGGCTTGCATGTCTGACATAATGTCCCGGGCTCAGGGCATAAAACTCCTCGTGGCCTCTGGAATGAGTCTAGACTTGCTGGCTCCTTGCTTCTAGTTTAAACTAGAAGAACATGCTGCCCATTATCTCAAGTAGCAGAACATGTTATGTTCCATATGCCTCAAAAGAAATGCTAACCCATCACAGCTGTAGATCATTTACTTGCCCTTTCACCCCCACATTCTCACCACCTGTTTCTTTGTTTGATCACCAGTAAACAGTCTGGGCTTTCAGAGCTCGGGGTCTTTGCAACCTCCATACTCACGTTGGCCCCCTGGACCCACTTTCTCTCTCAAACTGTCTTTTCTCATTCCTTTGACTCCGCTGGACTTCATTGCCCCCACGACCTGGTGTTGGGTCTGATCACCCAAACATTCCTGGTGCCCAACGTGCGGCGACAAAGACCCCAGTGAAGGAAGGCTAGAGCATGTAAAAGCAGAGGACACATCATCAAAGGACACCTGAGGATGATTAAAGGAAGCTCAGTGGGAAAGCTGAGTGCTCAGAAGAACCAGGGTAACAATGGGACAAAGTGAAAGCAAACATTCTGCTTATTTAAATTTCTTAAGGCATTTACTACAAAGAGGGGGAGTGAAAGTTAGTACTCAGAATTTATTATCAGTCTTTAGTACAGTAAAGCAGTTTTGCCCATGGTTCCCAGAAAAAGGGACTATGGAGTTGGATGAATGGGAGAGAATTGGCAGAGATTTTAAAAAGACGTATAAAGATGGAGCAAAAATTCCAGTTTCTGTTTGGTCAACGTGGATGCTAATAAAGGCAGCTCTTGAGCCATTTCAAACAGATGATAAGGCAGATTCAGATGAGGAAGAGGAGGACAAGTGTAAAAAACTAACTTCAGATTCTGAATGTGAGGAACAGAAACTGGAGGAAATTAAAGAAAAGAAAGGAAAACTGAAAAAAGTATGTTTTACTAGCCCGTCGGCTCCACTTGCTGAATTAAGTGAATGGCCACCTCCTCTCTCTCCCCTTAATAGGTGAGAAAATGAATTAGATGAAAAACTTATAGCTCCTGTAGTTGCAACATTAAAACCTGGAGCAATTGGTGGTGCTATACAAAATTCTATTCAAAAGGCTAGAGCTGAGGGAGACCTTGAAGCATGGCAATTTCCTGTTACTATAATCCAGCAAGGAGGACAGAATATAGCTAATTGGGCCATCTTTCCATTTAAATTGTTAAAGGAATTCAAGCAAGCCATTAGTCAATATGGGCCAAACTCTTCTTTTGTGCAAACTTTGTTAAAAAATATGGCTCTTGATAAAAGGTTAATACCACATGATTGGGATACTTTGAAAAAATCTATTCACACTCAATCTCAGTACTTGCAGTTTAAAACCTGGTGGGCTGATGAAGCTCAATCTCAGGCAAGGGAAAACCCACAAGCACAGCCACCTGTGCCTGTTTCCTTTGAACAGTTCATGGGAGTTGGCCCTAATTGGAGTTGATTAGAAAATCAAGCAGTAATGGAGGATTTTGCCATTGAACAGCTGGCTCTGTGTGCTTACAGGCATGGGAAAGGATAAATGTTACAGGGGAAAAATACCCTTCTTTCAGTTCTGTCCAACTAGGACCTAAAGAACCATATATTGATTTTATTGCTTGGCTCCAAGAGGCTGTGTATAAAGCCATAACTGATAAAACAGCTCAGGATGTTGTAATACAGCTTCTTGTATATGATAATGCTAATGCAGAATGTCAAATTGCTATTAGATGCCTGAGAGAGAAAACTCATTTAGCTGAATATATGAAGGCTTGCGTTGGCATTGGAGGTAACTTACATAAGGCTACTCTTTTAGCTCAGGCTATGGCTGAATTAAGAGTTGGAAAGAATATGCCCCATTTCTCAGGCTCTTGCTTCAATTGTGGGCAATTTGAACACACAAAAAAGGAATGTAGAAGAGGAAATCAAAATGCAAGGACTATTATCATCAATCAACAGAAAAGCCCTGGTGTATGCTCCCATTGTAAAAAAGGCAATCACTGGGCAAATCAGTGTCGTTCTAAATTTAGCAAACATGAACAACCTCTTTTGGGAAGCAGGAATAGGGGCCCGCCTTGGGCCCCTCAACAAACCGAGGCATACCCGGCACAGCCAGTGCGCTTACAAATGTACAACAATTGTCCCCCGCCACAGCAGGCAGTGTTGCCATAGACCTTTGCAGCACAATTCCCGCCTCCTTACTTCCTGGGGAGCCACCAAAGAAGGTCCCCACGGGATTTAGGGAACCCTCACCCTCAGGAACAATTGATCTATTACTTGGAAGGTCTAGTCTAAATTTAAAAGGTGTCACAGTGCATACGGGAATAATTGACTCTGATTATACTAGAGAAATTCAACTAGCTATTAGTTCCTTGACCCCATGGTCTGCCTCCCCAGGAGAAAGAATTGATCAGTTGTTGCTGTGACCTTACATAAAACTAGGAAGCAGCACAGTGAAAAGAATAGGAGGCTTTGGTAGTACTAATCCAGCAGGAAAGGCTGTATATTGGGTTAATCAAGTGTCTGACAAAAGACCTGTTTGTACCATAACTATTCAGGGAAAGGATTTTGAAGGACTAGTAGATACTGGAGCTGATTTCTCTATTATTGCTCTAAATCAATGACTCCGACACTGGTCCAGACAAAAGGCTTCCATGGGTATCATTTGCATAGGAACAGCCCCAGAGGTTTTCAAAGTTCCTTGATTTTACCATGTCAAGGGCCGGATGACCAGGAAGGGACAATTCAGCCTATTATTACACCTATTCCTGTCAATTTATGGGGTAGGGACTTATTGCAACAATGGGATGCTGAAATATCTATTCCTATGGATCAATATAGTAATAATAGTAGACAAATGATGAAAAATATGGGATATCACCTGGGAGAAGGACTAGGAAAAAATTAAAATGGCCAATCAGAATCTTTAGAATTAAAAAGACAAACAGATCAGACCAGATTGGGGTGTCATTTTTAGGAGTGGCCATTGTTGAGCCTCTGGCTCCCATTCCTCTTGTTTGGCTAGCTGCCAAACTGGTTTGGGTGGAACAATGGCCACTGAAACAGGAAAACTGGAGGCTTTAAAAGAACTGGTGCAGAAACAATTGCAAAAGGGACATATAGAGCCTACTTTCTCCCCTTGGAATTTTCCTGTATTTGTCATTAAGAAAAAATCTGGTAAATGGAGAATGCTAACAGACTTTGTTAATGCTGTAATTCAACCAATGGGTGAGCTACAATCAGGGCTGCCCTTCCCAACAATGATTCCAAACTACTGGCCTCTTATAGCAATAGATCTAAAGGACTGTTTTTTTTACCATTGCTTTAGCTGCCCAAGAGTATGAAAAATTCACTTTTAATGTTCCTGCCGTAAATAATAAAGAACAGATACCATTGGAAAGTACTACCACAAGGCATGCTAAGTAGCCCGATTATTTGTCAAACTCATATTGGGAAAGCTATTAAGCCAGTTATAGAAGAGTTTAAAAAATGTTATATTATCCATTACATGGTGTGCAGCTGAAACTAGGGAAGCTGAATACATGTGTGCAGCTGAAACTAGGGAAGAATTGATGTTGTGCTACAAACAGTTAGAAAAGACTGTAAATGCAGCAGATTATAGCCCCCAATAAAAATCCAAACTTCTATTCCCTTTCAATATTTAGAATAGAACAAAGTGCTATTAAGCCTCAAAAGGTTCAAATTCAAAGAGATAATTTAAAAACCTTAAATGATTTTCAAAAATTATTAGGAGACATTAATTGGATTCATCCAACTTTAGGCATTCCTACCTATGCTGTCTCACCTCTTTTCTACTTCATGAGGTGATTCTAACCTTAACAGTAAATGCTCCCTGTCCAAAAAAGCATCGGAGGAACTTCAATTAATTAAGGAAAAAATTCAGCAAGCACAAGTAGAACAAACTCATCTGATACAGCCATTAGAGTTTTTAGTTTTTCCTACTAAGCATTTGCCTACAGGAGTTATAGTTCAACAGGATGATCTGGTGGAGTGGCTTTTTCTACCTCACAATACAACCAAAATGCTCACTCTGTACTTAGATCAAATTGCTGTGCTAGTAGGACAAGCGAGGCTGTGCACAACAAAGCTAATGGGATATGATCCAAATCAATTATAGGTCCATTAACTAAACAACAAATTCAACAAGCCTATATTAATTCCCAAGAATGGCAGGTTAATTTGGCCAGTTTTGTTGGCATTCTTGATAATCATTATCCTAAGTCTAAAATCTTCCAGTTTCTAAAATTAACATCCTGGATATTGCCTTCTATTACTCAGAAAGCCCCTATTGAAGGGGCCATTACTGTTTTTACGGATGGATCTAGTAATGGAAAAGCCTTATTTGCAGGACCTCAACAACAAGTTTTGCAAACTGATTTTGCTTCTGCTCAAAGGGCTGTACTTATGGCTGTGATAACAGTGTTAAAAACTTTTAAACAGCCAGTAAACATTTTTTCTGATTCAGCCTATGTAGTACAAGCCATGCAAAATATTGAATGTGCCTTAATTCAAAATGTGACTGATGAACAACTTAATCTTTTATTTCATTATTTACAGTAAGTAGTACAACAAAGGCATTCACCTTTCTATATCACTCATATGAAAGCACATACTAACCTCCCTGGCCGTTTAACTAAACTTAATCAAAAGGAGGATGCATTGGTGTCTGCTGTCTTTGCTGATGCACAAACATTCCATTCTTTAACCCATCTTAATGCTGCAGGCCTTAGAAAAAGATATGGTTTATCATGGAAACAAGCTAAAGAAATGGTGCAACACTGTTATGCCTGCCAAGTCCTGCATCTGCCACATCAAGGAACAGGAGTTAACCCTAGAGGTTTATCTCTAACTTCCATCTGGCAGATGGATGTAACACATATTCCTGCTTTTGGAAAATTGTCCTTTGTTCATGTTTCAGTAGATACCTATTCACATTTTATCTGGGCCACATGTCAAACAGGAGAGGCTACAGCTCGTATTAAAAGACATCTTTTATCTTGCTTTTCTGTCATGGGAATCCCAGAAAAAATCAAAACTGATAACGGCCCAGGATACTGTAGTAAAGCCATGGCTACATTTTTTCAACAGTGGAATATTACCCATACTACGGGTATTCCATATAACTCACAAGGACAGGCAATAGTGGAAAGAGCTAATCATACTTTAAAAACTCAAATACAAAAGCAAAAGGGAGGAGAGCAGAATATAAAACACTGCATATGCATCAATTGCATCTAGCTTTATTAACATTAAATTTTTTAAATTTACAAAAAAATCAACCCATAACTGCAGCGGAACAACACCTGACAGGACAAAAGGAAAATAAAAAGGCTGGACAAGATATATGGTGGAGGGATGTACATACAAAGAGTTGGAAAAAAGGAAAGATAATTATATGGGGAAGAGGATTTTCTTGTGTCTCTCCAGGTGACAATCAGGTGCCTGTGTGGGTGCCCACTAAACATCTGAAGATCTATCATGAGCCACAGCATCTAGTGGACCCACCTGCACAGTGCAAATTGAAGGTTTGAGAACACTTGATTTGCTTTCTCTGTGCCTTCTGTTAGAAGGGACCTGTTTCTCATTATTAGTGGAAAGTTTTACCTCATGGTAAGTAACCAAAGAGGCAGAAGCTGAGTTAACAAATGCTTCAGCAATGGCATGCCTCCCACCTATAACCACAGAAGTTTTTGCTTCTGTTTCACTAGATTTACTAATGTGGGGTTGAGGGTATGCTTGTGTTTTTGCAGGAGATGAACAAACCATGCGGGTGCAACCCCCATAACATAGGGACAGATCAAGAAAACTGCACAGGAAGCTGAGAAACTGCTGGAGCACCAGGGTTTTACCTATAGATGCTTAAAAGACCAATGCTTTCTGACTGAGCTCCTCTCTACCCTGAATACAAGAGACCCTAATTAGTTAGGCCAGGAATATCATCGCCCCTATTCAGCATGAAGAAGTTACAGAAGATGGACATTCATCCTTCTGCAACCCCTAGGATTAAGGGTCCTCTTGTAAAACGGAAAGGGGAGATATGTGGGAACTGGGAAGCATTCAAACCAGAGTGACTCCATTTTTAATAAGGGCTAAGAAAAATGAAGCTGTATCACCAACCTGCAATTAAGGGCTGCACAGCCTGCAATTGCCTTGCTCAATTAATTTAAAAACAAAAAGAGGCCACCTTTTATGCTAGTAATAATGACAGCTGTGGCAGTTTTACAAAAAAGAGAAGGGGGGCATGTTGGGAAAAGGCTGAGTTTTGGGAAAAAAAGGCTGAGGCAGGGCTTGCATGTCTGACATAATGTCCAGGGCTCAGGGCATAAAACCCCTCATGGCTTCTGGAATGAGTCTAGACTTGCTGGCCCCTTGCTTCTAGCTTAAACTAGAAGAACATGCTCCCATTATCTCAAGTAGCAGAACATGTTCCATAGGCCTCAAGGGGAAATGCTAAACCATCACAGCTGTAGATCAGTCATGTGGTTGCCCTTTCACCCCCACATTCTCAACACCCATTTCTTTGTTTGATCACTATACATAGTCTGGGCTTCCAGAGCTCGGGGCCTTCACAGCCTCCATACTCGCGTTGACCCCTGGACCCACTTTCTGTTTCACACTGTCTTTTCTCATTCCTTTGACTCGGCCGGACTTTGTCACCCCCACGACCTGGTGTTGGGTCTGATCACCCCAACAGTACATGGCTTTTATTATTTTGAGGTATGTTCCTCCCATGCCTAGTTCATTGAGAATTTCTTACATGAAGGGATGCTAAATTTTCTCAAATGTTTTTTTGGCATATATTGAGATGATCTGATCATATGGTCTTTGTTTTTAAGTCTATTTATGTGGTGAATCACATTTATTGATTTGCATGTGTTGAAACATCCTAGCATCCCTGAAATAAAACCCACTCAATCATGGTGTATTATCTTTTGGATGTGCTGTTGGATTCGGTTTGCTATTATTTTGTTCAGGATTTTTGAAACTATGTTCATCGAGGATATTTGTCTGTAGTTTTTCTTTTGTTTGGTCCTTGCCTGGCCTTGGTATCAAGGTGATACTGGCCTTGTAGAATGAGTTGGGGAGGAATCCCTCCTTCACAATTTTTTGGAACAGTTTTGGTAGAACTGATACCAGTTCTTTCTGTATTGTTAGAATTCAGCTGTGAATCTATCTGATCCTGAGTTGTTGTTGTTTTTGGGAAATATTTTATTAGTAGCTCATTCTCTCTACTCATTATTCATCTCTTCAGAATATTTATTTCTTCCTGTTTCCAGGAATTCATCCATTTCCTCTAGAGTTTCCATTTTTTGGGCATAGAGGTATTCATAGTAGTCTCTGATGATCTTTTGTACTTCTGTGATATCAGTTGCAATGTTTCCTTTTTAGTTTCTGATTGCACTTATTAGAATCTTTTCTTGGTTGATCTACCTAGTTTATCTTTTCAAAGAACAAAAATTCACTTTTTTCATGCTTTGTATTGTTTTGTTTTGTGGGTCACAATTTCATTTAGTTCTGCTCTGATATTTGTCATTTTATTTTGCTACCTTTAGGTTTGGTTTATTCTTGTTTTTATAATTCCTTGAGGTGTGATTTTAGGTTATTAATTTGTGACCTATCTTTTTGATGTAGGCATTTAACTCTATAAACTCCCCCTCTTAGCCCTGCTTTTGCTTTATCCCAGAGGTTTTGGTATGCTCTGTCTCCAATTTCATCCATTCCAAACCTATTTTTAATTTGGGTCTTAATACTATCTTTGTCCCAAAGATCATTCAGGAGCAAGTTGTTTAATTTGTTTGTATTTGTATACTTTTGAGAGTTCCTCTTAAAATTGGTGTCTAGTTATATTCCACTGTGGTCTGAGAAAATACTTGGTATGATTTTTATTTTTTTTTATTTGTTGAGACTTGTTTTGTGGCTTAACATAAGGTCTATCTTGGAAAATGTTTTATGCACTAATGAGAAAAATGTATATTCTGTGGTTGTTAGGTATAATATTTTCTGTAAATGTCTGTTAGGTTCATTTTGTCTAGAGTCCAATTTAACTCCAGTGGTTTTTTTTTTAATTTTTTGTCTCAATAATCTGTGTAGTGCTGTTAGTGGGGTGATGAAGTCCCCCACTATTGTTATATTACCATCTGTCTTCTTTCTTAGGTCTAGTGCTATTTGTTTTATGAATCTGGGTACTCTAGTTTTGGGTACACATATATTTAGGATAGTTATACCTTCTTAAGTTGATCCCTTTATTATTATATAATGACCTTTGTAATTTTTTTATTGTTTTAGATTTAAAATCTGTTATATCTGATATAAGTAAGGTGACTCCTGCTCACTTTTGGTTTCTGTTTGCATGGAATATCTTTTTACACCCCTTTGCCTTGAGTCTGTAAGTGTCTTTATCAGTAAAGTTGGTTTCTCATAAGAAGTGTATGGTTGATTCCTGTTTGTTTACTCATTCCACCAATCTTTATCTTTTTTTTTTTTTTTTTTTTTTGAGAAAGTCTTGACCTTGTCCCCCAGGCTGGAGTGCAGTGGCACGATCTCAGCTCACTGCAACCTCTGCCTCCTGAGTTCCAGCGATTCTCTTGCCTCAGCCTTTTGAGTAGCTGGAATTACAGGCACCTGCCACCATGCCTGGCTAATTTTTGTATTTTTAGTAGAGACAGGGTTTCACCATGTTGGCCAGGCTGCTCTTGAACTCCTGACCTCAAGTGATCTGCCCACCTCAGCCTCCCAAAATGCTGGGATTACAAGCGTGAGCCACCACGCCCAGCCCACTTTATCTTTTAAGTGGAGCTTTTAATCCTTTTATGTTCAAAATTAATATTTATATGTGAGGTTTATTCCTGTCATGAAATTGTTACCTAGTTGCTTTGTAGTCTCAATGGTGTGATTGTTTTATCAGACCTGTGAGTTAATACTTTCATGTGTTTTTATGGTGGCAAATATCAACCTTTGGTTTCCACATTTAGAATTTTCTTGAGCATTTCTTGTAGAGTCCCGTTGTTACAAATCCCCTTAGCATTTGCTTGTCTTGCAAAGACTTTATTTCTCCCTCAATTATGAAGCTTAGTTTAGCAGAATACAAAATTCATGGTTAACAGTTTTTTCCTTTAGAAGTCTAAAAGCAAAACCCCAATCTCTTCTGGTTTGTAAAGTTTCTCCTGAGAAGCCTGCTGTTAGTCCAGTGAGATTTCCTTGATAGGTGATTAGACATTTTTCTCTGGCTGATTTTAGAATTATTTTTCCTTAATGTTGATTTTAGATAGTCTGATTATTATATACCTTGGTAAAGTTCATCTTGCAATGTATCTGCCTGAAGTTCTCTGAGTATCCTGTATCTGGATGTCTACATCACTAACAAGACTATCGTAGCTTTCCTCATTTTTTTTTCTCAAATAGGTTTTCTAGACTTTTTACTTTTTCTTCTTCAGGAATACGTATAACTTGTAGGTTCAGTCATTTAACATAATACCATACTTCTCCATGACTTTTTTATTTTTTAAATTCTTTTTTTTATTTTTATCTGACTGATTTAACTTGAAAGACCTGTAGAGGAATTAATATTGTTAGCATCTATAGATTCAACACAATCCCTATCATAACACCAGCTAGCTTTTTTGTAGAATTTGACAAAGTGTCACTAAAATTCACATGGAAATTCAAGGAACACAGACTAGCCAAAATGATTTTGAGAAAGAAGAACAAAGTTGGAAAACTCAAATTTCCTGATTTTAAAACTTACAAAAAAATAACAGTAATTAAGAGTGTGATACTCTTATAAGTATATGTGGTAGACAGAAAAATGACCTCTTCAAAGATGTCCATGTTCTAAATCCCATGATTCTGGGAATATGTTACTTTACAAAGCAAAAGAGAATTTACAGATGTTATTAAGTGAAGGATATTGAGACCAGAAAATAGTCCTGTATTATTCAGGTGGGGCCAGTGTAATCCCAATGGTCCTTATATGTGATTTAAAAAGGGAGAAAAATGAGAGTCAGAGAAGATATGACAATGGAAGCAGAGGTCAGAGTAATGCAATTACTGACTTTGAGGATGGAAGATGGCCATATGTCAAGGAATGCATGCAATCTATAGAAGATAAAAAAGGCATGGCTGTCCTAGGGCCTCCAGAATGAACACAGCCTGCAAACAATTTGGTTTTAGCCCAGTGAAACTATTTCAGACTTCTGACCTCCATAACTGTTAAGATAATAAATTTGTGTTATTTTAAGTCATTAAGTTTGTGGCAATTTGTTAACACCCCAGTAGGAAGCTTATATGATAAACATGTAGATAAATGGAATAGAATGTGATATTCTATTATAAACCCCTACATTACTGATTTTTCACAAGATGCCAAGAATATCAATGGAGAAAGAATAATATTTTTAGCAAATAATCCTAAGACAACTGGATAACCAAAGAAAGAACTTGGACCCCCTAGCTCATACTATACATACAAATTAACCCAAAATATATTATAAACTGAATTGTAAGAGCTAAAAATTACAAAATTCTTAGAAGAATACTTAGAAATAATTTTTATGACCTTGGGTTTATCGATAGTGTCTTATATATAAAACTAAGATTATAAGCAACAAAAGAAAAAATAAATGTACTGAACTTTAAAAATTAATTTTATACTTCAAAGACGACCATCAAGATAACCCACAGAATGGGAGAAAATGTTTGTAAATTATATATCTGACAAAGGATTTGTATCTAGAATATATAAAAATTTTATACAATTCAGTAATAAAAAGACAATAACCCTATTTAAAATGAGAAATCAAACTGGTTCCAAAGTTGTGACATAGAAGGCTGGCTTCATTTCCCCCCACCCCACCACTTCCCAAAGAAAACCAGAAACAAATACACAGTACTGATATTACCACCAGCAGTATTCCAGAACTCAAATACAGGGATGAGACAGTTCCCAGGACCACAGAGAAATTTAAAAACTCCAAGCAAATGTTAAGTAAATCTAACTCCCATATTCACAATGCCCCTCTCTCCAAATTGCCCCACACCAAGCATGCAGAAAATTTCTCATAAACTCACAGTTTCTACACTGGAAAAAGTGAGATTAATGTGGACATCCAGCTCTCCCCACATCTTGGGTTTCCTGACAGGAGACCTGTCTCTGCCTCAACCCATGGAAAGCATCAAGAGTGCATAAAGGGAGAAATAGCCCTGAGGACAGCCAGAAAAAAAGAGGGGAGGTGAAACTACCATCCCCAGCCCTGAAAACTCCTTTCTGTGATTCAGCCAAGGAAGATGTCAAATTAGAGACTGTAGGAGGTTTGTTCCACAGTCTCCTGAGCAAGAACTCTTCAGCAATCTTACAACACTACCAGGATATCCCCTTTGGGGCCTCCCCAATTTGGGACAGGCAGCACTGTTTACTAGAATCAAGGCAAACCTTGGCTTAAGGTGCTGTTTAGTGTCATAAATGAGACAGCACTCTACTGGAAAAATATTTTAAAGGAAAGAAAATCAACAAAGAAATTACAAAAAAAATCTAAGCAAGCATATCTAATAAAAACCAAAACAAGCCAGACAAGGAAGACTGGCATAAATAACTAATCCTTCAGTGCAAAGGCATAGATTTACATCCACAAGAAACAACAGCAAACAGGGAACCATGACCTCCTCAAATGGACAATGCAAAGAACCAATGATTGACCCTAATTAGATGGCAATATGTGAACTCTGTAACCAAAGGGTAAAAATAGCAGCTTTAGTCAAACTTAGTAATCTTTAAGGTAACACGGAAAAGCAATTCAGGGGCTTATCAGAGAAATTTAACAAGATTAAAATAATTTTTAAAAAGCAAACAGAGGACAGAAACACGAACTAAAAAAAAGAAGCTCTCAACAGATGAAGTGATTAAGCTAGAGGAAAGAATCAGTGAGCTCGACCACAGGCTATTTGAAAATATACAGTCAGAGGAAAAAGAGAAAAATAAAAGGAATGAAGATCACCTACAAGATATAGAAAATTACCTCAAAAGACTAAATCTAAGCATTATTAGTGTTCAAGAGAGAGTTGAACAAGAATAAGAGGTAGAGAGCTAAGTTAAAGAAATAATAACAGAAAACTTTTCAAAACTTGAAAGAGAGAAATATTCAGATACAGGAGCTTCAGAGAATACCAAACAAATTTAGTACAAGTAAGACTAATTCAAGGCGTATAATAATCAAACACTCAGAGATTAAGGGCAAAGAGAGGATCCTAAATGCAGCAAGAAAAGAGAGGGAAATAACAAATAAAGGGTCTTTGATGTATCTGGCAACAAACTTCTCAACAGAAACCATACAGGTCAGTAGAAAGTGGATCAACATTTTCAAAGTAGTGAAAGAAAAAACTAAACTGCCATTCAAGAAAACTGTATCCAGCACAGCTATCCTTTTATGGAGGAGAGCTAAAGTATTTCCCAGATAAACAAAAGCTGACAGAATTCACCACCACCAGGCTCATTTTGCAAGAAATGCTGAAAAGAGTTCTTCAATCTGAAATAAAAAAATCACTAATATAGAAAAAGAAAACATTTGAAGGTGTAAAACACACTGGAAAAATTAAGTGTACAAGAAAACCCTGAATACTCTAATACTGTAATTGTGGTGGGCAATTCACTCATAACTCTAGTATGAGGCCAAAAAGACAAATCTATCAAAAACAATAACACATACAGCAACCAGTTAGGAGATAGGCAATATAAAAACATGTAAATTGAGACAACATAAAGTCAAAATGTGGGGTAAATTGAGTTCAAGTACAGAGGATATTCAAAATCTTTTTATTGTTGTTATTATTTTCTTAGGATTTAAGCTAAGTTGTAATCCTTTTAAAATAATTTGTTATATCTATAAGATGTTCTGTATAAGCCTACAGTAATCACAACGCAGAAAAACTATAATATATTCACTAAAAATAAAAAGTAATTCACTAAAAATAAAAAGTAAATACTGCCAGAGAAAATCACTTAACCACAATGGAAGACAGTATGAAAGGAAGAAAGATAAATGTTATAAACTAACCAGAAAACAAGCAATAAAATAGCAGTAGCAAGTCTTTACTTATTGCTAACATCATAGGATGTAAATGGACTCAAATTGACAATTAAAAGGCATACAGTGGCTGAATGGATAAAGAAACAAAACCTAGCTCTATACTACTCTCAAGCAACCCACTTCACCTATAAATACACACATATACTGAAAACAAAGAGGTATAAAAAGATATTTCATGCACCTGGAAACCAAGAAAGACCAGAAGTAGCTATACTTATATCAGAGAAAATAGACTACAAATCAAAGATTGTGAAAAAAAAGATAAAGGTCACAATGTAATGAAAAGGGGGTCTATCCAGCAAGACAATGTAACAATTATAAATATCTGTGGATCCAACACTGGAGCTCTCAAGTATATAAAGCAAACATTAATAAGTCTAAAGGGAGAGATAGATTAAATACAATAGTAATAGGGGATTTGAACACCCCACTCTCAGTAATGAACAAATTTTCCACATATTTATTTCATCAATAAAGGAACACAGGAGTTCAACTACACACTAGATCTAATAGGCCTCACTTGATAAAATTTAATATTCCTTTATGATAAAAACCTTCAACAAATTGGACATAGAAGAAACATGCCTCAAAATAGTAAAGGCCATATGTAAAACCCATAGATATCATAGTACTGAAAGAGAAAAAATTGAAAGCCTTTCCTCTAGAAAAAGGCTATTATTCAATATAATATTGGAAGTCCTGGCAGGGGCAATTATGAAAGAAAAATAAATAAATAAATAAAGAACATCCAAATTAGAAAGGAAGAAGATAAATTAGCCTTGTTTGCAGAAATCATGATCTTATACTAAGAAAAATCTGAACTATCCAACAAAAAACTCTTAGAACTAATAAATTTGGTAAAGTAGCAAAATAAAAAATCAACATTTAAAAAACAGTAGCATACACACACACACACACACACACACACACATATACCCACACAGATATATACATATGCCAATAGCAAGCAATCTGAAAAAGAAATCAAGAAAGCAATCATGGCTGGGCATGGTAGCTCACACCTGTAATCCTAGCACTTTAGTAGGCTGCAGCAGGCAGATGGCTTGAGCTCAGGAGCTGGAGACCAGCCTGAGCAATGTGGTGAAACCCCATCTCTACAAAAATTACAAAAATTAGCCAGGCATGGTGGCATGTACCTGTTGTCCTAGCTACTCAGAAGACTGAGGTGGAAGGATTGCTTGAGCCCAGGAGGCAGAGGTTGAGGTTGCAGTGAGTTGAGATAGCACCACAGCACTCCAGCCTGGGCAGCAGAGCCAGATCCTGCCTCAAAAAAGAAAACAAGTACACTTACAATAGCTACGAAAAATATAAAATACATAGCAATTAATTTAATCAAAAAGTGAAAGATCTCTACAAGGAAAACTACAAAACACTGATGAATAAAATTGAAGAGGACACAGAAAAAATGGAAAGATGTTCCATGTTCATTGATTGGAAGAATTAATATTGTTATCATGACAATTCTAAATTTACAGATTCATCCCTATAAAATATAAATGACAGTTTTCATGGAAATAGAAAACAACCCTAAAATTTATATGGAACTACAAAAGACCCTAAATCACCAAAGCAATCCTAAGCAAAAAGAACAAAGCTGGAGGTGTCATACTACCTGATTTCAAATTATCCTACAAAGCTATGGTGACCAAATCAGTTTGGTACTGACATAAAAACAGACATATAGACAAATGGAAGAGAACAGAGAACCCAGAAATAAATCCACACAATTATAGCCAACTGATTTTCTACAAAAGCATAAGGAACATACAATGGGGAAGGGACAGTCTCTTCAATAAATGGCGCTGAGAAAACTGGATAACCATATGCAAAAGAATGAAACTAGATCCTTATCTCTCACTATATTAAAAAATCAAATCAAAGTTGATTGAAGATTTAAATGTAAGACCTAGAACAATGAAACTCCTAGAAGAAAACACTGGAGAAATGTTCTAAGACATTGTTCTGGGCAAAGGATTTTTTGTGTCAAAAGCACAAGCAACCAAAGCAAAAATATACAAATGGGATTATGTTAAGCTTAAAAGTTCTCCACACCAAAGAAAACAATAGAGTAAACAGACAATCTAGGGAATGGGAGATAATATTTGCAAACTATCCATCTGACAAGGAACTATTGATAAGAATATATGAGGCACTCAAACAACTCAATAGCAAAGAAATAAATCATCTAATTTAAAAATTGACAAAAGATTTGAATAAACATTTCTCAAAAGAAGAGATATAAATGACCAGCAGGTATATGAAAAAATGTTCAATATCACAAATCATCAGGGAAATGCAAATTAAAACCATAATGAGATATCATCTCACTCCAGTTAAAGTGGCTTTTATCAAAAAGATTGGGCCCAACAGATGCAGGAGATGATGTGGGGAAAAGGAAGCCTCGTACAATGTTGGTGGGAATGTAAATTAATACAGCCACTATAGAGAACTGTATGAAGGTTCATCAAAAAAGCAAGAATATAACTACCATATGATCCAGCAATTCCACTACTGCGTATATATCCAAAAGAAAAGTAATCCATTTAATGAAGAGATATGTGCATTCTCATGTTTACTAAAGCACTACTCACAATAGCCCAAATAAGAAATTAACCTAAGTGCCTATCAGTAAATGAATGGATAAAGACAATGTGATATATATACACAATGCCATATTATTCTGCCATAAAAAAGAATAAAATCTTGACATTTCCAGCACATGGTTGGAACTAGAGGTCATTATATTAAGTAAAATAAGCCAGGCACAGACAGGCAAATACCACATGTTATCACTCATATGTGGGCCCTACGAAAGAGATCTTATGAAGATAGAAGTACACTGATGGTTCCCAAAACCTGGGAAAGGTAAGAGGGGAAAGGGGATGAAAAAACATTGGTTAATGGGTACAAATATATAGTTTGATAGAAGGAATAAGACCTAGTGTTTGATAGATGGGTAAGGTGACTATTGTTTAAAATAATCTACTGTATATTTCAAAATAGCTAGAAGAGAATAATTCACATGTTTCTAGCATAAAGACAAATATTAAAGGTGATTGATATTCCAATTACACTGATTTGATTTTTACAAATTATATGAATGTATTAAACTATCACAGGTACCCCCAAAATATGTACATTGATTATATGTCAATTAAAAAATTGTTAATGGGCAAAGGGCCTGAATAGACTTTTCTTCAAGATATATAATGACCAAAAATATATGAAATGATGCTCAACATTATTAGACATCAAATGCAAATAAAAAACACAGTAAGGCAACACTTCACACCCACTAGAATGATGAATCAAAAGATAGCAAATAACATGTGTTAGTGAGCAGATGGAGAAATTGGGATACTCATACATTGCTGCTGAGATTGTAAAATGATGCAGCCAGTTTAGAAAACACTGACTCCTCCTCAAAACATAGAGTTTCCATATAACCAGCAATTGCATCATTTACCAATACACCCGACAACAAGGATGAACCTTGAAAACATCATGTTAAATGAAAGAAGCCACTCACAAAAGATCACATATTGCATGATTACATGTATATAAAATATCATAAACAAATATAGAAGGGCCAGAGAAAGAAAGCTAACCAAAGTCATGGGGAAAAAATATGCACAGTGCTAAGTTCATAAAATTGAGCAGTACGAAATCGCATGAATGTATGGGTTGAGCTGTTAGCCTTCAACCACCTACTTAGAGGTCTCAAGAAATAGGATTATGTCTCTGATTTTGGGTTGGATTACTAGATGCTACTGGTACAGCGGAAAGATAGGGGTTCAAGGAAATCAAGGCTACTTAGTGGGAAAAAGATCATACACTTGTCTTTCCATTGAGTGAGACTGAATAAGAAAGGTAAAGTGCCTGGAGGAGGTTAGATGATGGGAGAAAATGGCAGAAATCCAGAGACTAGAGAGTTCTAAGAGCGGTTATAGTAGTAACAAGCATGAAGAGAATCTTAACAGAGAAGAGATTTTGGTCATGGTAAGATATATAAAATTAAGATCTTCATACATTCATGTATTGAAACAATTCATAATGGAGCTTTGAAAATGAATGACAGAGTAGAGATAAAATTAACTGAAGAAAAAGAAGGCTAGAATTTTAAAACTTGATTGCTTTCTACAAGTGCACTGGCTTCAGCTATGACAGGAGATAAACCGAAGAGGACAATTGGGAATGTTCATCATCTAAAAGACTTCAAAGGGTAAAGGGAAATGATCAAGTAATCAATAAATGACATCAATAAGGAAGAGGAGAAAATCATATTGCCTGATGGAGTGAGACTCAAAAGAGAGTAAGCTTTTATCAGAGGCTGGAAAGGAGATGCTCTGACTGATAGGTGGTTCTTAGACGGCCAGCAAGAGTCCTGTTCTGGGGTGTGGCACTCTCATGGTGTTCTGAGCCTTGGCAGATGCCTTATGAAGAGAGGCATCTCAACATTTAAAAAAATACTTACATGAATAGTAAGTAGAATTTTGATAGAAAAAGGAGAGTTAGTGAGCAAAAGAAAAAACTCAGACTTGGAAACAAGAAGTAGCTTTGTGTTTGTGGGAGGTTGTTTTGTTTTATTTTATTTAAAAAATAATAAGTGAATCTTTTATAGTAATAAACTTTATTTAACAAATTGAGTGAAGCCAAATTTTGAAGAACTTTGCTTTGAAAGCTAATAAAAAGGTTGCTTTTTATCCTGAGGTCAATACATTCATTGAATATTTTTATCAAGGAGGTAATATACTAAAATTAGTGTTTAAACTTGTTGGTTAGAATGGAAAAAAGAAAGGATCAACAAACCACTTAGGAGACATAACTTAAGCTGGGGAAAAGAGGAATAAAAATAGAAAATAATGAAGCTGAAGATATTTCCAAGAAGAAATTGTAAAATATTTTTTAATGGAACAAATTAAAATGTTTTATTTGATTGTTTGTTTTTACATATTATGTTTCCAAAAGGTTTCATAAGTTAGATTAGACCTAGAGCTTAAGTTTCCAAAACTGTTGAACCACAGCAAACCTAAAATATCAAAATATTCACTAAAATAACCTATTCGTCTCATTCATTTACCTAGTCACCATCTATTGGGTGCCTATTATGTGCAAGGCTCTATGCTAGATTCATTTTTCCTTTAGCAGGCAAATTATTGGTGACCTGTAGTTTCATCTGTTCCTTCACTGCTTGTTACCAAATCCTAATTTCAAAATCTCAGGAAAGGACTGTGGAGGAAACTTTTTGTATTTATCATAGTCTTAGAAAATAAGATATAGTAAGGAGAAATTTATAATATTTTTAATTATTAATGAGGCATTGTTTTAGTTCATAAAAAAAGTTGAAAGATAACAGTTGCATCTCATTGTAGATAATTTTCTTCAGTGTATCTGTTTTTCTCATTCAATTTTCATTCCTTGATCAACTGCAGAATTTACTCCAGGAAATAATAATCTCCAAAATAAAATGAAAAACCAAATTCAGAAATGTTCTTTGAGCTATTCTTACTCAAAAACTAGTACTTTTTTAACAAATTATGTTTGCCTCTAGGAGAAAAGTCACTATTACTTTGTTCTTTTCATTAAATAATTCTTCAGTAAATAAAAGACATTAAATCAAATTGTTTTTGCAACCAAATACAGAAAAAACATAATCAATAGAATGAAAAATGTGTCTTTTAGAAAGAAAACCAATGAATGTTTTAGAAGAATTCTTAGACATTCTAATCACCAAATACGGAAGACTCATAGGTTTTTAGAAGCAAATGGATTCAGTTAGAAATCAAAGATCTGGCCATGAGCCCAACAATTCAAACATTAAAAAGAATTCTGATTACTCTATAGATTGTAAATATATCTGCCTTCCATAATTCCTATATTCCACTCTCCTGAAGTTTAAAGTAAATATTTTAGTGCAGTAAAACCCACTAGAAAAAATCATTAAGCTAAGATTAAAGTAAAATAAGTTTTTGCTTCAAAGTTCATTTTCTGACCCAAAACATGGATATTTGCCTTTCAGGGATTGTCTCCCACCTGGGCAGAAGTTGGTATTCTAGTGTAAATCTCTTGCTACAGAACCCTCATGTACTATTTTATTCCTTACCTCATCGGCAAGTAGGAAAACCTACAGGCTGAAAAGAGAGACTATTACACTGGGCTCAGTGAACTTCATGGTAGCATCTGCTATTTTAATAGCCAATGCTGACTTCATCTTCATCCACTGTAATTCTTGATCTGGAATGGCTCCTTAGAAATTCACAATTTTGTTTCTAGTATACAAATGGAAATGACAATGAACTCTCTCTTATATGACATGGTAAAGAATAGAGTGCTTTGTTTAGTTAGAGACTTTGGCTAACATAGCATTGCAAAATATACTAAGAAATGTATTGACAAAATCTATGTTAAAAAATTCATATTTTTCTGAGGATTTAAAGGTCATTTAAAAATCTTTAGTGATAATATCATCATTTTACAAATCATTACTCAGTTAAAGATAGATACTGTAGACAGATTCCGGATTTTTTAAAAAATAATAGTTTTACTATAGTGTAAGACTACTGGGTCAAGGCAAATTTCCAAACAGCAACTAAACTTTTTGGGAGTGGAGGACAAACAATTCTACTAGCATGATTTGACAGACAGAAGACTGGGTATACTGTGGGTAAATGATCAGAATATGGACAAAGTTCATTTTCTGGCCTTGCCTATACTTACTTCAAGAAAGATCCTAACTCCTTCCTTCTAGGGAGGCTCCTGAGTCAGGTGGTAAAATCATCTTTGTAAAAATTCTTAACTGAAAATATTATTATAGTAAAAGAGATTGACCTAACTGACCCCATCTCGCTTCTAACCTCCACACTGTCCTTGTTCATTCCTAGGCTTAGGCCAGACTAACGTTGGGAGGAACTTAGTTTATAGTTTAGCTTTGAAACAAAGACAGTAACAGCCCCTTCTCAAAACAAAGCCCCTTTCCTGCCTGGGGACTAGACTGCCTTTGTAGGAGTAACAAATTAGCCACAAGATTAGAAATTATGGTTTAGGAGTCATGCAGCTGGAGGCTGCAAGATTCTAAACCTCCCCAAATTGTTCCTGGGGATAACATCACTATTGTAAAACCTAAGATCAGTGCTTGAGATATTTTGCAGACGCTGCACAGGATGCATCAGCTGGCATCACCCAGATCGATAAACTGGCCTATCAGATCTTGTGCCCCAGACCCAGGAACTGACTCAGCACAAGAGGACAGCTTCAACTCCCTGTAATTTCATCTCTAACCTGACCAATCCTAACTCCTGACTCACTAGCAGCCCACCCACCAAATTATCCTTAAAAACTGCAATCCCTGAATTTTCAAGGAGACTGATTTGAGTAATAAAATTTCAATCTCCCATATAGCTGGCTCTGCATAAATTATTCTTTCTCTATTGCAATTTCGCTGTCTTGATAAATAGGCTCTGTGTACGCAGCAGGCAATGTGCACCCACTGGGCAGTTAAGTGGTGCGCCTAAGTTTTATAGGTTGTTACTCAATGTTATTACTTCTCTGGTTGTGAGGGTAGTGTGTTCCTGACTTTAAGTCCAAAGTTTTTTCTTCTCAACATTTTTTCTTGCTAAGATGAAACACAGAGTAATAACTACTTGATTCCCTTGCCAGCTTTCTCAAAGCCTCTAAGGGATTTCCTTGTCTTATGGGATAGAATGTTTGCAAATGATCTTCCAATCAAAATTCACCATAGCTGCATAGTGACTGAGGTGTGGTCTGCTCGTTGCATTGCATTGTTGAGATCAAGCCAGTCTTGTAGAAGCCTTCTCTAAGGACCTTACAGCAAGTTACACTGACCTGCCAGGTTCCTCATCATTATGCAGAATGAAAATTCCTTATGTACTTGGAAATCTTTGTAGTGGAGTTCTGGAGTAGGGTCACATTCAACAAAATTTTGTGCTGACCATAAAATAAATTTAGAAACAACTCAAAAATTTTATTTGCATTTCTCTAAAAATTAAACTGAATTCAAACATACAGTACACCTATTAAATTCTTTATTTGCCTTCTTAATTCTCTGTCCTAAAAATCTCCAGGGAGTATCATACCCCAAGCAGGGAAAATGTATCTAACTCACTTCTTCTCTACTACCTTAGTCCCCATCATCTATGCCCATATAAGGCCTTTATCCATGATGTGCCTTCTAAATGGAACACTCCCCTCCCCCACAGCCCCCAAAGGCATAGCTTGGGCTTTCATTAGCACTGCTATCTTAAGAATCAGTCATAGTTCCAACCACAGACAGCCCTCTCTTCCTGTCTCCTCTCTTCATTCTGGAATCTGAACAATCAGAGCCTAATACTACTTTTCAGTAACTAAATAGATTAGCAATGCACTCAGTAGTGGCAGACTTTGGCCACATCGATGAACATAACCCTCTATATCCATTTCTAAGACTCCAGAATTTTTCCCAATGACTGAATCATATTGGCCACCACATTCAGGAACGCAACTATTTGCCTATATCTACTTTACCACAACTGATCTGTTTAATGCTAACTCAGAGGCCACAGGAAAAGAAATTTAGTTGAAACCTACTTCATTTAAAATGTCTTTTTTAAAAGTTTTTTATATGTCTCTTTTCAAGATGTATAGATGGAAAAAGGGTTGGGGTGGGGGGTTTGATCTGTAGTGTGAGAAATCTATCCTGCTGAGAAAATGAAAACAGTCTCTGCTTTTCTCATTGTCATCCATGCATGCTGCTTACTGGGCTTCTCCTTGAAAGCAGTTGATTTGCATGATTAAGTACTTACTTGGTTTGGTGGGGTTTTTTGAAACTCAAAGGACTTATATTGAAAATCTATTTTTGTTTGCTTTTGAATGGAATGCATTTATTTGGGGGATGTAAACTTCTGGGATTTGTGGTAAATTTGAAATCTTAATTCTGTTACATACTCTTGGATGGGTTGTTTAGTTGAGGAACTATATTTAGCTTGAGATTTAAACACCTAGATTGTAATAATTTTTTGAATGCAAATTTCATATCTAAACTGTTGATGCATAGTCCAGATGTTTGGACAGATCATGTGAGATAGTTGATACAAATATTTGGCTTCATGTAGGGTAATTGGTACAGATTCCTTTGTAGAGATTGGAAAGTCTCTTTTTGCTTGAAACTACTCAGCTGTGATTGGATCCACAGTAATAATATTTGTTGGCATCTTAATTTTTATCAAATGCTTTTAAATTATTTACTTTCTTAGCTACCTCATTTACATTGCTAACAATATAATATTACAATATAATTGTACAACCTTTTATGGTATCCAAATAGACAAAAGATTCTTTACTCCATTAGCCCCCTAAAGCACTTCTATTAATGAGCTGGTTTAAGATTTCAGAGACATCATCCCAGTGAGCTCAACTTTATTATTTAATATTTATTTCTAGAGAGCAAATAACAACAAAATATTTTATTTTCCCTTGGAATTATTTTGTAAGATATTTATTGCACCAGATTCACTTTTCAAAGAACATCTGATATTCACTTACAAAAGTGAACCTCCAGTTAGTTATGCACTCGAGAAGATAGATGTGCTGGACTGTGATGGGCCCAGAACATTCTGAGCTGAAACCTGAACTAAGTGTGTTTAGAGCCTATTCCTTGAAAGTCTATCAAAAGCTTTTTATGTATCTTGCAACCTGGATCTATCCCTACTTCCCAATATATCTGTTACAGGAAAGGGGTCCTGATCCAGACCCCAAGAGAGAGTACTTAGATCTTGCATAAGAAAGAATTCAAGTTGAGTCCACAGTACAAAGCAAAAGCAAGTTTATTAAGAAAGTAAAGTAGTGAAAGAACAGCTACTCCATAGACAGAGTAGGGCATTCCCAAAAGTAAGAGGAGGAATGTGTCCACCCTAGATACAATACTTGTTTCTATATAAGATTTTTTAAAAAAGATCATGGGGAGATGTGTTCTGCTACAAAAGTTTGTGATAAAGGATTAATTTTCTTAATTTCTGTATTTTGCAAGAATTGATATTGTTATCTTTAAAGCAAAAGTAGGAATGCTTCTGTTCTCAAGGTATCAGGGTATCAGAACACTCCCAAGTCTGAGTCTGTTTAGTAAACATTATCAATCTGTTCTCTTAACCATAAACATCTAGAGGCTAGGAATACCTAACTTTCTGGGAATGCAGCCCAGCAAGCCCCAGCCTCATTGTCCTAGCTCTCACTCAAGATGGAGTCACTCTGGTTAGAATGCCTCTGACACATCCATGGGCCTGAAGCCCACAAACATGAAGTCTAGGAAAGAGGGCTCAGAAAATTAAAAAAATTAAAAAATTTTAAAAAATTTTAAAAAACAAGAAATTTATGTGTGCCTGATCCAGACCTGGACACTAAAGGATAGCTTCTGTGCCATGGGATAGGCAGATATTAAACAAATATGAAACTCATCTACCACTCTTGCATCAATGAAACTACCTTTGCAAAAATCATACCTGAGGAAATTATGACAGTGAAAGAGATGAGACCAAACCAACCCCACCTTGCTTCTCACCTTTAAGCTGTCCTTGTTCATTCCTGGGCATAGATTGAACTAGCCTTGGGAAGGAATTTAGTTTACAGTTCAGACTCTGAAACAAAATTGGTAATAGCCCTTTCCCAAGGGGGGAAAAAATCCTTCTTGCCCGGAGACCAGTCTGGCTGTGTAGGACTAACAAATTAGCTACAAGATTAGAAATTATGGTGTAGGGGCCATGCAGCCTTCAGCTGCAAGAGTCTGAACCTCCCCAAATTGCTGCTGGGGGTAACATCACTGTTGCAAAACCTAAGATCAGTGCTTGAGATATTTTGCAGACTCTGCATTCCAATGCAGCAGATGACACCACCCAGACCAGTAATCTGGCTCAACCACTTCTGCAATCCCACCCAGGAACAGAAGTCAGCAAGAAAGAACTCATTTCGACCACCTATGATTTCATCTCCAACCCAATCAATCAGCAACCTCACTTCCCAAGCTCCTATCTGCCAAATTATCCTTAAAAACTCTGATCCCCAAGTTTTCAGGGAGACTAATTTGAGTAATAATAAAATTCCAGTCTCCCACACAGCCAGTAATATGTGAATTACTCTTTCTCCATTGCAATTCCCCTGTCTTGATAAATTGGCTCTTGTCTAGCAGGAGGCAAGGTGAACCTGTTGGGTGATTACATCAATGGCCATGAAAGCCCTTTCTATAATTTCCATAGATCATCATTTCTTCTTGCTTTAAAAAGCTTAGTATTGTCTACAGATTTGAGATCTAATTGTTAACACAGTTTTTAGATTGTCCCTTACCATTCTTGAACAGTGCACCATTGCTCAGGCATCTGTGATGAAATCTGTTACACACAGATGTATAAGCATAGGATTCTTTGGTAGCTCTCAATGATGTCCTGTTAATTAGTTGTCTTTCCCTAGGTCAGTGCCACACTATCTTAATTAAAAATATTAGATAATAAGTTATAATACCTGATACAGCAAATCCACTTGTCTTGTGACACTTGTTCAGCAATGTCTTGACTATCCCCAGGTCTTTGCTCTTTCATAGACATTATAGAATCAATGTGTTAATTTCCTATAAAACCTCTATTTATATGTGAATTAGAATTGTAATTACTAGATACTAGTTTAAATCTTTTGACATTAACATTAAACTGTTTTTCACCTACAAAGATGACAATTTCATATGGTTCTTCTACTGAATAGATCACAAGGGAAAGAATTAACGTCTTTCTGATATCTACTCGTGAACATGATGTATCTCTCCATTTACTTAGGTTTCTTCAATATCTTTATTAAAGTTGTAACTCCATGCAGGTATTCAATATATGTTGTAAGATTTACTCCTAGATATCTTGCTTTTTTTTTTTTTTTTTTTTTTTTTGCTGTTGTAAATGGTATCTTTTTCTTATTATTATACTTTCAGTTTGTGTGTATGTGCTACGGTTTGGGCCTTTGCACCTCCAAACCTCATGTGGAAATTTGGTCCCCAATGTGGCAATGTTGAGAGGGAAGGCCTGCTGGGAGGTGTTTGGGTTCTGGGGGTGGATCCCCCATGAATATATTAATGTTCTTTCTCAGGGTGAATGAGTTCTCCCTCTATTAGTTCCCCTTGAGAACTGGTAGGTAAAAAGCACCTAGGGCCTCCCAGTGGCTTCCTCCCTCACCATGGGATCACTCTTTGCACTCTTGGTATGGAAGTGTTCCAGACCCAAGGCCATTCTTATGCAGCTATGTGGAGGTAAAAAGGCATCATGCACAGGACTGCAGTTCCTGATACTCATAAATCAGAACTTCTACTGGATTCAACCAATTTTCTTTAATCTAACTTTACTCCTATTGGTTTTGAGTTATGTAAGCTATTTCTGTTTCACACCTTCTTTCATACAATGCAAGGTCCTTGGAGTGTTTGATTTTAAACACTACCTCTCAAATTCCATATTATTGTCATTTATCATTCCAGTTCAATTTGTTAATGTCATGCTAGTTAGACATTATTTCATCATATTTTTGTCAACGTTTATTTGGATTACACTTTTTTTACATGACGTAGTTCTTTGCACTCTACTGCTTTATTGATTTCATTCTTGTAGGGACCAGCCCCACAGGTTCAGTGGGTTTTTCTCCCTGTGTGCGGAGAAGAGAGATCATAGAAATAGACACAAGACAAAGAGATAAAAGAAAAGACAGCTGGGCCTGGGGTACCACTACCACCAAGATGCAGAGACCGGTAGTGGCCCCAAATGCCTGGCTGCACTGTTATTTATTTGATACAAAGCAAAAGGGGCAGGGTAAAGAGTGTGAGTCATCTCCAATGACTGATAAGGTCACGTGAGTCACGTGTCCACTGGACAGTGGGCCCTTCCCTATTTGGCAGCTGAGGCGGAGAGAGAGAAGACAGCTTATGCCATTTATTTCTGCATATCAGAGACTTTTAGTACTTTCACTAATTTTGCTACTCCTATCTAGAAGGCAGAGCCAAGTGTACAGAATGGAACATGAAAACGGACCAGGAGCATGACCAATGAAGCACAGCATCACAGGGAGATGGTTAGGCCTCCGGATAACTGCGGGCGGGCCTGACTGATGTCAGGCCCTCCACAAGAGGTGGTGGATTAGAATCTTCTCTAAACTCCCCCAGGGAAAGGGGGACTCCCTTTCCCGGTCTGCTAAGTAGCGGCTGTTTTTCCTTGGCACTGACACTACCGCTAGACCATAGTCCGCTTGGCAACGGGCGTCTTCCCAGACGCTGGTGTTACCGCTAGACCAAGGAGACCTCTAGTGGCCCTATCCGGGCATGACAGAAGGCTCACTCTTGTCTTCTGGTCACTTCTCACCATGTCCCTATCTCTGTATGGCCTGGTTTTTCCTAGGTTATGATTGTAGAGCAAGGATTATTATAATATTGGAATAAAGAGTAATTTCTACAAACTAATGATTAATGATATTCATATATAATCATATCTATGATCTATATCTAGTATAACTATTCTTATTTTATATATTTTCTTTATTACACTGGAACAGCTCATGCCGTCGGTCTCTTGCCTTGGCACCTGGGTGGCTTGCCGCACACACATTCTGAATGAAGAACATCCTTTAGTAGATTTGCAGGTCTTTGACAAATCCCCTCAAAAACAAAATTAAATGTTGTTTATTTTGCCGTTAGTCTGGAATGATTGTTTTGGGTGGGTTTAGAATTCTAGATTGATGGTTACTTTTCCTCAGTACTTTAAATATATTATTTCATTTTCATCCAATTCCTAGTGTTGGTGTTGTTGATGAGAAGTCTGCTGTCAGCCTAATTATATTCCTCTCTAGAAGAAATATCTTTTTCTATCTGAATTTTTGGGCTTTTTTTTGGAAAAAAGATTTTCATCTCACTATAATGCATGATGGTATGGGTTGTATTTTTTGTTTGGTTATTTACATTTCGGGTTTGGTATTGTTTTGTTTTTGCTGCTGAGGATCAATTATGCTCTTTCAATATCAGGGTTCATGTATTTCTTTAATTCTGAAAACTCCCCAACTATTATCTCTTAGAATACTTTTTCTCCCTTTTATCCTTTATTTTCTCTTCTGGAATATCTCATTCTATCTCTTTATCTTCTTTATCTTTTAACATTTTTTATAATTTTTTAATCATTTTATCTCTCTCTGCTAGATTCTGAGAGGTTTACTCAACTCCATCTTTCAGTTCTCTGATTCTCATTTTAATTGACATTAATATGCTATTCATCCCATCCAATTAACTTATTTTTGTGATTATATTTTTATATCTAGAAGTTCAATTTGGTTCTATTTTCAAAACATAGGCGTGGGCAAGGACTTCATGTCCAAAACACCAAAAGCAATGGCAACAAAAGACAAAATTGACAAATGGGATCTAATTAAACTAAAGAGCTTCTGCACAGCAAAAGAAACTACCATCAGAGTGAACAGGCAACCTACAACATGGGAGAAAATTTTTGCAACCTACTCATCTGACAAAGGGCTAATATCCAGAATCTACAATGAACTCAAACAAATTTACAAGAAAAAAACAAACAACCCCATCAAAAAGTGGGCGAAGGACATGAACAGACACTTCTCAAAAGAAGACATTTATGCAGCCAAAAAACACATGAAGAAATGCTCATCATCACTGGCCATCAGAGAAATGCAAATCAAAACCACTATGAGATATCATCTCACACCAGTTAGAATGGCAATCATTAAAAAGTCAGGAAACAACAGGTGCTGGAGAGGATGCGGAGAAATAGGAACACTTTTACACTGTTGGTGGGACTGTAAACTAGTTCAACCATTGTGGAAGTCAGTGTGGCGATTCCTCAGGGATCTAGAACTAGAAATACCATTTGACCCAGCCATCCCATTACTGGGTATATACCCAAATGAGTATAAATCATGCTGCTATAAAGACACATGCACACGTATGTTTATTGCGGCACTATTCACAATAGCAAAGACTTGGAACCAACCCAAATGTCCAACAATGATAGACTGGATTAAGAAAATGTGGCACATATACACCATGGAATACTATGCAGCCATAAAAAATGATGAGTTCATATCCTTTGTAGGGACATGGATGAAATTGGAAACCATCATTCTCAGTAAACTATCGCAAGAACAAAAAACCAAACACCGCATATTCTCACTCATAGGTGGGAATTGAACAATGAGATCACATGGACACAGGAAGGGGAATATCACACTCTGGGGACTGTGGTGGGGTCGGGGGAGGGGGGAGGGATAGCATTGGGAGATATACCTAATGCTAGATGACACATTAGTGGGTGCAGCGCACCAGCATGGCACATGTATACATATGTAACTAACCTGCACAATGTGCACATGTACCCTAAAACTTAGAGTATAATAAAAAAAAATAAAAAATAAAAAATAAATAAAAAAAATAAATAAAAAAAAGTCAGGAAACAACAGGTGCTGGAGAGGATGTGGAGAAATAGGAACACTTTTACACTGTTGGTGGAACTGTAAACTAGTTCAACCATTGTGGAAGTCAGTGTGGCGATTCCTCAGGGATCTAGAACTAGAAATACCATTTGACCCAGCCATCCCATTACTGGGTATATACCCAAAGGATTATAAATCATGCTGCTATGAAGACACATGCACATGTATGTTTACTGTGGCACTATTCACAATAGCAAAGACTTGGAACCGACCCAAATGTCCAACAATGAGAGACTGGATTAAGAAAATGTGGCACATATACACCATGGAATACTATGCAGCCATAAAAAATGATGAGTTCATGTCCTTTGTAGGGACATGGATGAAGCTGGAAACCGTCATTCTCAGCAAACTATCACAAGGACAAAAAACCAAACACCACATGTTCTCACTCATAGGTGGGAATTGAACAATGAGAACACATGGACACAGGAAGGGGAACATCACACACCGGGGACTGTTGTGGGGTGGGGGGAGGGGGGAGGGATAGCATTAGGAGATATACCTAATGCTAAATGACGAGTTAATGGGTGCAGCACACCAACATGGCACATGTATACATATGTAACTAACCTGCACGTTGTGCACATGTACCGTAAAACTTAAAGTATAATAATAATAAAATAAAATAAAATAAAAGAGAAAAGCATCTTTGTTAAGATAAAACAAAAAAAAAGAAAGAAAGAAAAGAAAGAAAAGAAAAGAAAAGAAAGGAAAAGAAGAGAAAAGAACAGGGCTGGCAAGTTTTTGCTGCAAAGGGCTAGATAGTACATATTTCTGGTGTTGCAAGTCAAGAAGCAAAATTGAGGCTACTATGTAGGTATTTATAAAACTAGAGAAAAAATAAAGATCCACAACATTTTTACTGGTAAAATTCAAAATACAGTAATAATTGGAACTCAGAGAGAGAGTAGAAGGGTGATTGCCAGGGGCTAGGAGTGGGGGAATGCTGAGATGTTGATCAAAGGGTACAAACTTTTGCTTATAAGATGAGTAATTTCTGGGATTCTAGAGTACAGGATGTACTCTAGTTAATAGTTAATAGTACTGTATTGTAAACCTGAAATTTGCTGAGAATAGATCTCTAGTGTCACCACCACACACACAAAAAAATAGTTACTATGTGAGGTGATGGACATGTTAATTCGACTGTGGTAATCATTTCACAATGCATACCAAATCGTCATGTTGTATGTCTTCAATATATACAATTTTCATTTGTAAATTGTACCTCAATAACGCCAGAAAAAAGTATTATTTTTAAAAAACTGCCACTTGTCCAGTTCTGATATAATATCAGAAAAGAATTTCCACAATTATCTGAAGAGGCCTTTATTTTCAACTATGTATATCTGTGAGGCTAGATTTTCTTATATTTCCACAAAAACAATGTATCATAATAAATTGAATGTAGAAGCAGATAGCAGAATTCAGTTGTCTTTTATCAAGCCTAGACATTAAAGAGATTTGCAAAAATATAAAGTAATACCACTCTTTTCATTATGTACTTGTTTTATAAAATATAATTATTTTCACAAAAGTATTATTTATGTTAACATGCAACAGGTTTGTTGTTTTATTTTAAAATGTAATAATAAATATTTTTTACTTTTTCAATTTAAAAAAAAAAAAAAAAAACTGCTTACAGTTTTTCAAGCACTCCTAATATTTTGTTATTAATTTTAATTCAATTTTTTATTTTGTATTCTTTTATCTCCATAATCCTTTTAAATCTACTTATATTATCGTCTTTTTTAGATTTTTATTTTTTTAAATCTTCAGTTTTGGGAAGGCTAATCTCCTGGATATAATATTTCCTGGTATTCCACTACAGTGGGTCTTTTCTCGAGTTCTTTAAGACACTAATACTCTGTCCTGTGGTAGCTGCATTTGCTTTAGTTTATATACATGTACCCACAGAATTATTCCTCATTTTTTTCTGCTAGGCTCTAGGGTTACAATATAATAGCCAGTAGCCATATGTAAATTTTAAAATAGAAATTAATTAAAATTAAATAAAATTTAAAATTTAGTTTTGCAATCTCACTAGACACATTAAGTGTTCAATAGCCACATAGGACCAGTAGTTACCATATTAGATACTGCAGATACAAAACATTTCCATATCACAAAAGTTCTATTGTGCAGTGTTGCTGTAGAGTTTACACAGTCCTAAACTAGCTTTAATATTAATTTCTTTGTTCTGTTTCCTAACCTTTGCAGGTCATTAAATTGTAAGCCTTTTAGGTCTCATGGGTATAGAACTTTGATTAATTGCGATTGACTTATTTATTCATTCATGACCTCCAATAGATAGCAAGTGACCTTTTCATTTCTCCAGGCCATTAAGCAGATACATCTAGATTCCTTTAAATAAATAACTTGGTAACCCTTCAAGACTCTGGACTTTATTCAGAGGACTCAATTCCAGCTTTCCAGCTTGAATAGACCTATGGCCACATCTTTTTTCCCTAGTGGGTATGAAAAGCCCTTTATATATATTCCTTCCATAATCCCCGAGTAGTCAAAGGGCCTACTTTCACTTGCTTTTCTGGATTTGAATCCTCTCTTCTGTTCTGTCACCTGGAGATTTCTCTTTCTGTTTTTCAAGCTGCTTTGTATAATTTATTAAAAATTACATCACATTTATCCAGCATTTCACCATGTTTGTGGAGAGAAAAATTGTCTACATCAGCTAAATTTATCATGTGATTAGAAATATACTGACATTGTATTGCATGCTTTAATATTTTGAGAAAGAATAAGATATGTCATGTTTAAAATGAATTTCATTGTTAAGCCTGCTCTTTAATATAATTGCTCAAAAATTTCTGTCTAATTGTAATCTGGTGCTTGAAGTTCTACAACTTCACCTGTAAGTGATTTGTTTTTCTTATTGGAATGCCTCATATCTAATCTAAATACAAAAGTATTGTTTTTTAATGACACCTCTTGTATCAATCACTTCTTTCCAATATCATTTTACTTTTGCATAGAACCTGATATCATTTCCAGAAATGATTTTAACATTCTCTTCTAAAATTGTAAAGTAATGCTTATTTATTATAACTGATAAAATAATATGTTTAAAGAAAAAAGTAATCATCTCTCTTCTCTACCTCCTTTCTATTCCTTATTTCCAAACCACCTCCTTGCCAGATGGTCAGTGATATCAACATTGTTTTATATTGCTTTAGTAGTTTTCCATGCACATTTAAATATATACAAACATATGAATTTATAATTAGCGGTTCCTGTCCTTGACTATTTTGACCAAAATGAGTATTTCACTAACTAAACACTAGAGCATCTCTCTAGTCAACATATATAAGCCTAATATATTTTTTAAATACTTTAATATTATCCATAGTATAAATATACATAATTTATTAATCTTTTCCCCCTTGATGAATACTCAGGATGCTTCCAGTTTGCTGCCACTATGAATCATAACACAATAAACATCCTTGAGTAATTCTTGCATACCTGTAACACTTGGATTTTTATATAACCTTACTCTAAATTAGTATAAAAATGTGTTATCTTTCTTTAGTCTCTCATTTCTCTCCATCCCATATAAATCTAAAATAATCTTTTTGTACCAGGTTTTTATTAAAGAAGTTAGATTTTAAAAATATTATTTAAACCCAAAATTTATTATAGGTTCTTCTGTCTTCAGAGCTGACTAGCATAATTCATGTTGGTAGGAAGATATGTCTCTACATTTACTTCCTACCAATTAAGGAGATTGGCAGAAGAAAGAAGAAAACAGTGAACTCTCAATGTTTCTGCCAGAGGGACTAGATGACGTGGCACTCTGCTTAACAGGACATATTGTTGACCCTCTGATTATACCAAGCCTGATAGGGCCTGGAGAGCAGAACTGTTTTAATGAAGACTGGAACTGAGTTTGGAAGAGTAGTTACTGTAGGGAAATATAAGAGAGAGAAATTGACAGATGAGAAGAATGAGTGTTAAAAGAGGGCATGGACCCAAAAATGGCAGGAGGCTGAAAGCAACATAGAAAAATGAGAAATGTCAGAGCATGAGAAGGGTTTTAAAATTGTATTCCTTTACTTTTGAAACCCCACACCCAGGACAATGCCTGTCACAAAGCAGATGTTCCAGGAATATCACTAAAATAATAATTAGGGATGTTTGATATTAAGTTTTAAGTGATTGCATTTTATGTTCTCCACAAGAAACCCATTTTAAATATAAGAACATGGCTAGATTCATTACCTCTGAAGTGGTATAGTGTTATTTGAAAGAAAACTAGGATTAGTTATAAATGGGCAGCTACTTTAAAAAGCACAACGACTGCATTGTCATAATGTAAAGCCTTTCCCTATCATCTCAAACTTTCAATGAAAACTCTAACATCTAAATATGTTATTAAACAATAGGGGGTCAGGGTTGGGAAATCAAGAAAACAGATTGAATTATACCCCCTGGAGAGCCCAGAGCTTAGAGAAGCCAATTGTCTCCGGATCTGATAAACGTATTAAGAGCAGGAGTTCCCCTAAAGCAGGAACTTCTTGTAGAGGTGATCATGGAAATGCAAGCTCCCAGGAATCTAGGATAACTGATGGAAAACATTACATATCCTACAGAACAAGGGGTAATGGCTTAAAGTAATATTATGATGGGGTGACCAGAGCAAACATTTGTTAAGCAATGAATCATATAATCATAGAAAATGTTTAAACCTGGAAAGCAATAATCTAGTCCAGTGGTGATAAACACCTTCATTTCAAGAGCTATTTCAATTGACAGCATCCTCCCGGCATGCTAAGTTGAGCAGAGTTCTGAGACTGGAAAATGGGTCTGTGGTGAAGATGGTTGGAAATTATCAAAAAGCCTAAGGAAGTGCAAGGGGGGAAAGTAAAGCATGTAAATTTCCAGATTGCAAATTTATTGAGGAAAGATGTAATTTGTTTTTTGATCCTTCACACCTTACCCTCCTCACAACTCCATCAACTATTCTCAATGGGTTATTGATGCTGATTTAGTCTATCCCTGATTTAGTACAAGTACCTCCTTTTTAAGAAAAATACTTGTTTATTTTTTAACCTACCAATATTGAATCAGGAAGAAATAGAAAGCCTGAACAGACCCATAACAAATAAAGAGATTAAAATAGTTATTAAAATCCTCCTCCCAAAGAAGAAAAGCTCAGGACCAGGTTGTTCAGGGGAACAACAAGTCAGTGGAGCATTCAGAACATAAACATTTATCAATTAAGTTCGCTGTCTTATAAGGGCACAGTTCATGGTGCCCCAAAATAATTAAAATAGTAACATAAAAGATCACTAATTACAGATCACCATAACAGATATAATAATGAAAAGTTTGGAAACTGCAAGAAATGCCAAAATGTGACATAGTGTCCCAAAGCGAGCCCATGCTGTTGGAAAATGGCGCCAATAGACTTATTCCACACAGGATTGCCACAAACCTTCAATTTGTAAAAATGCAGTGTCTGTGGAGCACAAGAAAGTGCAGTGTAGTAAAACAAGGTATGCCCGTGTCTATAAAAGGGAGACAGAATTGTTCCTTCAAAGAGTCGCTAAATCGCTAAAAATTTGCAAATAGTTACACAGTGCCCTGTCTATCATTGACAATTACAAAATGCCTTGCAACATTTTGCATTGTTTATTGAGCTGGTTCTTGACTCTTCTTTAGTTGTTTGTATTTCATTTTCATACTTTTACAACCATATGGTAAACTCCTAAAATACAAATATTTTATCTTATAGAGTCTTCTCATTCCTATATAGCTAATAGGCAGTCAATAAATATTTGAATCGATTAATGCTCTGGATTTTACCTCACAAACCAGATTACATACTTATTGAGAAAAAATGTATTTTTTCACACTTTTCTCTCCTCATAATTCCTCAATCCACTATGCTTAGGAGGTTATTGAAAACATACATGAAATATATAAATAAATGAGTTTGATAAATTATTAAATATAGAAGAATAACTCTTGAGAACATAAGTCCTTTCTGAGAAGACAATTAAAAATCGGTAAAGGAGATTTGCTAAAATTTACTGTAAAAAAATTTCATTACCACCTGTTTTCAATTACACGTTATCTTTAAATTCTGTCCTAATTGGATATTTTACAGCTTCTGCTTCTTTATAATAAAAATTGTATGTAAACATAACTATAGCTTTTGATTTTTTTTTGCACAGTAGTGCATAGTTGCCATGTTGAAAATACTGTTGAACAAATAAGTGTGCAATATTAGGAAGGAAACTCCTTCTCTCAAGGAAAATAGTGATGAAAGTGGGAGAGAAAAACGTCGTTGTTGTTGTTGCTGTGTTTTTATTTGAAACCATCACCTCATTTGGTTTCCATATTCTGAACATAAAGGAGTATTGTCCACTCAATAAACATTTACCAAGCACCTGCTATGTTATGTCTGAGAGTCACAAAGATGAATGATCATGATCTGTCTTCAAGATTCATTGTTTCTTGGAAAAGGCAGACACATCAGCAAATAGTTTGTGATGAGTGCTCTCTGACGGGGGTATACCCAAGGTGCTAGGAGACTGCAGGGGAGTGAGAAATAAGAAAAAGCTGAATGGCGGAAGAACAAGTTTCAGGCAGGGATGGTCTGAAAGATAAACAAGACCTGATTGCTAGTTCAGTTATGACAGGCAGCCTTAGGTTTCTGAATGAATTGGTTTTGGATGTGATAAAGGGAAATTCCTATGCCACTTATTCTACATATTGCATAGCCTTCCTAGTAACTTCAAAAACTCTATAAAGTGTTTATGCCCATTGCTAAAGTTGAATTACATGTGTGTTGGAGCAGGGATTCACTGAAATGCAGCCAAACCCACCTAGAGACCTGTTGAAGTGAAAAGTAACTAACTTCCCCTTCTGCCAAGAGCAAGTAAAAAGTATTGAATGTTTGAGAGAGGGGTTCTTCTGCCTAAAGTAATACAGCACATGATGACAGTATAACCATGGCATTGTCCTCAAAAGAAGTCTCTCACCAGCCCTCTATAACCATAGGGTCCTGTTTTGTTTGGGGGGTTCTGTTTTTATTTGTTTGTTTGTTTAAATACATAAGAACTAATTTTGGGGAAGAGATGGGATAGGGGAAAATAAGGAGATTAAAAAGTCACTTCACGGGCTGGGCATGGTGGCTCACACCTGTAACCCCAGCACTTTGGGAGGCCAAGGTGGTAGTATCTCTTGAGCCCATGAGTTCAAGACCAGCTGGGCAACATGGCTATGTTTGGCTGTGTCCTCACCCAAATCTCATCTTGAATTGCAATCATCCCCACATGTCAAGGGCAGGGCCAGGTGGAGATAATTGAATCATGGGGGCAGTTTCCCCCATGCTGTTCTCATGATAGTGAGTGAGTTCTCACAAGATCTGATGGTTTTATAAGGGGCTCCCTCCCTTCTCTCTGCCCTTCTCCTTGTTGCCATCATGTGAAGAAGGATATGTTTGCTTCCCCTTCTACCATGATCGTAAGTTTCCTGAGGCCTCCCCAGCCATGCTGAACTGAGTCAGTTAAACCTCTTTCACCTCTTTCCTTTATAAAGTACCCAGTCTTGAGTATGTCTTTTTTTTTTTTTTTTTTGTTGGAGTCTTGCTCTGTCGTCCAGGCTGGAGTGCAGTGGTGTGATCTCAGCTCACTGCAGCCTCTGCCTCCTGGGTTCCAGTGATAGTCCTGCCTCAGCCTCCTGGATAGCTGAGATTACAGGTGCACACCACCATGCCCGGTTAATTTTTTTTTTTTTTTAGTAGAGGCAGGGTTTTGCCATGTTGCCTACACTGGTCTTGAACTCCTGACCTCAGGTGATCTGCCCACCTCAGCCTCCCAAAGTGCTGGAATTACAGGTGTGAGCCACTGCACCCGGCCGAGTATGTCTTTTTTAGCAGTGTGAGAATGGACTAATACAGTAAAATGGTACCATGGAGAGTGGGATACTACTATAAAGATACCTGAAAATGTGGAAGAAACTTTGGAACTGGGTAACAGGAGGAAGTTGGAACAGTTTGGAGAGCTCAGAAGAAGACAGGAAAATATGGGAAAATTTGGAACTTCCTAGAGACTTGGAAGGCTCAGAAGACAGGAAGATGTGAGAAAGTTTTGAACTTCCTAGAGACTTGTTGAATGGCTTTGACCAAAATGCTAATAGTGATATGGACAATGGAGTCCAGGCTGAGGTGGCCTCAGAGGGAGATGCAGAACTTATTAGGAACTGGAATAAAGGTGATTCTTGCTATGCTTTAGCAAGCAACCAGACAAGCAGTGATGTGGATCGCATAAGCCAGGAAATGGCACGATGGACTTGTGTGCCATGTGAAGAGGTTTTACTTGATCTAACAGACAGTGTAGAACCACGGAAAAGTTTTGAGCCAATGGACAATTGAAAAAATTGCTATGGCTACAGTGCAGATAAGGGGTTGGAATGAGAGGCAGGACAGGAGTAAGTTCAATTAAAAGCTGTCTAAGTAATTCAGGGAGGAAATAACATTGACCTGAACTACAGAAATGGCAGCAGGTGTAGAAAGAAGTTGGTTCAGAAGAGTTTGAGGTGATACATGCAATAGGACTCGGAATTCCAAAAGTACACATCTTTAGATATTTCATTTCTTCTTTAGCAATCAATAATGTCCCTTGTGTCCTCACACTGCTTTTCAACTCCCTTTTGGTTTCCATGAAATTTTTGTTTTTTTAGATGTATTAACTGCATCTGCTAGGAGTAGAGCCTTCTGTCTTGTTAATCATGTAACAGGCAGAGAAGGAAATAGAAATGTACATGAGGAGGTAAGTGTAGTAGTGTCAATGCTCATTTCTTTAAGCAGATTGAATTATCTATAGGCATCTAATCGCTGAAAACTGTATCAGGTAATCCTATCTGTCCTTCTACCTCTAGGAAGAATTATATCCAGAAAAGATAGACTTCTATTCTTCCAAAGTTTCAGCAAAAGAGACCTCTACTCCCATTATCTACTCTCCCCCCAGGAAACAAGAATAGGAACCTTATAGACATATGCCTAAACATCTCATATCATCAATATTGCATTGCAGAATAATCTCTCAGGGGTCTGGTTTCTTTTATTCCTAGAGATTACTCCAGGTTCCTCCACCTAGGAATGAAAGATCCAGAAAAACTTTATTTCTAAAAATTCTGTATTAGGTATCACATAATTGCACCGTTAAAACTTTTATCTTGCCATGAAAATGCTTTTATACTGCCTCAAATCCTTTTCTTTTTGTATTATTTTGCTTAAAAAAAAACAAATGGCCAGAAGTTTTGACCTAATTAAAACATTGAAAATATGGCATCAAGTCTGCTAAACTTAAAAAATTTTGTTGAATCTTTTAGGAAAACAAAAGAAAACAAAACAAAACAAAAATCCTTCTTCATAGATGAAGACCTGTGCTTTTCTAAGAAAACCTTCAAAATAGTTGTCAGATTACCAACCCCCACTTTGGTCACGCATTAAACCTCACAAAAGCTATGCGCGTGTGGTTTTGTAGCTAAGTTATTGGAAACAAAAGTTTTAAAACCAATCGACCACAAAGAGAAGAAAATAAAACTAGCCACTTATGCCTGAAGTGCCAACTTCTACCATATGTAGTCCCACAAAAACCAAAAGGGAAAAATAATCAAAGTAAAACCCAATTGTGCTAGAATCACAGAGTAAGGGAATGGAATTTCTAAAGAGTTTCACCAAAATCTGTGAAAATGAAAATCACTTTGTTTTCCACAGCTGGCCCCCAGACCCTGTAAAGGAATACATTACTGCGATTTGCATTGATCTGATTAGTGTATTTACATAATGCCTCCTTTCTTCTACACCACTCCCAGTCAGCTGGACATCCAGCACATGCAGTTCTGGAGTAAGAATCAAGTAAACATTCCCAAAAGTATTTTGTCTTCTCCTACACAATTAAAACAATTTGCAAACTTGTATGCATAAAAATGGGTTGGCTTTGTTTACCAAAATTATAGATTTTATTTGCTTTTATTCCCCAAATGTTGACAGCTTGTATAATACATTAGGCTTTAAGTACAAACACACACACACTCACAAAGTCCTTAATAGTGTAGAGGGAAAGTTGTAGAGCAACTAGTACACTATATAGAAATTGTTCAAAATTACAAAGCATTATTTTCTCTCAGGGCTCAATTAAAGCTATTAACTAGGATTCCAAAGGATGCATAGGAGAAAGAATGAGAACTAGCAGAGCAGACACATAAATTAGAATATGTTCATGTGCACAATACCTAATGAAAATCAGTCCAAGTCTAAAGGAAATCCAGCAGAAGACATAAAAGGAATCAATTAAGTACTCTTTGGTAACCTATCATGTAACTGTGAGTGTCTAGATGTTGCTGGTTTAGGTGTGAGGCAAGCTGGAACCTGCAATGTGTGTTGGCAGGGAGAAGTAGGAAATCTTCCACCACAGTGAAGGATGGGGAACTAACTGTGCTGCAGAAGCAGTGTTATGTGATAGAAATTAACAACATCTAAAATTTATTTGGAGTACCTATGTCACAAATTAGAAAACTGAATCTTAAAAAGACCAAGTTATTTATGAAAAAATCATGAGCTGGTAAATGGCAGTCTGGAATATAAACAAGGTCTGTATGACTCCAAAATCTATGCATTCTATTCTACAACACTGATACTCATCCTAAAGAATTTGGCCCTATGTATATTTTACAAACTCTTCTTTTATATTCTGTTCACCTGCCAACTTTGGAGGGCTAGCAACAGGATCCGTCTTTAAGGACAAAGAAGATCAGGAGCTTAGTAGGAAACTGATGCTCCAGTGATCAGCTAGGATTTAGTGGGAGGATTTTCCAGTTCAGGAAAGTGAAAGGAGAAACACTACAGACTGTGAAATCAAGGCAGAAGCCTGATTCCGTGGAAGAGATGCAACTTGGAAATGGAACAGGTGCCTTGGGCCCAATTACAGGTTTCAGGTTTCAGGTTTCAGTATCCAGGTTTCAGGTACCCAGGTTTCAGTCTGATTGTCTCCAGCACAGCTGTAACGGGAAGAAACAATGACAGCCACATAGTTGCTGAGTATTTATGACTGTGAGATGTGTTCATGTGAAGACTATTCATATACTTTTTTTTTTTTTTTTTTTTTTTTTTAGACAGAGTCTCACTCTATAGCCCAGGCTGGAGTGCAGTGGCACGATCTTGGCTCATGGCAACCTCTGCCTCCTGGGTTCAAGTGATTCTCCTGCTTCAACCTCCTAAGTAGCTGGGATTACAGGCACGTGCCACCATGCCCAGCTAATTTTTGTATTTTTAGTAGAGACGGGGTTTTGCGATGTTGGCCAGACTGGTCTCGAACTCCTGACCTCAGGTGATTCACCCACCTCGGGCTCCCAAAGTGCTTGGATTACAGGCGTGAGCCACTGCACCCAGCTTCATATACTTCTATCTTAGTGCAGGAACTGGGAAAATAAGTAGGTCCTTCCATAAGCTAAACTATTAGAGGTTAGAAAGAAAGGAACAAAGGAACAAACCAGATAATAAATAAAAAATTAACAGATAGAACTCTGTTTTCTCTTAGCCCAGTTAGGAAAATCATAGCAATAAAGATTACTCCAAGGCACAGAATAAAAAATATACACAGCCAATGTACAATTTTTATAAACTGTTTCAGTTATCTGTCACTATGTAACATATCATCTAAAAATTGAATTTCTTAAAACCATTTTTTTTTCTCACTATTTTGTGAGTTGACTAGGCTGAGTTGGGTAGTGACACTGCACAACATGACATAGCAGAGATCCCTCATTAGACAATATTCAGTAGGGATCTCAGTTGAGGATAAACAGCCAAATGGCCTGTCATCCTTCAGGATCTCTCTCCACATGGCCTTTTCTTATTCAGTAGTGAAGCCCAGTCTTAAGACTACATGAGTCAATTGAGCTATATAATTGGCTGTACGTCCTGTCAGGCTAACTTTTGCAATTTTCATTTTCATCTAGTAGTCTCTTTGGCACATTTGCCTGCAGAACATTCCTATCTGCACTCTTATAGTTTGTTATAATTAAGGGAGGGGGCTTGCAAAAGAAATGGAAGAGTTGTCCAGTCTTTTCCCATTGCCCAGTTAATGTCTCCCAAACATAGAGAATATCTTCTACAGACCTGATAGCAAAGATCACGATGGCTTCCAGGAGTAGTTCTGCAATCAGTACTTCTCCATTTAATTGAAGCATTAGAAGAACACTGACATGAACATTCTATCATCAGAAGATGAAAAATATTGGATATTTCTTTGATTTTGTATACACCTATTTTGAATTTGAACCGGGAAATCCATAGTATAATAAAACACACGAAAATTAATCTGCTGTGTGAATTTGAACATATCATTTTACCTCTCTAATCTTCAGAATCCTTGCTATGGACTGAATTGTGTGACATCCAAAATTCATATATGAAGGCTCTAACATTCAATGTGATTGTATTTGGAGATGGAGCCTTTGGGAAGGAAGTAGGATGCGATGAGGTCATGAGAGTGTGGCTTCCTAATTGGATCAGTGGCTTTTTAAGAAAAGAAGAGAGAGATGTCACTCTCTGTGACATGTAAAGACACAGAAGGAAGCCAGTCATCTGCAAGCCAGGAAGAGAGCCTTCACCAAGAACCAAATCAGCCAGCACCTTGATCTTGAACTTCCCAGCCTACAGAATTGTGAGAAATAAATGTCAGTGTGTAAGCCACCCCATATATGGTATTTTGTTGTTGCAAACTAATATAATCCTCTTTCATAAAATGTGCCATTGGAATAGAAGTTCTCTAAAATTATTACCAACTAAAATTATATTATATTATGCTATTTTTATATAAAGTTGTATTATTAAGTAAATATTGCCTGATTAATGTTAAAGGAAACACTCAAAGAAAATTAATTTAAGTCATCTAAAGAGTAAAAATAACTTTCATTCCAAAGCAAAAATTTGGAACTCATTTTAGAAGATACGGATATGCTCATTTATTTAAACTTCAGAGGCAGGCAGAAAATCAGTGAAGACGTAATCGAACTCACCACCACCACCAATCAACTGGATATAATTAACATTTATAGACTACTTTATCCGAAAACAGCAGGATAAACATTCCTCTCAAGCTTACGCAGAACATTTACCATGGTAGACCACATTCAGGACCATAACACACACCTTAACAAATTTAAAAGAATAGAAATTATATAGTGTCTGCTCTCATGCTGACCCCAGTGGAATTAAACTAGAAATGAGTAACAGTAAGATAATTGGAAAATCCCAAATACCTGAAGATTAAACAACACACTACTAAATGACAGGTGAGAAAAGAAAAAATATCTCAAGAGAAAATTAAAAATACATATTTTTTATTTATTTATTTATTTATTTATTTTTTTGAGATGGAGTCTCGCTCTGTCGCCCAGGCTGGAGTGCAGTGGCGCGATCTCGGCTCACTGCAAGCTCCGCCTCCCAGGTTCACGCCATTCTCTTGCCTCAGCCTCCGGAGTAGCTGGGACTACAGGCGCCCGCCACGACGCCAGGCTAATTTTTTTGTATTTTTAGTAGAGACAGGGTTTCACCGTGTTAGCCAGGATGGTCTTGATCTCCTGACCTCGTGATCCGCCCGTCTCGGCCTCCCAAAGTGCTGGGATTACAGGCATGAACCACCGCGCCCAGCCGAAAATTAAAAATATTTTGAACCAAATGAAAATGAAAAAATAACTTGTATTTTTGAGATTCAGTGAAAGCAGTGCTTAGAGGGAAATTTATAGCACTGAGTTCATGCATTAGAAAAGAAAAAAGAACTAAAATCAATAATCTACATTTCCACCCTAGGAAACTAGAAAAACAAGAGCAAAATAATTCCAAAGCAAGAAGAAGAATAGAAATAATAAGAATTAGAGCAGTGGCCAGGGGTGGTGGCTCATGCCTGTAATCCCAGCACTTTGGGAGGCCAAGGTGGGCAGATCACTTGAGAGGAGTTTGAGGACAGCCTGGCCAACATAGTGAAACCCCATCTCTACTAAAAATACAAAAAATTAGCTGGGCATCGTGGCACATGGCTTTAATCCCAGCTACTCAGGAAGCTGAAGTACAAGAATCACTTGAACCCAGGAAGTGGGGTTGAAATTAGCCGAGATCGTGACACTGCACTTTAGCCTGGGCAGCAGAGTGAGACTCTGTCTCAAAAAATAAATAAAAGAAAGAAAGAAAGATTTACAGCAGAAATCAATAAAATTGAAATCAAGATATTAATATAGAAAATCAACAAAACCAAAAGCTGTTTCTTTGAAAAGATCAATAAGATCAGTAAACTTCTGGCTAAGCTAAGAAAAACAGAAAGGAAACAAAAATTGCTAGCATCAGAAATGAAGGAGGGGACATGTCTACAGATCTTATGGACATTTAGAGGATACTAAAGAATACTGTAAGGAACTCTATGATAACCTCAATGAAATGAACCAATTCCTTGAAAGATACAATCTGTTAAAACTCATATAAGAAGAAATAGGTGGCTGGGCATGGTGGCTCATGCCTGTAATCCCAGAACTTTAGGAGGCCGAGGCAGGCAGATCACCTGAGGTTGGGAGTTTGAGACCAGCCTGACCAACATGGAGAAACCCCGTCTCTACTAAAAATACAAAATTAGCCAGACATGGTGGCACATGCCTGTAATCCCAGCTACTCAGGAGGCTGAGGCAGGAGAATCACTTGGACCTGGGAGACAGAGGTTGCGGTGAGCCGAGATTGTGCCATTGCACTCCAACCTGGGCACCAGCAGCAAAACTCCATCTCAAAAAAAAAAAAAAAAAGGAAGAAATAGGCAATCTGAATAGGCACCAGCCTCAGGTGGGTACACACAAATGAATTCTACCAAACATATAAATAAGAAATTACAACAATTTTCTACAATCTCTTTCAGGGGATAGAATCAGAAGGACTACATCTTAATACATTTTATGAGGCCAGTATTACCCTAACACCAAAACTACACAAAAACATTACAAAAAAAACAAAACTACAGACCCATATCTCTCATAAACATAGATGCAAAAATCCTCAACAAATATTCCCAAATTGAGTTCAACAATTTATAAAATGAATTATACACCATGACCAAGTGGGACTTATCCCAGATATGAAAGTCTAGGTCAGTATTAGAAACTCAATTAATATGATCAATCACATCAGCAGGCTAAAGAAATCACATGATCATATCAATAAATGCAAAAAAAGCATTTGACAAAATCTGACACCTATTAATAACAGCCTCTCAGCAAACTAAGAAGAGAGGAACTTCTCCAATGTAATAAAGAATGTCTACAAAAATCTACTGCTAACTGAGAGGTAAGAAACTAGAAGTTTTCCTGCTAAGATTACAACCAAGACAAGGATATATCCTCTCACTACTGTTTTTCTTTTTTTTTTTTTTTTTTTTTTTTTTGAGGCGGAGTCTCGCTGTGTCTCCCAGGTTGGAGTGAGTGGCGCGATCTCGGCTCACTGCAAGCTCCGCCTCCCAGGTTCATGCCATTCTCCTGCCTCAGCCTCCCAAGTAGCTGGGACTACAGGCGCCCGCCAACACGCCCGGCTAATTTTTTGTATTTTTAGTAGAAACGGGGTTTCACCGTGTTAGCCAAGATGGTCTCGATCTCCTGACCTCGTGATCCGCCCGTCTCGGCCTCCCAAAGTGCTAGGATTACAGGCGTGAGCCACCGCGCCCGGCCTCACTACTGTTTTTCAACAACGGACTAAAAAGCCTAGCTAATGTAGTAACACAAACAAGGAAAGAAAAGGGATACAAAATGAGAAAAATGAAATAAAACTGTGTGTTCACAAATGACACAATTTCCTATATAGAAAATCTGAGAGAATCAACAGAAAAAAACTCTAGAACTGATAAATGATTATAGCAAGGTTGTAAAATACAAGGGAAAAAAACAAAAGTCAATCACTTTCCTATATACTGGAAATGAACAAGTGGAATTTAAAATTAAAAATACAATACCATTCACTTTAGCACCCCCAAAAATGAAATACTTAGGTATAAATCTAACAAAATATGGGTGAGACATTTATAAGAAAAATTATAAAACTTTGATGAATGAAATTAAAGAACTAAAGAAATGGAGGGATATTCCATGATCATGAACAGGGAAGTTCAATACTGCCAAGATGTCTGTTCTTCCCAACTTGAGTGATCTGTAGATTCAATGCCATTCCAATCAAAATCCCAGCAAGTTATTTTGTGGATTTTGACAAATCGATTCTAACATTTATGTAGAGAAGAAAAATACCCAGAAGAGCCAACACATTACTGAAGGAGAAAAATAAAGTTGGAGAACAGATATTACCTAACTTCAGAACTTATGATAAAGCTATAGTAATAAAAACAATATGGCATTGGTGAAAGAATAAACAAATAGATCAATGGAACAGAATAGAGAGCCTGGAAATAGACCCACATAAATATAATCAACTGATCTTTGACAAAGGAGCACAGGCAATACAATGGAGCAAATAAAATCTTTCATCAAATGGTGCTGGAACAACTAGACATCCCTATACCAAACAAACAAACAAACAAAAATCTAAATACAGACTTTACATCCCTCATGAAAATTAACTCAAAATTAATCATAGACCTAAATGTCAAATGCAAAACTACAAAACTCCTAGAAGATAACAGGAGAAAACCTGGGTGAACTTGGGTATGGCAATAATTTTTTAGATATTTTGTTGTAAGACTGATGAATAAAGGGGTAATATACAAAAGTCAATCACTTTCCTATTGTGATGGTTAGTACTGAGTGTCAACTTGATGCAAAGTATTGTTCCTGGGTGTGTCTGTGAGGGTGTTACCAAAGGAGATTAACATTTGAGTCATGTGGCCTGGGAGAGGCAGACCCACCTTCAATCTGGATGGGCACCATCTATTCAGTTGCCAGCACGGCTTGAATAAAGCAGGCAGAAGAAATTGGAAACAGCAGACTTGCTGAGTCTTCTGGGCTTCATCTTTCTCCTGGGCTGGATGCTTCCTGGCCTTGAACATCAAACTCCAAGTTCTTAAGATTTTGGACTATTGGACTTACAAAAGTGATGTGCCAGGGGCTCTTGGGCCTTCAGCCACAGACTGAAGTCTGCACTGTTGGCAGACTTTGAGACTTAGACTGGCTTCCTTGCTCCTCAGCTGGCAGACGGCCAACTATGGGACTTCACCTTGTGATCGTGTGAATCAATTCTCCCAATAAACTTCCCTTCATATATACATATATCCTACTACATCTGTCCCTTTAGAGAGCCCTGACTAATACACCTATAACCAGAAATGAACATGTGGAATTTAAAATTAAAAACATTATACCATTTACATGATAGTTTAAGTGAAATCATATCGCTAGACCAGGTGTTATGAGCAGAGCTGAAAGCACCCCCATTAGTGATGAGGGGATAGGATTAACTATATGGTAGACTTGGGTTTGGTGAGTCATTAGATTAGGTGTATTAATATTGTAAAAATGTATGCTTGAAATAGGACTACAGTGAATTCAAAAATAGTTAACATAACTAAAATAATAAATGTAAATATAATTGAGGCTATAGGAAAGCTAACTGATGTTAGCACTGGCATGGCCCCTCCAATTAAATGTATAAGTAGACTGCTAGCTGTAATGTTAGCTGTTCATTGTATAGCTAAAGGGACTGTCCATGAAAGTAACAGTTTATAAGCTGAACTTCACTGAAATCAAAAACTTCTGCTCTATGAAAGACAATGGCAAAAGAATGAGAGGATAAGCTACAGACTAGGAAAAATATTTGCAAATGACACACCAGATAAAGGACTGTTCTTCAAAATACACAAAAACTTCTCAAAACTCAACAACTAGAGAACAAAAAATTCAATTTAAAAACATGCAAAAATCCTAAACAGACACCTCACCGAAAAAGATATACAGATTGCAAATAAGTGTATGAAAAGGTGTATAACATCATATAGCATCAATGAAATGCAAATTAAAATAACAATGTGATACTACTACATACCTATTAGAATGGCCAAAATCCATAACATAAAACACATCAAGTGCTGGCAAGTATGCAGAGCCAGATGACTCTCATTCATTGCTGGTGGGGAACACAAAATGATATAGCCACTTTGGAAGAGAGTTTGGCAGTTTCTTGTAAAACTAAACATACTCTTACCATATGATCCAGCAATTATGCTCCTCAAAATTTACAAAAAGGAGTTGCACATACAAAAATCTGCACACAGAATTTTATAATAGCTTTATTCATAACTACCTAAACTTGGAAGCAACAAAGATGTCTTTCAGTAACTAAATGCATAAATAAACTATTCTACATCTAGACAATGGAATATTATTCAGTGCTAAAAAGAAATGAGCTACCAGGTCATGAAAAGACATGAAGGATCCTCAAATCCATGTTACTAAGTAAAAGAAACCAATCTGAAAAAGCTACATCCTATATGATTCCAATTATTTGACATTCTGGGAAAGCCAAAACTATACACAAAAGTGAAAAGATCAGCAGTTGCTGAGATTTGGGGTGGGTAGAGAGGAATAAATAGGCAGAGCACAGAGAATGTTTAAGGTAGTAAAAACACTCTATATGGCATTATAATGACCAATGCATGTCATTATACATTTGTCCAGACCCATAGGATATACAAAACCGAGAATAAACCCTAGTGTAAATCATGGATTTGGGCAATTACACTGTGTCAATGTAGGTTCATCAGTTGTAATGGTTGTACCACTCTGGTGGGGATATTGATACAGAGGAGGCTGTACATTTGTGGGGCAGCTAGTATATGAAAAATCTCTGTACTTTTCTCTTAATTTTGCATGAATCTAAAACTCTTCTTAAAGATAATAAAGCATTTTAAGTCCCAAAACAAATAATTTCAGAGCATATTTGAGTCTATTAGTATCCCAATATTATGATTTAGAAAGTCTATCTGCTTAGAAGATTTAGAAATCATATCACCCAGAAAACTGAACAGAGACTGAGCAACAGAAGACTCTGCTTTTGTGGTTGTTACTGTTACCTTGCCTCAGTAATCTCATGTAAATGGTTTGAAAGCAAAAGAAAGAATTGTCTAAAATGAGGACTTCTCACTAATTTAATCTAATTGTTACAATCTGATGATCCTTTAATATTGCTTCCCCCTTCTTCACACACACACACACACACACACACACACACACACACACACCTCCCAAAGGGTTTCTTAGCAAAAGATGGACAAGTTTAAGAATAAGATATATCTTTTTTTCATGATTTAATTAGTAAAATAAAAGCCAAATTTTTGGTTCCAGAAACTAGGAAGATAAAAAAGCAGGATTGTTCAATCACTTTTATCATTCACTTTCCTCTTTGAACAAATAAAACTCTCATAAAAACTCCCATTAAAAATCAAAATGCATGTTGAAGTCCAATTTAATGATTTAAGAGTTAATTCAGAAGTTACTTGTGACTCTGAATCCCTCTGTAATTTTAAAATTGTAGCATGAAATCAGCAAGGAAAGAAATAGTGATGATTGAACTTTATTCTCTTTTTGCCATTTCAATGCAGAGACAGTATTTCTGGTGCAAAAAAAAAAAAAGTCAGCAAATTACCACATCAGCAGCAAATCCCAAAGAGATCATAAAAAACACTCTTTTCTAAGTCTGTCCAAATTTATCCCCCTAGTGTCAATATAATATGGTCTTTTAATGGGATATTACACAATAAAATACACAAATAAAATTAACTGAATTCATCAACATACGAAGACCATGTGTTTACATATCAAGAGTGATTGGCAGTTAAAGACTCATAAATCATAAGCCAAAGAGGGACACTGCAAGTGTGCTTTTCTATCCTCCTTACCCCTGCTGTTTCAGAGGCATGCTCTTTAATGGTTTTGCACTTGGGTATAAAGTAATTAGCAGGCCTAGCCTGAGTGAAACAGAAAAATAGTAGAAACAGAGCTGAAATCATTGGGACAATTATTACCATCTTTGATTGAGTATATACCCAGCACATAACACCGTGGTTTACCTAAACCACTCCAGATTGATTTATATGGATTTTTTCATATAAATAGTGAACAAAGAAAACAATTCAAATAGGTTCCACTATTCATTTCCTAAGTGTTGGTGCCAGGCATTTAGCAAGATACTACAAACACAGTAATGACCAACTAAGACAGTCTCTGCCTTTCATGGAGCTTTGAGAGGGGAAGAAAAAGAGAAAAGCAAATGTAGTTTAAACATTAAAGAGAATATGTGTATATTTCTTGCAATGATTTAATGATTTGCCCTACACTGTGAGCAACTCAAAGCCGTAAAGTTTTTTTCATCTTTTTTATGGACTATGAAAAGATACAGTAGTTGCTCAATGCCCATTGTATCTTTTTGGAATAAAATGTTTCTGGAAATATCTACATGTATATGAAACACATATATATTTATATATGGAACAAGCAGGTGATGATTTAAAAGGACATTCCTCTTTGCATTTCTCATTTCTAAAATGATATGTACTCTTCTAAAGACTTTTTGAGAGGTAAAAAAATCTTAAATAATTTTTTGTAATCAGTCTTAAAATACACCCAAATATGGCCAGGCCATTTTTTGGCCATACATAGTGCACATAAGAACACTTAATACAGTACTATGAACTTATCAACACTCACAAATGTTATCTGAATGAAATAAAGTATGAATCAATTATGCAATGATTAAAACATGGGCATGAAATTATCAGAAGCATCCGCTTCACTTTGGCATCAATAAAATGAACTTCAGGAAACATGGAACATCCAGACTTTGTCCCTCATCTGGACATCAGTGTATTGGCAAACCTACTCTCTTTATAGTGTACGTATGTAAGATATGTATGGCATATTGCATAAATAGTATATATTGTCTCTTCTGACATTTCTGATTCACAGTCCTTTCAGTTCCACTTGTGATAATTTTTTCATCATCTTATAATTCACAAGACGCCTATGATCATCTCAACCAGTCTATTAAATGACAACTCATCTCTCCAGGTCTTTCCTTTTCAGCAAGGTCTCCCTTAATTACCTTACTTAAGATTATACTTCTCTTTACCTCAGCACTGTCTCTCCCCTTACCTTAGTTTATTTTTCTTCAAAGCCCTTTTTACTCTGTAATTTCTCATTTGCTATGTAAGTTCCATGTGAGACAGGGATTTTATCTTTGTTTTTTATTGTTGTATTCCCAGCACTTAGAACAGTGCTTGGCACATAGGTTTTCAAAACCTATTTCTTGACTGAATATGCTCCTGACAAAGAAGTCTCCAAACCGCTATGAGGTGATTATAGGGCTAGCTGTCCTCTAATAGTGACAGTATAAGCTATATTCAGTAAATTTGAGACTTTAATTTTTCTTTTGAGCTCTAGAAATAAACCAGGAACTATTCGTTCCCATATACATCAGGTGGTTTCTCTCCTTTACACCTTTCCTCAAGTTTTCCCTCTTTTAGGAATGTCCTTCTATCACCCAAACTCTTCTCTGCCTGGATAATTCCTGCTAATTCATTCAGTCTCAATGTACAATGTATCTACTACCTGAATTGCTCCCTGACACCACCTTCTGCCACCTCCCCCACTGGGAGCGTGGGCTCTGACCCCATGGCAGCGTCTAGGGTTGAGTGTTTACAGCTCTGGAAGCCCCAGTAGCCATGTGTTACATACAGTGTGCTCTTTCAGCTTAGCTGTCCACAGGCAGCTTGATTTAATTAGCTCAATTAGACCCTCTGCCTTACAGCAAGGACAGAGGCTTTCTGTATCATGGGGTCCTTACCCTAGTGTTCCAAAAAAATCAGATCACATTGGGGGCTTGGAGAATGAGTGCAAGGTTTTATTGAGTGGTAGAAGTAGCCCTCAGCAGATAGATGGGGAGACAGTAGGGGGATGGAGTGGGAAAGTGGTTCCCCCTGGAGTGGTGTCACTCAGCAGCCAGGATCTCCTCCAACCACCCTCTGCTGAATTCCCATCGGCATCCATGTTGTTCTGCCATCAGTGTACTGCCAGTGTCTGTCTGTGTGTTCTTCTGCCGGTGTGTTTCGCTTTATGTCCATCCATTTGTGTCTGTGCCTGCTAGGGTCTCGGGGTTTCTATAGACACAGGATGAAGGGCAGGGTGAGCCAGAGTGGTCTTGGAAAATGCAACATTTGGGCATGAAAACAGGAGTGCCTGTCGTCACTTAGGTCCATGGGCACAGGCCCGAGGATGGAACCCTTGCCAGGGACCCTGTGCTTCTCTGCCCAGCACTTTCCTGTCCCCTTCCCATATCAGTATCACAGCCCTGAGTTCTGGGGTGTCTTGGCCCTTAGCGTACTATCTTGAAATTGCTGGTTACTTACCTGTCTCCTCAATTAGAACATAAGCTCTTGTAGGACAGGGATTGTTTTAATGATCTTTGTATGAGTGCAACACAATGGAAACTGAATGACTAATTGAAATGAATTGAGTTTAATGCCCTTGGGACGAGCAACATCTAGTGATTCCATCAGAGGCAGGTGGTGTAGGGGGAAATGCAGGAAGTCTTAAGACCTGGACTCTAGTGCTAACTCTGACAAGGGTTAAACCCAAGACAGCTTCCAAATCTATAAGACTATAAGGCAGAAAGTATTCCATGTAACCCAATGGAAGTAGTTATTAAATAGGTTTTCATGCTCCATCTGCTGGTTAAATTCTACAAAAATCTCAAGACCTTTTTGAAATGGCAGAGTAAAGGACTTAGATATCAGCAATTCTTGCTTGTGACCAATTGTGGGATATGATGAGGTTTCTCTCCAAATAGCCTGATCAATCTTTTATTCTTTAATTCACAGTACCCCCCACCCCACCTCATTTTTCTTTTTCTCCTTTCTGCCTTTGTTACATGCCTGGACATGCCACAGTACCAGGCTTATCCATACTGCTCACATTCCTTTCCTTATTTGGAAAGAAGACTAGCTCTGTAGCTCATTGCAGACACCCCTTCCCCTTTTCCCCTCTCTCCCTTACGTGCCCACCTTATCTAAAGAAAGTTCAAATGTCTAGCCAACCGGGATTAGTTCAGATTGTGCGACCTGACCCTGGCCAGTGGGGAAAGGGTGCAAGGGCAGGACTTGCATCAGGAATAAAGGCTCTTGTGCCCCTTTGTTCAGGTGTGCTCTCATGGTGACTGGCCAAGGAGAAGCACCCCTCTGCACAGAAGTAAAATTGCTTTGCTTAGAATCCTTTGAGTGTTCAATCTCCTTAGGATTTTGAGTGTTATTCCCAACAATTCTGGTGCCCAACTTTGGGGCTTGAATATTCTACTTCGGGAAGGGGGTCTTCGGTCACCCCACCCAGGGGAGATGCATCCCACTGTCTATAGTTATGGTGGCCCAAGGGTGAGGGAGATCAGGCCCCACCCGTTGTGACGAATAAATCTGGATTCTCAGCAAAGCGGGGAGGAGATGCTTGTAAGACCGAGGCAATAAGAGGACCAGGTAATTCTTGTGCACAGAATAAGGCAGGAGACTTTGCAAAGGCGACAAAGTATTTCCTTGGTGATTGGGATAATTTGGAGGTTGAGAGTGTGTAAATGGGGCTAAGCATTATGGTTGTGTGGAGTGAGTCTTCTCTGCGGTTTTGTGCTGCCATCTATCAACTATGGGCAGGAACAATCAGAGTAGACAAAGAGAAAGAAAGATGCAAGGAACTTCCAGAGGGATGAGCTATAGGATATGCAGGAAACCCCTAATGGGAGAGGTTAAGCCTCCAGAAAGAGAGAGGTGAGACACCTCTAATACCAGAGGTTGGACTCCCTCTTAAAAGCCTCAGTAAGCCTCCAGAAAGGGGGAGGTGAGACACCTCTAACACGAGAGGTTGGACCCCTTCTTAAAAGCTGCAGTGAGCCTCCAGAAAGAGGGGGGTAGACACCTCTAACAGGAGAGGTTGTAGCCCCTCCCCACCAATAACCTCTAAGATGGGGAATGTTTCAAGTAAGACAGGAAAACTAAAGAGTCTAGAAAGTGATGAAATTACTTCTGATAGCCCCTTGGGGCTTATGCTGAAGTACTGGAAAGATAAAGAGAGAACCAAGTATAAACGAAAACAGTAGATGATAAAATGTTGTTGTTTTATTTGGGTTCGAGAACCCATCCTTAAACCCTCACATTTCTGGCCAAAATTTGGGTCTAATGAGGAGCAGATTTGTCAGCTCTTAATCGAGCGTGTTAAGGATAAGAGTCCTGTCTCCCAGGAAGAAATCGTTTACGCCCTCTGTTGGCAGCAGGGGCCTGTCCTCCTTTACTCTTTAGAATCTAGAGGGAGAAAGCCAAAAACCAACCTCTCTAGAAGGGAAAGACCGGTGTCTAGACAACCCACACCCACTAACACGTGGGTCTAGATCATCTTCCTCCATTCAGTGCCCCCGATCCCGCTCCTCTGGTTTCCGTTTCAGGTCCCTCCCCTGCTTCCTCTTCCTGCTGTCCCTGATCCCGCCCCTCCGGTTCCCATTTCAGGTACTTCCCGTGCTTGCATCCCTCTTCCAGCTTTTCCGATCCCGCTCCCCCGGTTTCTGTTCCAGGCCACTCCCCAGCCTGTGCCTTCCCTCCGGCTGTGGTTTTGGGTTACTCCCTAGCCGTTTCAGGCCACTGCCTTACTTGTGTTACTTGCCGGTGTTCTATTCCCCCAGCTGCTGCTATGGATCCCTCACCCACTTGTGGTGCCTCTACTCATATTGCTCCTCCTCCCTATAATCCCGACTTTGCGGAATAACCATCTTGTGAGCCTGCCCCCACCAACCTATTAAGTATCCCTCATTAAAGGAGCTTCAACGTGAGATAGAGCAATGTAAAAAGGATATTAAAAACTTTCCATTTCTCTCCACACCTAGAGAGCCAGATCTGACTCTTTCCACTAAGAGAGGTACCACAAGGATGGGGCGGGGGGCTATTGGCTTTGTGAACGCCCCCTTGACTAGTTCGGAAGTCAGGTATTTTAAAAAGAGCCTAAGCCACTACTGGATGACCCTTATGAAGTAGCAGATCAAACTCATCAATTTCTAGGGCCTCACATATACTCTTGGGCTGAGTTGATGTCCATCTTGGGCATCCTCTTTTCTGAGGAAGAATGAAGTATGATTCGGAGGGCTGCTATGGCACTTTGGGAACGTGAGCACCCTCCTGGTCAAAATGTTCTTTCTGTGGGCTATAAATTTCCCACTCAAGACCCCCATTGGGACAGTAACAATGCAAATCACTGGGAAAATATGCAGGACCTAAGGGAGATGATAATAAAAGGAATTCAAGAATCAGTACCCCAAACTCAAAATCTTTCTAAAGCATTTGATATTCAACAGGAAAAAGATGAGGAACCCACTGGATTCTTAAATAGATTGAGGGAGCAAACGAGACAGCATGCAGGCCTTGATTTGGAAAACCCCTCAGACAAGGAATGTGAAAACTTCACTTTGTTACTAAAAGTTGGCCAGACATTTCAAAAAAATTACAAAAGATAGAAAATTGGGAGGACCATCCCCTGAGTGAATTGCTCAGGGAGGCTCAAAAAGTATATGCAAGAAGAGACAAGGAAAAACAAAAACAAAAGACAAAACTTATGTTATCCACCTTCCAACAGATAGCTCCAAATCCGCATATCCCTAAGCAAGGCTTTCAAGGGGCCAGAGATTATAAGGGGCCTAAACCCTCCTTGAGAGGATCCAAGCCTCCATCTGGAGGGTCAAGGCCCTCATTTAATAAGCCCCCTAAGGGGTATAGGGGAGCAAGGGCAGAGAATGCTAAGACTGAGAAGGAGGAAGGACAAGATAGATATTACAGATGTGGAAGAACAGGCCACTTCAAGAGGGAATGTCCTGAACTAAAGAAAGAGAGAGAAACTTTCACACTCATGACTTTGGAAGAACAATAGGGGAGTCAGGGGCTCTGCCTCTTTTATTTTGAGCCCCACCAGGAGCCCTTGATAAATTTGGAGGTGGGACCTAAACATGAATTTATCACCTTTTTACCTGATTCAGGGACTTCATGCTCCTCTGTTTGTTTCCCTCCACCTGGTCTTACCTGCTCTTCAGAAGAACTTTTAGTCTCTGGGGTAAAAGGAGAAGGATTTAAGCCAAAAATTTTAGAATGCACAGAAGTCAGATATCAAGATCGATTTACTCATTTTCAATTTTTATTAATTACTGAAGCAGGAACTAATCTACTAGGAAGGGACTACATGCTAAGGCTAGGTATAAGGCTTCAAGTGGGTCCTAAAGGATTCCTCTCTTCACTACATTTACTTACTGCTGTGGATGAGAAATATATTCATCCTGATGTGTGGTCAAAGGAAGGAAATCAAGGGAAACTCCAAATCCCTCCAATAAATATCAAACTAAGAGGGCAGAGTAGGGCTAAAGCCTGTAATTGAGGGTCTCATTGAAGATGGGCTTCTTGAACCCTGTATGTCTTCTTGCAATACTCCAATCCTGCCTGTCAAGAAATCAGATGGGTTGTATCAATTAGTGCAAGACCTTACAGCTATTAATCAAATAGTCCAGACCACTCACCCCACTGTTTCTAACCCTTACACCATTCTTAGCAAAATTCCATACTATCATCAGTGGTTTTACAGTGACAGATTTAAAGGATGCCTTCTGGGCATGCTGCTTGGCTGAGGATAGCCGAGATATATTCGCTTTTGAGTGGGAAGACCCCCATTCAGGGTGGAGATAACAATATCAATGGACAGTCTTGCCTGAAAGGTTCACAGACTCCCCCAACCTTTTTGGTCAGATCCTAGAACAAGTGCTAGAGAAAGTCACAGTCCCTAAGCAGATATGTCTGCTTCAGTACATGGATGATCTTCTTACATCTGGTAAAGATATAAAGGAAGTAGGTGACTTCTCTATACATATTCTCAATCACTTGCAATGTGAGGGGTTGTGGATCTTAAAAGAGAAACTTCAATATATAGAACCTGAAGTTAAATACTTAGGTCACCTAATCAGTGCAGGTAAATGAAGAATAGGACCCGAAAGAGTGGAGGGAATTTTTTCCCTACCCCTGCCTCAAACTAAACAAGAACTCAGGAAATTTTTAGGACTAATTGGATATTGCCATTTATGGATTGACTCATATGCATTAAAAAGTAAACTTCTATATGAGAAACTTGCCCAGTGGAAGCCTGATTGCCTCTTGTGGGCTGCTGAGGAAATCCAGCAAATTGAGGAATTAAAAGAGATGCTCATAACCACCCCTGTTCTAGCTCTACCCTCCCTAGAAAAGCCATTTCACCTTTTTGTTAACGTAAATAATGGGGTAGCTCTAGCAGTGCTTACCCAAGAGCATGGAGTCTGTTGACAGCCCATGACCTTCTTGTCAAAGGTCTTAGACCCAGTCACTCGTGGGTGGCCCCAATGTAGCCAGTCCATCATAGCTACAGCAGTATTAGTTGAAGAAAGTAGGAAATTAACCTTTGGAGGAAAATTAACAGTAGGCACACCCCAGCAAGTTAGAACTATTTTAAATCAGAAAGCAGGAAGGTGGATCACTGACTCAAGGATTTTAAAATATGAGGCTATCCTACTGGAAAAAGATGATTTAATATTAACTACTGATAATTCACTTAATCCAGCAGGCTTTTTAACAGGGAATCCAAAATTAAAAAGAGAGCACGCCTGTTTAGATCTTATTGATTACCATACAAAAGTTTGACCAGAATTAGGAGAAACTCCCTTCAAAACAGGGTGGCACTAATATATTCATAGATGAGCCGTCCAAGGTAATTGAAGGGAAAAGACATAATGGGTATTCAGTGATTGATGGAGAAATGCTTGAAGAAGTAGAATCAGGAAGACTGCCTAACAATTGGTCTGCCCAGACATGTGAACTGTCTGCACTCAACCAAGCTTTAGAACATTTACAAAACAAAGAAGGAAGTATCTATACTGACTCTAAGAATGCCTTTGGGATGGCACACACATTTGGAAAAATTTGGATGGAGAAGGGTCTTATCAATAGTAGAGTCCAAGATTTAGTTCATGGAGAACTAATTGCCCATGTCCTTAACAGTCTCCAATTGCCAGAAGAGATAGCTATTGTGCATGTCCCAGGGCATCAAAGGGACTTGTCTTTCACAAGTCAGGGAAATAATCTCACAGATCAGATAGCAAAGCAAGTTGCCATTTCTTCTCAAACGCCTGTTTTTCATTTAACTCCATGCCTTCCTTCTCCTACTGCAACCTCCATTTTTTCTTCCATTGAACTAAAGAGAATGCAGAAGGGAAATGGATATCACCAGATCAAACGGAGATGTCAAAACCTCTCATGAGGGAGGTCTTGTGTCTATTACGTCAGGGGAACCACTGGGGACCCCAAGCAATGTGCAATGCAGTTCTCCAGGTTTATGGGTGTATAGGAATTTACACCCTGGCTAAACAAGTTGTAGATAGTTGCTTAATATGTAAAAAGACTAATAAGCAGATTCTAAGGAAATCACCCCTTGGAGGAAGGAATCCAGGGCTAAGACCATTTCAAAGTGTCCAGATTGTTTATACTGAAATGCCCCCAATTGGTCATTTAAAATACTTATTAGTAATAATAGACCACTTTACCCACTTGGTAGAGGCTATCTCATTCTCAAGTGCAACCGCCAGTAATGTAGTTAAGGTGTTAATTGAAAACATTGCACCCAGATTTGGACTAGTAGAAAATATTGATTCAGAAAATGGAACCCATTTCACTGTACATGTCATTAAGAAGTTAGCCCAGGTACTAGATATAAATTGGGAATACCATACCCCTTGACATCCATCCTCCTCAGGAGGAATAGAGTGGATGAATCAGACTCTAAAAAACTACTTAACTAAGTTAGCTTTAGAAACTCGATTGCCATGGATTAAATGTCTTCCTATTGCTTTGTTAAGAATCAAGACTGCCCCTCGGAGAGATATTGGCCTTCCCTTTATGAAACGCTTTATAGATTGCCCTACTTACACTCCAATGCTGACATCCCTACATTTGAAACAAAAGACCAGTTCCTCAAAAATTATATACTTGCTCTAGACTCTACTTTCTCTTTCCTTAAGACTAAAGGTCTCCTAGCACAGGTGCCACACCTGGAGTTTCCAGCATATCAGCATCAGCCTGGAGACTATGTCCTCATCAAAGGGTGGAAAGAAAGGAAACTCGAACCACCTTGTGAAGGACCTTGTTTTCCTAAGTACTGAGACTGCAGTCTGAGCAGTGGAAAGAGGACGGACTTATCACACCCAAGTCAAAAGGCGCCACCACCTCCAGAATCATGGACTGTCACTCCAGGGCTCACCCACACCAAACTAACTCTAAAAAGAGCTTCATAATCACTTGTTTATTTTTTTTTTCTTTTCCACATAAGGTCATCTTGTCATCAATGTAACTCAGGCTAGCCATCCTTTAACCCTTCAGCTTGACGCCTGTTCAGTCATCCCATGCGGAGATGAGCAAGCTCAAGGAAGCTATCCCATTTTGGTAAGTATCTATGTCCATACTGCAAAGAGTCAACCAAGTATAAGTATAGAGCTTTAAAAGGTCCCTGTAGTGACTGGGCAGATGTTTGGTGGACCACTAAGTACAAAGGGTGGACAGCCAAGCCCCCTGCTTCAAATAGGTTACAGGGACTAAAATGAAAACTCCAAGTAGTTCGTGGTCCCAGCCCACCAAATTGTAAGCCATTGCACTGTAACCCCTTGTTGCTGGTAATAAATAATCCCTGGACAATGGCCCAAGAACTCTCTATATTTGAACGGTATGGGTTAGGAGCAGACTTTGAAGGACAGGACCCTATAGGAATCTTCTCCATAAGGTTAGTTAAACCACTAGTTAATAATAATAAAGGAGTTCAGACCCAGAGTCCAGGAGACACATGGAACCCAACACTCTCCCCAAGTATAGCGAGTCCAATGTCTTCCTCCCATCTCCAAAATGATCCAACCAAGGTAACAGTTGCGAAAGTAGAAAACTTAAGGCAAACTATAGCTCTAGAGACAGTATATCAAGAAGCAAATGCTTGGCTGGAATGGATTAAATATTCCATCTGCACTTTAAACAAAAGTGAATGTTATGCTTGTGTGCATGGTAGACCAGAGGCCCAGAGTGTCCCCTTTCCACTTGGATGGTCTTCCAGCTGACTGGGCATGAGCTGTATGGTAGCTCTCTTCCAAAACCCCTCAGCCTGGGGCAACAAATCATGCCAAGCTCTTTCTCTGCTGTTCCCTGCTGTTCCCTGCAGGTCAGCCCCCAAGGGCCATTCAGCATCCATCTCCCAATGCCAATTTTACTTTGTGTCTCTCACGACAGGGAGAAAACTTGGCATTCCTGGGGGCCTTAACAGGATGCAGTGAGCTTAAGCCCTTCCAAGAGCTTACCCATCAGTCTGCCCTTAGCCATCCTTGAGCAGATGTGTGGTGGTATCATGGTGGACCAATACTGGACACTCTGCCAAGTAACTGGAGTGGAATTTGTACTCTAATTCAATTGGCCATCCCTTTCACCCTGGCGTTTCATCAACCAGAAAGGATAGGAACCAAACACCGTCAGACAAGGGAAACCCCTCATTGGTCCTTCAGTTCTCATGTTTATATAGATGCCACTGGGGTCCCAAGAGGAGTGCCAAATGAATTTAAGGCCCAAAGTCAAATAACTGCCAGATTTGAATCTACGTTCTTCTGGTGGTTAACTGTAAATAAAAATGTGAATTGGATAAATTACATTTACTACAATCAACAACAATTTATTAATTATACTAGAGATGTTATTAAAGGGATAGCTGAACAATTAGGACCCACCAGCCAAATGGCCTGGGAAAATAGAATAGCATTAAACGTGATACTAGCAAAGGAGGGTGGAGTTTGTGTCATGATCGGGACCCAATACTGTACTTATATCCCTAATAATACTGCTCCTGGTGGGACCATAACTAAAGCATTACAAGGTCTTACTGCCTTATCAAGGGAGCTAGCCAAAAATTCTGGACTAAAAGATCCCTTCACAAATTTAATGGGAAATTGGTTCGGTAGATGAAAGGGATTTATGTCCTCAATCCTCATCTCTCTGGCCATCAGAATAGGGTTGCTTATTCTTGTAGGATGCTGTATTATACCCTGTGCCTGAGGATTAATACAAAGACTTATTGAAACAGCTCTCACTAAAACCTCTTATGATCCTCCTCCCCCTCATTCAAATGAGCTTTTCCTTCTAGAAGACCAAGTAGAACAATGGAGCCAAATTATGCTAAAAAGATTTGTAGAGAAAGAGTTATAAAAAGAAGAAGGGGAAAGCTGTGGGATATGGTGCGGTTTCTCTTCAAATAGCCTGATCGATCATTTATTCTTTAATACATAGTGCCCCCCCCCAACCCCATTTTCCTTTTTCTCTTTTTCTCCTTTCTGCCTTTGCTACATGCCCGGGGACGTCACAGTACCAGGCTTATCAGTACCAGCTCACATTCCTTTCCTTTTTTGGAAAGAAGACTAGCTCTCTAGCTCATTGCAGACACCCCTTCCCCTTTTCCCCTCTCTCCCTTACGTGCCCACCTTATCTAAAGAAAGTTCAAATGTCTAGCCAACGGGGATTAGTTCAGATTATGTGACCCGGCCACAGCCAATGGGGAAAGGGTACAGGGGCAGGACTTGCATCAGGAATAAAGGCTCTTGTGCCTCTTTGTTCAGGTGTGCTCTCATGGCGACTGGGCAAGGAGAAGCACCCCTCTGTGCAGAAGTAAAATTGCTTTGCTAAGAATCCTTTGTTTGAGTGTTCAATCTCCTTAGGATTTTGAGCATTATTCCCAACACCAATGAAGAAAAGAGTTTTAAAAATAATGTTCGTAAAGGATTAATGACCTGGAAAATAGATAGTTGGGAAAGAAAATAAACATTGACAAGCACATGTCTGTAGTGAAAAAGCACACCCTGCTACTTTCACCCCACATACAAACTGTGGATGCCAGCTCAGACCCACCTGCTGGGATTCACACCCTTGTGTAGTTCTCCCCACACGTAGCAGGGTTTTTTTGTATGAACAACAGCATACAGCAAAAGTGATGGTCCTGTCACTTCTCAGATTAGGGTATAAGAAACTGCAGCTTTCATCTTAAGTGTGTGCTTGTGCTCTCTCTCTCACTCTCTCTCATTTCATTTGCATAGGGGAGCCAACTGCCATGTCATAAGGACACTCAGGCAGTCCAGGAAGAGACCCACAGGGTTAAAAAAAAATACCATTTCTGACCAACAGCCAGGGCTTGGAATCAGATCCTCCCCTATTTGAATCTTCAGGGTAGCATGACTGTAGCTCAGGCTAACAGCTTCCTCTGACGAGAGACTGAGCCAAATCCACGCAGATCCTTCACACCCAACTCCTGCCCCATAGAAAGTGAGATAATCTGTGTTTGCTGTTTTAAGCTCTTAGGTTTCAGAGTTATTTGCTATATAGCAATAGATAACTAATACACATTCAGACACATACATCTAGGATTAACTCAAATATTTATTGACCACCTATGTATTCAATGATTGTAGCAAGATTTTTTTACCTAAAATTGTCCATATCATCTTCCTCAAGAATGTTAATTGCTTTTCCCATATATTTGGTGTTTTGCATGCATCATCTGTTTTCTGATAAACCCGTTTAACTGGAATAAGAACTCAGAAATAGACTTAAAGAGCGTGTATATATTCTGAAGAGTTTTTACTAACATTATCTGAGAGAAAATTATAGGCCTTAAAAAAGCATGGTTTGTTACAAATAAGTGATAGTTATAAGCCTCAGTGGACATCACAACGAACAGTGATTTTTGTGTTTTCTTAAAACTCTGGATGAACCATTAGAAAAATTCATCAATTCTGTAGTCATTTTTTTACAAGTCTTACATTTTGCCAATAAATAGATAACTATTTATGAACTTTTACTTTTCCTTTTCTTTTTTGCTGTAAAGAGACTGGACCACGGATGGTATGTAGATGAAGAAGATGCAATAGTGAAAAGTGTCACATATAGTTGATTCTATGAAATACTGCCAAGGAATGGTTGCTATGTTTTCTCACAGCTTTTTACAAAAAACGTGCAAGATAGAATTTTCTACTGAGATTTGAATTTAATCCTTAAAGCCTTAAAAACTTTCAAATAGAACTAAAAATCAACTCATCTTGGCTTAACTAAAAGTTTGAGGAGCACATAATATAGATTCTATATCTAGTTGGTGACTTTTAATGAATTAAAATGTGAAGAGACCATAAAAGCAAACAAAATTTCTTTGCCATCATCCAACATCTTACAAAGTCATGAAAACAAAGTTCTTCTGAGACAGGGAAAGGGTAAGCAAATTATTTTTCAAGTGTCTAACTCATCATTCAAATGTTTGGCAGCACCTTTCACTTATTGCAAAATTTGACTGGACCATTAAGCAAAGAGATATTTGTCCAATGGGGACCATCTGTTGGAAAGAGGAGAAAGAAAAGCAAGAACAGAGACACCACTAGAGATAGTAGAACAGTCATGTCCTTTGAGAAGTTCTTTTTGACTTTCTCACAGGGTCTTGATGTTCTCTTGTTCTGGAAAGCCTCACTACCTGCCTGCTCCCCAACCAGCTGTAAGCAGCTCATTCTATCATGTTTACTGTTAAGACTAAGTAAATAAAGGTCAATTTTCCAGCCCTCATAACCCAGTGGGTCAGACTTTAAAACTGTATGAATTCTATTTCTACAGGCCTAATAAATTTAGAGAATCATAAGATCCCCTGCAAAATACCTAAAAAATTGACTCTACACTTCCAGGAGCCTTTGTTTCTAAATTCTGTGTATGCAGTACTTGAGGGCAGAAAAGTAGACTTATCTGCTTTGTAATGACAAATCTACCTGATCTTAATTTGGGATAATAGGCTGCTTACAATTGTCTTTCTTATTATAAGCTATGTATCATCTCTTATTTCTTTAGCTTGTTTTTGCTCTTACTTTTTTAAAGTTATAATTCCCATGACCTTGGTAATGAGGAATGGGAGGATGAGGGGTTACTGCAGTAGAGTTTAAAATGCTAAGCTTTAAGATGTTAGGCCATAATATCCTTTGTGACAATACCGTGGGATGGCTTGCTGCCTTCAGATCCACATTTAGAACACTATTGAAGTACATAGAATTAGACCACCTATTTAAGAATAAATTAGTTTCTTCTACTATAGAATATGTCTATCAAAGAGGTTTATCTGGCCGAAACACCACATAAATGAAGATTTGATGAATACCAAGACAGCAAATAATAGATCATCCATTATCATATGCAAATACTAAAAGAAATGAAACCTCAAAACACCCAACCTAGTGCTTACCTAACACATGTTTATACTAAGCTTGTCACCACTGAGAAATACCTAAAGATCAAATCTTCAGCTCCTGGCAGTACTCAGCATGGTACCTTGTACATAATAGGTGCTCAATAGGTATTTGTGGAAGACGGGAGAGGGAGGGAGGGAAGGAGGGAGGGAGGGAGGAAGGAAGAAATGGAAGGAAGGAAGGAAGGAAGGAAGGAAGGAAGGAAGGAAGGAAGAGTTGGCAGCAAGGCACAATGCAGCTAACAACCACATAATACAACTAAAAGACAACTGATTCTATTAAGCTATTCAGTCCACCAGGCTCTATAAGGATTTATCGCCCCTCCCTCCTCCACCCCCAGGGATCTATAGAGGTCAATACAATGTGAATTTACTTAACTCTAAGACACACTGTCCCAGAACTATTTCACTTTTCAAAGTAAGTAATTATTCATTCCCTTATGTGGTGGAAGAGAGGTAAAGATGGGGGAATAAAAAGACAGGGCAAGGCTCATTTATTGACAAAGAAATACAGAGTCTCCTGTATTCTCTCACCTCAAATGCCTCCCAACTTTAGGCCAATCCTACAGGCAAAGGAGGTGGGAGCAAATGAGTTAGCTTGGTCACTTTTGGTGATTGTCAAAAAAAAAAAAAAAAAAAAAACCCTAAATATTTTCCCCAAATGTTTTGCAATCAGTAATACCCAACCACAACGTGCCAAGCCTTTTTTCTCTTAGTTCTTCAAACCCATGTGTATTCCAAGGCAAATGTAATCCATGTGTCTCTGATTTGTTTTCACTTAAATCATTATAAAAAGTTAAGCTTTTTCAAAGAATGTTCAACATCTCTTTTGTGTGTTCCTCATGATCCTCCTTTAGGATTCTAGTTAAGAAGGTAGCGTTTCGAAGAGATATGCAGACAGAACCCTGAATAATTGATCAGAACTTGGGACTTACCAATCTGTGCATGGATTTTTGTCTCTATGCAGGAAAACATGAATTTGTTCAAACACTGAGAATCAAAGGACAAGTAGAGTTCTTATAGAAAATTCACTAAATTGACCTATTTATTTACAATACCTTTTAGAGCTCTATAATTAGGCCTGGCTAATTTGGACTCCTCTTCGGGTACCTCTTTTAGACTACTCCAGTAAGGTACTTGAAGTAGTGCATGTAAGAAAAAACTTTCTTGGGGATATCTAGGAAAATGTAAAAGATGAGCAAGCAACTCAGGCACTAGAAGCATTAAGTTCATGATTTCTTTAGACAATGTTCTTTAATATGGTACAAGATAAGCACTCATCACATATGATAGCTTGCCTTATCATAACAATATAGTGAACTAAAGACTCTAAAGCCACGAGAAGCTCACTGTGAAGCTAAATTCATTAGGTTTCAGGGTGTGGACTTTGTTCCTCTAAATTAGGACCATTCTAAGCTAATTAGGGAAAGATATAGCCTGCCTTCTGCCATTCTCATTTTCTACTGCAGGCTCCTCTCAGTGGTGGTGGTGTGCTATGGGAAAGGGATACCTTCACAGTGAGTCTACGTGTTTAAAATAAATACTTATAAAAAGTATTGGAAAAGTTTATATTTCTTGTTCCAAATAGAGAATAACAAAGTAATAAAGCAAAACCTTTTTGACCGCATCTGCAGTTTAAAAAACAAAACAAAGAAACAAAAATAAAAAAGCTTAAAAGCTATTGCCTTGAAATCACCCAGAAAGGAGGCCAGCTCCTTCAAAGTGAAAGTGAACAAAGTGAACCTGACATTTGAGGAATAAGCACAGAACAAACAAACCAACAAAAAAGTAGGAGAAATGTGCTTCATCAGTGCTTATTTGCTCTAGTTTGTCATTTTATGCTCTCAACAATCCAGTACATTTATTCCATGGATCTAATCTCAAGTTGTGGCAGTCCCACTTTTATAAGGTAGCAACCTGACCTTTCTTTCCCTCCCTAGTCTGTGAGGATGTGGCACGTGAGCTCAGAAAGCCACAGTACAACCCAAGCAATGGCTACCCAGGAAGAGACACAGTGGGAGGATCTGCTGCACAGATCAGCAACCATCTGGATCGAGTCACTGGATGCTGGCATCTGATGCAAGGAGGAAGCTGCAGAGACATCTGGGACACCCTGTCATAAACCTAGTTTCTGACCCAGACTTGCAACACTGGACTCATTTCACTGGGGAAAAGGAAGGTCTTGATTTATTTTCAATTATGTTTATCCCTATCAGGAAAAGCCTCAGATACCCTTTTGCTTCTTTGGAGAAGCCCACAATTATGAGCCATAAAAGGCAAGTTATTTGTAATAAAACAAGACAGCACCACATATACCAGGGTTATTTGCCATTGCTGGATGTGGTTCAGATAAGGTCTAGCCAAATGTCCGGCTTAGTCTAGATACAGCCTGAAAGAAAACATTATTTTATTTGAACTTGACTATCATTTTGCCCTTGAAATTAAAGAAACTCAAATTCTATGGTCAGGAAATTGATTTTAACAAGACAAAATCTGTGTCCTTTAAAAAAAATGGAAAAGAACTCACAAAAGCCTATTCATGATTACTTGCACTAGCATCCTTTTTTTTTCTTAATGAAATTGATGCCTCTTCTAGTAAGCCTTGGTTCCAAGGATGTTCTTCAACTTTCCTTTTCTTCTCAGAGCTCTTTGTTCTTACAGCATGCCCATTGCCATTACTTCTCCCCATTCTATAGCGATTCATGCTGATTAACAGCAAATATATCAACAGATTCAGACTTGAACATCTTGTATCCACTCCTTAAGAAATTCATTTGTTCTCTTAGTTTTTTGGTATTATACCAGATCTATATTTCCAGAACCATGATTATTTTATCTCCAGTTTTATGGTTATCACTGATCCTTGTCAGTTATCACTGACATCACATTCTCATGCATACCTAAAAATTCAGTTAAATGGGCTGAACTCAATGGGGTGCAGTCAGAAAACAGTTTTATTTTTCTGCACTACCATTTTTGATTGCTCTCTGTAGAGGCACTTCAGACAAAGGAAGCAATACAGAGCAGTGGTGAAAAGTCCAGATTCAGGAGAAGTAAATCAGTCTCAATCTCAGCTCTGACAACACACACACACACACACACATACACATACACACACACAGGGATAGTTTACTCTTAAATAACATGAAGGTTAACAGTGCTGACCCCTCACACAAATAAAATTCCACATAGAAGTTTGACTCCTCGGAAATTTAACTACTAATAGCCTACAGTTGACGGGAAGTCTTATCAATAACATTAACAGTCAATTGACACATATTTTGTATATGTATTAAATACTATATTCTTAACAATAGAGAACATATTTTTAAGAAAAGCATAAGAAAGAGAAAATAGATTTACTATCCATTAAATGCAAGTGGATCATCATAAAGGCCTTCATCCTTGTCATCTTCACATTGAGTAGGCTGAGGAGGAGGAAGAGGAGGGGTTGGTCTTGCTGTTTTAGGGGTAGCAGAGGTGGAGGAAAATCTGCATATAAGTGAATCTGTGTAGTTCAAATCCATGTTGTTCAAGGGTCAACTATATACATATATAATTGGTTAATACATATGAATAGAATAATATATATACACAACATATATGAATAGAATATATATCAATACATAGATACATATCAATAATATACATGAACAGAATAATATATGTAATTTAAAATATATTAAATTATATTCCTTTGTCACTGATCAATTTCTAGTCTTTTTTTTACATAGCATGGAAATGGATGATGAGCTAACATTTGTACATACATGAGTATGGTTCAGAAGCTTTTTCTAAAATGTGGGGGTAGTCATCAAATACTGTCCTCAGGTCAGAACTTCAGATGAACTTCCAAGACAACAAAAAAGTCCCATCTATGGCTGGGTTTGGTGGCTCATGCCTGTAATTCCAGCACTTTGGGAGGCTGAGGTGGGTGGATCGTTAGAGCTCAGGAGTTCAAGACCAGCCTGAGCAACATGGCAAAACCCCTTCTCCACCAAAAATACAAAAAATTAGCTGGGTGTGGTGGGGCACACCTGTGGTCCTAGTTACTTGAGAGGCTGGGGTGAGAGTATCGCTTGAGCCTGTGAGGCAGAGGTTGCAGTGAGCTGAGTTTGCATCACTGCACTCCACCCTGGGTGACAGAGCGAGACCCTATCTCAATTAAAAAAAAAAAAAGAAAGAAAGTCCCATTTTACCCTGCTATATATTTATATATACATTAAACACCTAATAGAAAGCTTTAGGCATAGGAGGTACAAGACCTTGGTCCTCCAAGGATTCCATTTCTGATGGTTTGGCATCACTATCAAGGCTACAGGACACATAACGACTCCCCTCATATCATCATTATTCGGCCTCATATTTAAAAATGGGGCTGAAGTGAAGATGCTATTTGCTTAGTCTTCTATGTCTCACAGTGGCCTAAAGACCATAAAGCAACACAGCTTGAGCTTTCTACTTCAGCAATATAAATTAGAAACCTGAGGCCAGAGACATGACCAACTTTGGATAAAAGCTATTTCCAGGGTTTAGATAATTTGGTTGTAAAAGAACACAATAATAAAAAAATGCTTTATTATATAACGTATGATTTGTAGTTTATGAAATAAGATAAAATAGATTTAAATATATATTATTTATTTAATATAAACGAGACTGTATAGTTGTTAATTTCATGTGTCAACTAGGCCACGGGATGACCAGAGTATGAGTACGCTTCTGAATAAGATAAGTATTTGAATCCATGAACTCAGTAAAATAGTGATGTTGGCAGGCACCGTCCAATCTATTAAGGGAACAAAAATAGAACATATTGGAGGAAACAATGCTTTGTCTCCTCCCTGCCTGCCTGAGCTGAGACATCATTCTTTTTTTTTCTTTTCTTTTTTTTTTTTTTTTTTTGAGACGGAGTTTCACTCTTGTTGCCCAGGCTGGGGTGCAACAGCACCATCTTGGCTCACTACCTCCTGGGTTCAAGTGATTCTCCTGCCTCAGCCTCCCGAGTAGCTGGGATTACAGGCACCCACCACCACTCCCAGCTAATTTTTTAAATATTTTTAGTAGATATGGGTTTTCACCTTGTTAGCCAGGCTGGTCATGAACTCCTAACCTCAGGTGATCCACCCAGCTTGGCCTCTCAAAGTGCTGGGATTACAGGTGTGAGCCACCGTGCCTGTCCAGGACTCTCTTTCAAGTAGTAAAGAGAGCATGGATAGTTCATGGTACAGTCTGGCAACAGAGATATGTAAAATATTGATATCGGATACTCGTTGTCAACTACTTATATGAAGCAAGAAGCTGGATGACTCTATATGTGATACTTTCTAACATTTTTAGAAAACAAATGAATATAATGACATTGGCTGGTTGGTTCTAATGTTGCTGGAAAAAGTGACGCAAGTAAAAGATGCACTCAAGGGTTCAAATTCCCAGCTCTGGTGCCTCATAAATAACCTAAGAGCTTCTTTCTGTGTCCTGAGGGAGACCTCTATCTCCTATAATGCAGGGCTGAAATTGCTGAAAATCAAACACAGAATCTCTTCCAATAACTGGCTAAATTTCAACACGAGTTAATTTCCAGCCTCTCAGGGAGTCTATGTTAAAGTCAAGGTACTGAAAAGGAAAGAATGGCATCTTGTAAGTTGGGATGGGGATATGTGGGAAGATCCAGGTGAAATGGGGGACATTGAGCCCCTAAATTCTGACGAGTCTTCTTTGTCAGTAGAAGCAGCCTCCCCATTCCCAGCAGAACTGGCATCTCCACCCTCATCAGAAATGGCCTACCCAAACCCAGTGGAAGTGATCACTCCACCCCCAATGGCAGTGGTATCCCCAGTCACAGTGGTATTGGCCTTTCTACCTCTGTCTGAGAGAATTAACCCTGCATTGCCTGAGGAAACAGTAATTACCTCCTTTGAGGCAACTGCCATGCAAGACAATACTGAACCTTCTCGGGACTCACCCTCACCACCCCCCTTTAATTCTAGACCTACAACTAAACTTATGTCCCTAAAATTGAGAAGCAATGCATGACCCATGTAGAGGTGCACTACCCTCCAAAATTCTCTTCAATCATAGAATCTGAGATCTCAGGTGATGCTTAGTCTTCTGCAATCAAGTCTATAAATGACTATGTATGGTTCAATGTCCAACTGACTAAAATGACATTTCTTTTCCCCACTTGTACTCAATATTCAATATGTTCAGTGGTGGAACAAGGATGGATAACTTCAATAAACACCTTCATTCAGAAAGAGGAAGAATGAGTGGTATGTGGTTGTCACTAGGGAAACATTGTGCTGGCCCCTGCTCTGGGGTCAGGGAGGAGGGGTGTTTTCTTGATCTAACTCTGATTCTGTTGTGATTGAGGAACTCCTTCATCCACAGTTCTCCTTGGCCCTTGAGGAGGATATCTATCTAAAGTAGGTATTGAGGAACACGCCCTCTATGAAGGCTCTTAAATCTTTGAAGCTGCATTCTACACATGAAAATTTGGAGCTCCAATGTTTGCATTGATTCCATCAATCAAAGACTTTCTAAACTAATGTTGTGTTTTTTGAGGGGAAATCAATTGCCTTAAATACTCAGTGAACTTCTAATTTTTTTCTTCTAGTCAGTTCCATGTTCTGTGAGCCAGTAACCACACTGAAATTGTTTCCTAGACACAGTAAGAAATGGCATTTTAAAAGATTTTGAAGAATAAATCCCAGTAAAAGGTCTTTATTTAATGAAATGACTCAGGAGAAATCAAATTAAGGGTGTGGTCCTCCCATTCAAGCCAGTTAAGTTCAAGGTAGCCAACATTAAGTTGAAAGAGAGAGGTGTAGAGAGAAGAAATCAAATAAATAAGGCCAACATGAGATTTAATTAACTCCAGCTGCCTTAACAAAAGTTTTTTTTGCCTAAAATAGCTCCCTCTCTTTCTTCCAACTTGTTTTGTAGGAGTACCCTTCTCAACACGCTTGCCAAACACACAATTGTTAGTTGTTTGTTTGTTTCTCACATGGTAAGAACCCATTTATGCCTAGTGTTCCATTACTGGAACCCTAAGCATGTGGGAGTTATTTACATCCTACTGCTCAAGGTCATCGCCAAAGTCTGATTAAAAAAATTCAAAAAATTACAACCTCAAGTATAAATGGGTTAAATACACATCGGCTAATCAAATATGTCAGAAGTAGCAACTTTGAGAGCCTTTTGTTTTGTTTTATCATGGTTGAAAGTTGGCTGCCACAAATCTAAGAACATCTATACTCATGGAAGGAATGGGCAGAAGATGTGATATCAGCCATATGTTCCTTTTATCTGGAAGTCATTCAACATTACCATCCAGTATGTACTACTTTGCCTGTGCTCTCTTTACAGGTTTGAGTTGGGCAAACTGTTAAATGTCTAAGCTTGAAAGAAGTAAGCCCTATTAATTAAAATATCACAATCAGAGTAAAAGATGCATAATATTTAATATTAAAACAAATCTTGTAGTGTTGTAAAAAATGAAAAATTGGGAACATTAAACAAATTGCCTTACCTTGCAATATGGAATAAGGCAAATAATTTGTAACTTGGAAAAAAATCTTGGACAAACTAATTTCTTTCTAAATCTTCTATGAGTTCTTCAAATGTCAGCTCAGGCAGACAGGCAGGAGGGGACAAAATATTCCTTCCTCTGATATGTTCTATTTTTGTTCCCTCCATAGATTGGGTGGTGCCCACCAACATCACTACTAAGTCCTTGGATTCAAATGTTTATGTTATTCAGAAGTACACTCACAGACACATCCAGAAATTATGTTTACTCTGGTCATCCCATGGCCTAGTTAAATCATGAGAAGACCTGAAGGAGAAGGGAGGAGGAGAAAGCTTTCCAAGCAGAGGCAACAGCTGGTACAAATGCACTGGGCAGAAACGTGTTAGGCTTATTGAAGGAATGGAAAGGCCAATGTGGCTAAAACAGAGTGAACAAGGCAGAAAATGCCAAAAGATGATCGGAACAGTAGGTAGAGTCCAGAAAAATTATGCAGTGGCCTTGTACACCACAGGAAGAACTTTGAGCTTTGAAAGATGGAAGCCATTGGAGAGTTATAATCATAACCATAGTGCTGTCTTTAATTGGCCTAAAGAATGGACTCTTGGAATAACTTACAAACTTAGGGGCTAAGAAACTATGTCAAGGATTACCTCGATTCATATGAATGAAAGGTTACACTGATACCAGCTAAGGAAAGCATGCCATGATGGAGGCCTGGAACACATACAAAACTCAGCTTTTCTAACCACTGCAGTAACTGTAGCAACATCAGGCAAATGCTAAGGTAAGCAAAACACAATAAAAAGAGATTAAAGGAAGAAGCCAAACATGCCAGTTCTACATTACCAATAACAATTGTTATGTACATTTTAGTATATCACAGCCTACAAAGAACCCATGTTATCTCACTTGATCCTTTACAGTCTCCCAGTGAGGAAAGCTAAGAAGAGATTATCCCCATCTTACAGATGAATCAAGATTCAAGGCCACACAACCAAGGGTAAAATGCAGATCTTCTGATTGTAGTCCCTTGTTCCTCTTATTAAATCATATTACATAACCAAATCCTAAATAAACTACTCCCAAAACATATGGAAAGTTACAGCACATGTGGAAAGTTATTTAGGAACTCACTGGAGGCAACTCACTAAAAAGCCTTATATTCATCTTCATGGGGCACCAAGTAGGGTTATGGTGTTTTGTGATTCAGGAATGAACATGCCCTTCAGAAGGGGATATGACAAATCTTGACCACCTGGCTTCATAAGGTTTCTGACCTCAACAGATATGAAAGAAAGAATTCCACATCACTTTACTGCACAAATTTGATCTTAGAACTGCAACTTAAATTTCAAAAGCAGTCTCTTTACTTATTCATCCAGCAAAGTTTTTAATGGATTGTCTTGCGATTCTTGGGAAACTTGGGAAATAACTATTGACAAACACTGCTGACAATAACTCTCCTGTTATTCTTGTGTGTTCTCCATTTTCTTTTACATTTTCCTCAACAGAATGGAACTATATGAGCAATAACCTTAAAATTATCAAAATAATAGACCTGTAGGAAACAAATATATCCACTGCATTTATATATAACTGAATATTGTACATAAAAGTTTATAAAGAAAATGCCAGAAACACACAGAAAATAGCTTCATTGAATCAGCAGAGCCTTTATCATAGATTATAATAACCCCTTCCTAGAATGCTCAGGTTATTTATAAGGAAGGCAATTCCTAGGACAGTTTTTTCTCTGAAAAACTATTTATTTAGTAGCTACATCTTGGCAATGAGGTGCTTTGAAATGCTGAGAGTACAAACTTTCCACACACTTGAATATATTCAATCAACTATTTAGTCATAATAATATGTTGTGAGAGAATTTATATTCTATATAGGTATAAATTTATTATGTGTGTTTAAAGCAATAAATCTTAAAATAATTGTTTTGTATTTTATGACAGATTATTTGATTCATAACCTGATAACCTAGTGTAAAAATTTCAGTTTATGAATCATTGAGTTACCTTAATAATATATTCTTCAGAGTTCAGAGATACAAAGCTACAAAAATGTATTTGGATTTCTCTATAACAAATTTTGCTTCCCTAGTGGTATTTAACCAGCCTCTGTGGAATTCACAAAATGACACGCCCATCAAATTTTTAAATTATATCCAGAAGAGCATTATGCTTGTATTATCCCTGTAGACTAGTTGCTTTTGACATGATTCAACTTGTTTTGTTTTTCTAGTGTTGAAAGGAGTGGAAAAATTGATCCGTTTAATGAACATTTCTGAAAAACATTAACACACAACAAGTGAAAAGGGACATGCTTTTAAAAGTTGAGAAGAAACAAAGCCAGCTGTTAGTGGGGGAAAATGAGTCTATTAAAAAATATGAACACAGTTTTCTTTTCACCATAGCCTTAAAGACCACTCATGTTTCCAATCTAAGTAAGCAATAAAGGCCGCTTTGGAAAATATCTGTTCAGCAACAGCACTGATTTGAAAAATTAAGGAAATAACCTCCTGTAAAAGGGAATATAAGGAGAGTAACTAACCACATTAATAATAATTATTATCACCACCTAGAAGTCTGATGTGTAAGGTACCATGTGCATGCTGCAAATTAGGTCACACAACAACTGGTAGGTCACCAGCAGCAAGCACAGTTAAGAGACCTGGTGGGAAAAACAAACAAACCAACACCTTCGAGCTCAACACATTTGACTTTTCCCAGATGTACCACTAATTAACAGAGACTGAGACCTCCATTTATCAACTCAAAAATGGAAAAGGCAACACTAGGTGACTCCTATGGTGCTTTATCACTCATTCTACATCATAAGAAAATACACACAGAAGGCTGGGTGCGGTGGCTCACGCCTATAATTCCAGCACTTTGGGAAGCCGAGGTGGATGGATCGCCTGAGGTCAAGAGTTCAAGACCAGACTGGCCAACATGGTGAAACCCCGTCTCTACAAAAATACAAAAATTAGCCAGGCATGATGGCAAGTGCCTGTAATCCCAGCTACTCAGGAGGCTTAGGCAGGAGAATCACTTGAATCAGGGATGTAGTGAGCTGAGATGGCACCATTGCACTCTCCAGCCTGGGCAAAAGAGCGAGACTCCATCTCAAAAAAAAAAAAAAAGAAAAGAAAAAGAAAAAGAAAAAGAAAAGAAAAGACACACAAAAGTAAGAATAAGGACAAAATAGTGAGATACCAATTATCACAGGTAATAATTTGAAGAAATTTTTAGTTAAAAGTTAGCAAATTTCCCAGTTCCTAGCAATGCTATACCCCTACTTTATGCCTCATCTCACAATTCTTATGAAATCATTAACATTTAAGTCCCTATTTCTTTCTAGCCATGACTATTTTATCACCAGAAAATTTGTTCCCCCTCACTAGAGTATCCAAAAACATGCTGCATTATCACCTAGCTAAGCTTTGGCAGAGGATTTGTACATCAGTAGGTAGGTGCTGGTACCTTCTGTGCCTTGCCTCTCTTAATAATCCTGCACCAAAAGTGTTGCCACCCTGTAATGCAGATGCAGACACTGAAGCTCAGAAATTCACTCTGCTCATAAGCTGAGATTTAAGCCCAGTTCCTAAGATGCTACATTTTCCCCATACCATCATTTAATGCCATCACAAAAAGTAGAAAAATATTGATGAATGGAAAATATAGTTTATATTATATGTATATAAATCACTGCATCTCCAAAAGCATTTACGAAAATCTAATTTCTAAATTTTTCAATTCACAGTAATTTGCTGCTGGGTCATCTACAGCAGCAAATGCTCCCCGATGTAATGAACCTATTTGTGTGTCTCTCTGCTCCATTGGATTGGAAGATCATCAAAGACAGGAAATGTGTACGTTTCATTTTCACATTGCCAAGCTACCACTCACCTGGCAAATAGTAATATTCTATAAATGTGGACCTGATTTGAAACATTTAAAATACAGTTACGGGAGAAAACAAGTAATATTGAGAAGAATCTAGCCACTGTATCAGTTTGTTTTACATACTTTCCTTTTATTACTTTTTAAAATTAATTTGTGAATCAGGAGAAAGTGCTTTATTAACTTTTCATGATAAACCATGTTGGATGAGCACCAGCATTCTCCCTGAGCAGTTTGGAAATGACTGGTCAAAGACAGAAATAGAATCTGGGTTTGATGTCCTCCCTCAAGATCTAGTCCTCCTCTGGAGAAATAACAGTGAAAGTATGCTTGTTATTCTTGTTGTTGTTACTGCTGTTTGTTTGTTTGGTTTGCTTCAGTTTATTTTGCACACCATGGCGTGAGCAACTCAAACAGAGCACCAGAAATAGCTTTTCACATTTCCACTTGTTTCCTATTCTCATTCCTACTCCCACCTCAAGACGGGAGGAAAATAGTTCTTTGGCTGACTACCTAATCTCATGTCCACTGAGACACATTAGTAATTCTCAATGGGGTGACAGTAGTGAATCTGGCTGATGATAGCTGGGCTGAGCTGTTAGATGACCTACCTGCTGATGAGCTCATCCCCAAAGCCATCATGACTCTAGCAGATGTTCAGACTTCACAGAGTTATTTCCTCCTCCTTCAATCTCCAAAGCCAACCAGAACCCCATGGAACTCTGCTAAGCAATGTGGCACACACACAGTTAGAATACATAGAACGAGGAGAAAGACATCCAGAGGACCTGCTACTGTATTACTTCCTCACATCCAAAATCATAATCCTGTAGCTGCAAATGACTTTGTGATGGAGATACAATGCACAGCAGTGGGAGCTGTCTGCTAGAAGAAGAATGAAAATAGAGAGAAAGATTTATGCTGAGATCAAAATATCCCTGCTTACATGAAGGGAAATTTTCGTTATAGTAGATGAATCATAGTGATTCTGAGACTAGCACCCCTTCTACAGGGAAATCATTATTTAGGAAACTAGTTGTCAAAATAATTGTTACAATGTCCCTGCAACAATTATTTCTTTCTCCAGAAATAAGAAGATAACCCACATATCCTGGGTCATAGACCCTGAATGTCTCATAGGAATTAAGGTACAATATCAGGCTTTGGTGGCATTGGATTTAAGCCTGTACACAGCTTGCCAATATGGGTTAACACAAATCCATCACCTAGTAATAATTTTATATCACTGTGGAATTGGAATGTGTGTGCATATACATAGATACATATTTATTGTAAATTCAATCTGCAGATTGAAAACTATGTGGTAGATATCAGTGTTCAAATCTCATCTCCTCCACCCATGCACACAGACCTTATATAATCATTGTGTTGGTACTTTGCCCTGGCCCAACTAAAAATAAAGTCATATATTTTTTGTTTGACTTTTATCTTCAAAGTATATTTTTCAAATGCTCATTCAGGGTTTTCAAATCAAGGAACAATTGTTACACCATTACGATGCATGATTTAGGGATTATACAACTATGAAAATTGTATAATCTCTAGCTGAATATTTTAGTTTTGATAGATGCCACAAGTGAGATACAAATCAACAGTGAGATTTACTTTTAAAAACACAAGAAACTCTTCAACAGAAATCTTTAGGTAGTATCATGCTTTAGAGTTATATTTCCAATGATTTTAAGTCTTGGTTTTGTGACATCCCAGTGAGTTTCCAAATGTTTAAAGTGTGTTATAAATATTTCAAATAAGATATGCTGGGAAAATCATCCATGCCTTCTAGTGTTAAAGTGGAATATGTATGCCATAGATTCTGGTTGGGGGGAAGTTTTGCAAATTCAGACAGTTCCTGAAGGGTTAGAAACACTGGAGTGGAGACCGAGGGAATTTGTATTTTAAGTCTCCACAGCTAAAACAATAATACAAACAAAAAGCCATCAGTGGAATTGCTGCTTAGGCCAAACAAAAGTTTATTATTTTAGGTAAAAAATATTTTCAATTTTGAGTATTACTCTAAATCCATTCTCCATTTTTCTTTAAGCAGAGCAATTTCCTTTTAAGTGGAAGTAGTTGCATCTTCACAACTATTTTAAAATGCAGTTAGATAGTAATATAATACACTACAGCTGGAAAATGAACAATCCATTTTTCCTCTTCCTAGACAGGGTCATACTGCTGAGCATACTCGAGTTAAGTGTGATACAGAAGTTAAGCCATAAATTCAATGAGATGGAAGACTCTGGCATCCGAGGCACACGCACGGTCCAGTGTCAGAGGGGCTTACACTCAATTCTCTCTGTTTTACTTAAAAATTCTCAGTCCTTATTAACAAATAACCTCTCTATTAAGAAAAAAAATTATTTTATGGACCAGATAAACAAAAGACACTGTCATTTTTAAACCAAAACATATTTAAGAAATAAAATGTAAGTGAAACTAATTTGCTACATATGTTTTATACATACAGTACATAAGGGGGTTTCCCCAACGCCATATGGAAAGCATCTGAATTTGTAAGACAATGACCTTCATAAATCACTCTAGGCTCCAACTCCAAATTATGTCTTGTTCCCTCACTCATGGGATAGTCACTATATCTCATATAAATTCATTATGTTATATGTGCACAATAATCTATCTCTACCTTTATGAGGAATGATGTCATAACACATAGGCAAGGTTTTCGAGAAAAGGGAACAAGCTCTCTCACCAGATGGGCCAACCTATAGTACTGTTTCTCTGAACATAATATGTTTCACAATGCAGCTTATCCTTGCTGCTTGAAGGAAAAGCAAATTAATGGGGAAAGAAATTAGCAATCTGAGAACAAAATGTTTTCTGAGCCTACCTGTTTTTTTCTTTTTTTAAGGTAAATGTAAAATAAAAGTCTTACATACCTTCACATAGATTCCGTTTATGTATTTACCATTTATATCCATTAAAAAGGAATTTATATTCTGCCTAGTTATTTTTATCTGCGTCGAATCACCAACCATGGCTCCAGCAGGGTTTTCTCTTTAATAATTGTCTTGCCATGACAAAGGTTTAAGTTAAGAGAAAGCAAGTTTTTGCCACCGGCTGATGGAGGAGGAAAATGAAATAGGTATACTCCATCCTCCAGCCTGTTTTTCCATAGAAAGTTAATTCTTACCACCTTCTTTCCTAATTCAAACTTTCTTCAGTTTCTTTCAACCACTTTCTGCAGTTCAGCAGTACAGATTTATCTGTTCTCTTATTCACTTTTAACCACTTGAGGAAGTGAGCACTGAGTTAAAATACAACTTCTTGGTCTTTCTTCCTTAAGAACATTAAGGTTTGTAAATCCATAAGCTGAAATAAAAACAACAAAAATCATGTGCAAACCTATATAAAGGCTACTTTTCAATCCTTTTAATTGTCTTCCTTTTTTTTTTCTACTTCTTTCTTTCTTTTACTCTAGGCTAAGGATCAAGCATGAACATAAGGGAATGAAAAGGCCAAAACAAATACATGTTGAATGAATCAAATAAATGTTAGTGACTAGAATGAGGAGTTATTATGAGAATGACAACCTGTAGAAATTATGCCCCATCTGAAGTAGGCAGCTCTGAAAAATTGTTGCATCTCAGAACCTCCGGAGGGTTGGAGGGGAAAGGGCACTATATGGGCCAACAATGTACAGGCTGAAAAATTATGTGTACAGGCTGGTTAAGGCCTGAAAAACAAAAGTATGCAACCTTTTACCTAGAAGCTAAGAATTGCTGAAGAAAGAAAGTAGACTTGGAAATACAAGATCCAAATCAACTCTAACTGCTATATATGCTAGATATTATTATAAATATCTGAAGATATCAATAAAGAATGGCAAAAGAGTAGGCTATAAGAGCACCAAAAACATGAGCATCTCTATCTTTAATCATCAAATTTTGCATGAAACTATCAAGAGTTGAGTATTTCGTAGTAAATTTATAGTTGAACTTGTCTTCTACTTTTTTTAAAAAATTGTGATAAAAAGATTAAGACTCTTAGAACCACTAATTACCAAACACATTCTGAAAAGCCTGCAAACTGATATCATTAAACGTGCACACACACAAAGAATATTAAGTGTGGGGAAGTGCCCACAACCTGATTTTTCTATTGTAACTTTAATGCTTCCCTTAAAAAACCAAATTTCTAAAAAATAAATTTCCTTAATGCCCCTGTTTATTTGAATTACCTACTGGAAATTTCAGCACTGTTAGAAAGAAATGAGTTTGCACACAAGTGCTATACTAAATATGGTAAGGATTCTGACACTATCATGAGGAATTTAATATAGTACCATATTCTAAATAATATCGATATTGTTTTGTGAATCCTTTTATTTTACACACTGGGCATAAAAATATAAGATCAGGCCATTCAATAATATATACATAATATTTTCATAATACCATATTTAACTTTACTTCCAAAAATTGCCAGCACTTTTAAGCATTTGACAAAATCACTGCATCTTCCCCCACTTATGGCTCTGAGGGAGCAATAGGGTGCAGAATTATCATCATTATAAATAACTAGAAAAGCAAATAAAATGGTGAAAAAAACATTTTCAGATGTGGACAACAATGCAGGATGTGATCCTCAGAAAAAAGAAAGAAAGGCTGGGTGTGGTGGCTCACACCTGTAATCCCAGCACTTTAGGAGGCCGAGGCAGGCAGATCACCTGAGGTCGGGAGTTTGAGAACAGCCTGACCAACATGGAAAAACCCTGTCTCTACTAAAAATACAAAAAATTAGCCCAGTGTGGTGGTGCACCCCTGTAATCCCAGCTACTCAGGAGGCTGAGGCAGGAGAATCACTTGAACCTGGGAGGCAGAGGTTGTGGTGAGCTGATATTGCACCATTGCACTCCAGCCTGGGCAACAAGAGTGAAACTCTGTCCAGAAAAAAAAGAAGAAAGAAAAGGAAAGAAAAGAAAGGAAAAGAAAGAAAAGAAAGGAAGAAAAAAAGAAAGAGAGAAAGAAAGAAAGAAAGAAAGAAAGAAAGAAAGAAAGAAAGAAAGAAAGAAAGAAAGAAAGAAAAAATGGGGTGATCCTACAATTGCCCTGGATTTTACCTGGGGACAATTTTTAACATAAACAAGGGAGGCAGAATGCAAACACAGCCTTCAAGACTTGCTGAGTTAAGAAGATATACATCAGTTAAGAGAGGCAAAAACAAATAAATAAATACAATAAAATAAAAAACAAAGCCTAGAATTTGTAGAGCATAGTACTGAAGAGAGAAAAAAGTAGTTCCAAAAATCTGCATAAAGGTCCTCTGAGATTTTGGGTGAATAACAAGTTTGAATGCCTAGAATGAAATACTATGAAGCTAAAATGAGAATAATTTCCAGGAAGCTATAAGCTAAACAGTTTTCAAGCACACAGGGTTAATAATCATTCAGGTTCCACAATAACAGTGAGCAGATCTCATTATATATACAAATAATTGAGTAGAGACCTCTAGCAAGTATGCCTTAGTAGAGGGACTTAGCTAGCCTTAAAATAAAGGTCACGCCATACTTGCCCCAAAGAGTTTTTTAAAAAAGCTTTCAAAGGATCAACGTAAACCACAGATATCTATGTTAACTGCCTAGCAGAACAAGGTTCAGCAATCTTTAAAAACCACAACACAATCAAGCACAAAACAATGAAAACTTCACAATATGTGACATCCACAAAAAAGTTCTAAACATGCAAAAAAAAAATTCCAGGCATATGATCCAAAGAGAAAAAAAAATCAGCAGAAAAAGAAGTAGAAATGACAGAGATGACAAATTAGCAGACAACACAGTTAAAATGACTATTTTCAATGTGCATATTATGCTGACTTTTTTTAAATTAGGAAAAAAATGAAGAAAAAAATGGAACACAAAAAAGCATTTGAAAGGAGTCAATTCTGCAACATGAAGGAATAGAAGGCTCCAGCTATCCTTTCCCCATAGACATACTAAGTTAGCTCCTACACATGGATCAAGCCTCTTCAAGAAAAAGTCAGAACCCAGTTGAAATTCTCTGGGGCCAGGTGTGGTGGCTCACGTCTGTAATCCTAGCACTTTGGGAGGTGAAGGCAGGTGAATTGCTTAAGCTCAAGAGTTCAAGAATGGTCTGAGCAACATGGCAAAACACCATCTCTACAAAAAATACAAAATTAGCCAGGCATGGTAGCATGCACCCGTGGCCCCAGCTACTCAGAGGGCTGAGGCAGAAGGATCACTTGAGCCTAGGAGGTCAAGTCTGCAGTAAGCTGAAATCACACCACTGCACTTCAGCCTAGGTGACAGACCAAGACCCTTTCTTTAAAAAAAAAAAAAAAAAAAAAGGAAAGAAAAGAGAAAGAAAGCCTCCTACACAATATATGACTGAGAAAAATTCCACGTTAAAACAAGTAGAGAAACCACTTAACTACTAAAAACTTAAAAGTAGTGGCTGGCAAGATGGCCAAATAGGAGCACCTCCAGTCTGCAGCCCCCAGTGAGATCAATGCAGAATACAGGTGATTTCTGCATTTCCAACCGAGGTACCAGGCTCATCTCATTGGGACTGGTTAGAGAGTGGGTGTAGCACACGGAGGGCAAGCCAAAGCAGGTTGGGGCATTGTCTCACCTGAGAAGTGCAAGAGGTTGGGGAACTCCCTCCCCTTGCCAAGGGAAGCCATGAGGAACTGTGCCTTGAGGAACAGTGCACTCCTGTCCAGATACTACACTTTTCCCACAGTCTTTGCAACTGGCAGACCAGGAGATTCCCTCCAGTGCCTATGCCTCCAGGGCCCTGGGTTTCAAGCACAAAACTGGGCAGCCATTTGGGCAGACACTAAGCTAGCTGCAGGAGTGTATTTTCATACCCCAGTGGTGCCTGGAACACCAGTGAGACAAAACTGTTCACTCCTCTGGAAGGGGGGATGAAGCCAGGAAGCCAAGAGGTCTAGCTCAGCGAATCCCACTCCTACAGGGCCCAGCAAGCTAAAATCCACTGGCTTCAAATTCTCACTGCCAGCACAGCAATCTGAAGTCAACCTGGGATGCTTAAGCTTGGTCAGGGAAGGGGCGTCTGCCATTACTGAGGCTTGAGTAGGTGGTTTTCCCCTCACAGTATAAACAAAGCTGCCAGGAAGTTTATACTGGGTAGAGCCCACCACAGCTCAGCAAAGCCACTGTAGCCAGACTGCCTCTCTAGATTCCTCCTCTCTGGGCAAGGCATCTCTGAAAGAAAGGCAGCAGCCCAGTCAGGGGCTTATAGATCAAACTCCCATCTCCCTGGGACAGAGCACCTGGGGGACGGGGCAGCTGTGGGTGCAGCTTCAGCAGACTTAAACGTTCCTGCCTGCTGGCTCTGAAGAGAGCAGCAGATCTCCCAGCACAATGCTTGAACTCTGCTAAGGGACAGACTACCTCCTCAAGTGGATCCCTGACACCCGTGCCTCCTGACTGGGAGACACCTCCCAGCAGAGGTCAACAGACACCTCATACAAGAGAGCTCTGGCTGGCATCCGGTGGGTGCCACTCTCGGACGAAGCTTCCAGAGGAAGAAACAGGCAGAAATCATTGCTGTTTTGCAGCCTCCGCTGGTGATACTCAGGCAAACAGGGTCAGGAGTGGACCTCCAGCAGACCTACAGCAGAGGGGCCTGTTAGAAGAAAAACTAACAAACAGAAAGGAATAGCACCAACTCAATAAAAAGGACGTCCACAAAGAAACTCCATCTGAAGCTCACCAACATCAAAGATCAAAGGCGATAAATTCACAAAGACGAGGAAAAACCAGCACAAAAAGGCTGAAAATTCCAAAAACCAGAATGTATGTTCTCCAAAGAAACACAACTCCTGGCCAGCAAGGGAACAAAACTGGACAGAGAATGAGTCTGATGAATTGACAGAAGTAGGCTTCAGAAGGTGGGTAATAACAAACTCATCCAAGCTAAAGGAGCATATTCTAACACAATGCAAGGAAGCTAAGAACCTCAAAAAAAAGGTTAGACAAATTGCTAACTAGAATAACAAGTTTAGAGAAGAACATCAATGACCTGATGGAGCTGAAAAACACAGCACGAGAACTTCATGAAGCACACACAAGTATGAATAGCCAAATCAATCAAACAGAAGAAAGTATATCAGAGATTGAAGATCAAATTAATGAAATAAAGTGTGGAGACAAGATTAGAGAAAAAAGAATGAAAAGAAATGAACAAAGCCTCTGAGAAATATGGGACTATGTGAAAAGACCCAACCTATGTTTGATTGGTATACCTGAAAGTGATGGGGAGAATGGAACCAAGTTAGAAGATACTCTTCAGGATATTATCCAGGAGAACTACCCGAACCTAGCAAGGCAGGCCAACACTCAAATTCAGGAAATACAGAGAACACCACAAAGATACTCCTTGAGAAGAGCAACCCCAAGACACATAATTGTCAAATTCACCAAGGTTGAAATGAAGGAAAAAATGTTAAGGGCAGCCAGAGAGAAAGGTCAGGTTACCCACAAAGGGAAGCCCATTAGACTAACAGTGGATCTCTCAGCAGAATGCCTACGAGCCAGAAGAATCATTTTTAAAGAAAAGAATTTTCAACCCAGAATTTCATATTCAGCCAAACTAAGCTTCATAAGTGTGGAAGGAGAAATAAAATCCTTTACAGACAAGCAAATGTTGAGAGATTTTGTCACCACCAGGCCTGCCTTAAAAGAGATCCTGAAGGAAGCACTAAACATGGAAAGGAAAAACTGGTACTAGACAAGGCAAAAACATACCAAATTGTAAAGACTGTCTACACTGTGAAGAAACTGCATCAACAGGCAAAATAACCAGCTAGCATCATAATGACAGGATCAAATTCACACATAACAATATTAACCTTAAATATAAACAAGATAAATTCCCCAATTAAAAGACATAGACTGGCAAATTGGATAAAGAGTCAAGACCCATTAGTGTGCTGTATTCAGGAGACTCATCTCATGTGCCAAGACACATATAGGCACAAAATAAAGGGATGAAGTAATATTTAACAAGCAAATGGGAAAAAAAATCAGGGGTTGCAATCATAGTCTCTGATAAAAAGAGACTTTAAAACAACAAGATAAAAAAGACAAAGAAGGGCATTACATAATGATAAAGGGATCAATGCAACAAGAAGAACTAACTATCCTAAATATATATGCACCCAATAGAGGAGCATTCACATTCATAAAGCAAGTTCTTACAGGCATACAAAGAGACTTAGACTCCCAAACAATAATAGTGGGAGACTTTAACACCCCACTGTAAATATTAGACAGATCAATGAGACAGAGTATTAACAAGGATATTCAGGATTTGACCTCAGCTCTGGAACAAGCTGACCTAATAGTCCTTTACAGAGCTCTCCACCCTGAATCAACAGAATATACGTTGTTCTCAGCACCACATCACATTTATTCTAAAATTGACCACATAATTGGAAGTAAAACACTCCTCAGCATACACAAAAGAATGGAAATCATAACAGTCTCTCAGACCACAGTGCAATCAAATTAGATCTCAGGATTAAGAAACTCACTCAAAACCACACAACTACATGGAAACTGAACAACCTGCTCCTGAATGACTACTGGGTAAATAACCAAATGAAGGCACAAATAAATAAGTTATTTGAAACCAATGAGAACAAAGGCACAACATACCAGAATATCTGGGACGTAGCTACAGTGTGTTTAGAGGGAAATTTATAGCACTAAATGCCCACAGGAAAAAGTGGGAAAGATCTTAAATCCACACCCTACCATCACAATTTAAACAACTAGAGAAGCAAGAGTACACGAATTCAAAAGCTAGCAGAAGACAAGAAATAACTAAGATCAGAGCAGAACTGAACGAGACAGAGATGCGAAAAACCCTTCAAAAAATCAATGAATCCAGGAGCTGGTTTTTTGAAAGTATTAACAAAATAGATAGACTGCTAGCCAGACTAATAAAGAAGAAAAGTGAGAAGAATCAAATAGACACAATAAAAAAATGATAAAAGGGATATCAGCATTGATCCCACAGAAATACAAACTACCATTAGAGAATACTATAAACACCTCTATGCAAATAAACTAGAAAATCCAGAACAAATGGATAAATTCCCGGACGCATAGACCCTCCCAAGACTAAACCAAGAAGTCAAATCTCAAAATAGACCAATAACAAGCTCTGAAATTGAGGCAGTAATTAATAGCCTACCAACCAAAAAAAGCCCAGGACCAGACAGATTCACAGCTGAAATCTACAAGAGGTACAAAGAGGAGCTGGTACCATTTCTTCTGAAACTATTCCAAACAATAGAAAAAGAGGGACTCCTCCCTAACTCATTTTATGCGGCCAGCATCATCCTGATACCAAAACCTGGCAGAGACACAACAAAAAAGGTAAATTTCAGGCCAATATCCCTGATGAACATCGATGTGAAAATCCTCAATAAAATACTGGCAAACCGAATCCAGCAGCACATCAAAAAGCTAATCCACCATGATCAAGTTGGCTTCATCCCTGGGATGCAAGGATGGTTCAACATACACAAATCAAAAAATGTAATCCATCCCATAAACAGAACCAATGGCAACAGCCACGTGATTATCTCAATAGGTGTGGAAAAGGCCTTTGATAATATTCAATACCACTTCATCCTAAAAACTCTTAATAAAATAGGTATTGATGGGATGTATCTCAAAATAATAAGAGCTATTTGTGACAAACCCACAGTCAATATCATACTGAATGGGCAAAAGCTAGAAGCATTCCCTTTGAAAACTGGCACAAGACAAGATTGCCCTCTCTTACCACTCCTATTCAACATAGTATTGGAAGTTCTGACCAGGGCAATCAGGCAAGAGAAAGAAATAAAGGGTATTCAATAGGAAGAGAGGAAGTCGGTGCACTCACCTTTGCTCATATGTAAGGACAGACCCTTCTATAGAAGTACCTTACCTTGCTGAGAATCAAAAAGAAAATGTTATATCCAAGTGCAATTTCTTTTGTGGCACCACAACTTTATATATAACAATTTGGGGGCTCACCCATGATTACATTCCCCTCCAGGGATGGTCTCTGGTTCTCTCTTGTGAGGAGGCGCACCCTGCTCCCTTGTGGCGGCCTCAGAAGTGAGAAATCTGAGCCCACCCAGTGCAAGGAATAACCCAAACTCTCAGCAACACGAAAAAAAAAATGGCCAGCAACCTAGCTTAAAGGATCCTCACACACTTGGTGACAACTCTGTGCACAGATCAAGGAAGGAGAAGCCACGGGAGCTGGTAAAGTATTTCCTTGGTGGTCGGGACCAGGTAAGAAAGCCATGGGGGTGTTCAGTGAAGTACTCCTTGGTTGGGGTGGCTTAAAGGTTAGAAAGAGGTGAGACATCCCCATTCGGGGGGATTGAACCTCACACACTACTTCCAGTAGTAGAAAAGGCAAGAAATTTCCAGTGGGGAAATTGAGCCTCAACACAAAAGGCAAGAAATTTCCAGTGGGGGATATTGAGCCTCACCCCATAAGGCAAGAAATTTCCATTGAGGAAATTGAGCCTCACCCCAAAAGGCTTTACCCCTAAAGGCAAGAAATTTCCAGTGGGGAAATTGAGCCTCACCCCAAAAGGTGAGAAATTTCCAGTAAGGGAAATTGAAACTTGAACCTTACCCCAAAACCATCAAGATGGGAAATACCCCGAGCAAGACAGGGAGCAAGGGGGATAAAGATGGTAACAAAGATATCCCCCCGGATAGCCCCCTAGGTCTCATGCTAAAACACTGGAAGGATAATGAAAGGACGAAACATAGGAAAAAGCAACAAATGATAAAATATTGCTGTTTTATTTGGACTCAGGGACCCATCCTCAAACCCTCAATCTTCTGGCCAAAGTTTGGGTCGAATGCGGATGTAATGTGTCAGCTTCTAATCCGATATGTTAATGATAAAACTCTAGTGTCTCAAGAAGAACTAGGCTATGCCCTTTGTTGGAGGCAAGGACCTGCCCTCCTTTTTCCCTTAAAAACAAATACGGAAGAACCCAATCTGGCACCTCAAAATGAAAAGTCAGAGGAGCCAGCTCTCATGCCTAAAGATTTCAGCACATGGGATCCCCTAGACTATCTTCCCCTGTTCAGTGTCCCCAACCTTTCCCCACAGACAGCCACGGCCACCTCAGATCCTGTTCCAAATTCCCCCTCTACTCATAGCCTTATAACCCTGACTCTTGGGAATTACCATCCCATTAACCTGTTCCCTCCCAACCTAAATACTCCTCTCTAAAAGGACTCCAGTGTGAGGTAGAACAATGTAAAAAAGATATTCAGAATTTCCCATTTCCCTCCATACCTAAGAGGTCAGCCCCGACCCTCTTCCCTTTGAAAGAGGTACCACAAGGAGGGGGGCCATTCGCTTTGTAAATGCTCCCCTAACCAGTTCAGAAGTCCAGGATTTTAAAAAGGAGCTTAAACCACTACTAGATGACCCTTACAGAGTAGCAGACCAATTCTTAGGACCTCAGTTATACACTTGGGTCGAGTTAATGTCCATCTTGGGCATCCTCTTTTCAGGGAAGAAAGAGTAGCTCCACTCCCACTGGTCCCTCCCCTAGGGTAAGGGGAAGGGGAAGGGAGAACAGCAGCATAAGCAGCTGGCAGAGGCAGGGAAAGAACAGCAGAGAGAGAAAAAGAGAGAGAGAGGAAGAGAAAGAGAGGCAAAGAGGGAGTCAAAGAGAGAGAGAGAAAGAGACAAAGTCAAAGAGAGAAAGAGAAAGAGAAAGATAGAAGTAGTAAAGAGAAAATAGTGTACCCTATTCCTTTAAAAGCCAGGGTAAATTTAAAACCTATAATTGATAATTGAAGGTCTTCTCCATGACCCCATAACACTACAAAACCACCTTGTTGTCAGTATAAACAAGGGTGTAGCCTGAAAGCACTGAGGCCGCTGACAACCCATAGCCTTTCTAATCAAAAATCCTTAACGCAATAACCTGCGGATGGCCCACATGCATTCAATCTGTAGCGGCAACCGGTTTGCTAACAGAAGAAAGTAGAAAAATAACTTTTAGAGGAAACCTCATTGTGAGCACACCTCATAAGGTCAGAACTATCCTAAGTCCAAAATAAATAAATAAATGAATAAATAAATAAATAAATAAATAAATAAATAAAAATGTAGCTTACTAACTCAAAAATCTTAAAGTATGGGGCTATTCTGTTAGAAAAAGATTATTTGACATTAACCACTGATAATTCCCTTAACCCGGCAGGTTTCCTAACATGGGATCTAAATCTTAATTAATTACCATACAAAGGTCTGACCAGACCTAGGAGGAACTCCCTTCAGGGACAGGATGATACACAATGGGTATTCAGTAATTGATAGGGAAACTCTTGTAAATGCAGAGTTAGGGAAATTGCCTAATAATTGGTCTGCTCAACTGTGAGAGCTGTTTGCACTCAGCCAAGCCTTAAAGTACCTACAGAACCAGGCAGGAACCGTCTATACCAATTATAAGTTAATTTGGACTAAACAAGGTCTTATTAAAAGCAAAGAATAATTGAAATCCCAAATTTATAAGGTTTCCAACAAAAGTAATTTGCTAAAAGTTAACAGTGTAACATGTATCATCCTAACTTCTGATCTTGTGGCCTTAGACAGTCTAGTCCACAGACATGAAGAAAGTTTGCTTTGGAAAAGAATGGTTATTATCTTTGAGAAAAAAAAAAGTCGGGGGAGAATGTATGTAAAAAGGAATGTTATGTGGTAAATTCTTGTCCTAAAATAAATTAACTGGCTGTTTAAAGAAAGGGATGTTTGCAACAAGTCAGAAAGTTGAGGCATGTGGAAGAATTGTCTGTAAAAGTCGTGGGAAAAAAAAGTTATAAAAGGGAATTTATGCAAGAAATGTTGTATAATTTAAAAGTAATTAGGCCTCCTGATTGTAAAACTATTGAAGAAACAGTTTATGTGCAAGGTGTATAAGGAAAGTAAAATATACCTTTGGTAAAAGGATTATAAGGAGGCATAAGAATGTGGATTTTTACCTACATTAAAAGGTTAAAAACATATATATTTTGTTTTAAAGGTTTAAGCAAGTTTTGAAATGTTAATTGCAAAGGAAATTCTGTGTGTAAACATATTGGCTAAAGTTAAAGGGGTATCATCCAGTTTTTCTGTGAAATGGATATTAAAATACAAGCACAACAGGTTTTTCTTAAAGCACTAACCTACTCTTTAACAAAAATTATAAAAGGTTAAAAAGAGTCTATAAAAATCTTACCTATGGTCAGACATTAAAAGTTGAATAAATATGCCTACAAAGTTTTATTAAAATTAAGTTTAACATTAATAACACCAATATAAAGGTGAAATTTAGATTATCTGGTATAAAAATCATACAGGAAGCATTGTCAAATATAAAATGGTGTTTGGCTTTCTTTGGTCTAAAAGCTAATAAAAATAGGTGCTAAAGGAAATTTCTCAGTAAGAAGGCACCAAGGACTACAAAGTCCACTGCTGATGTCCCCACATTTAAAACAAAGATAAATTTTTTAGAAATTATATACTTGGTTTATCTTCCACTTTAGTTTCCCTCAAAACTAAAAGTCTTTTATCACAGGTACCACCCCTAGAATTTCTAGTAAACCAGCACCAGCCTGAGGATCACGTTCTCATCAAAGGGTGGAAAGAAGGAAAACTCCAGCCAGCCTGGGAAGGACCCTACCTTGTGCTGCTAACCACCGAGACTGCTGTTCATACAGCAGAAAAGGGATGGACTCATCACACCTGAGTCAAGTAAGTGCCGCCCCCTCCAGAGTAGTGGGCCAAGGTCCCAGGGAAAGAACCCTACCAAACTAAAGCTAAGAAAAATTTAACTCTTTAATCTATCCTATTACTCTTTCTTCTTTCCTCACTCTATTGCTGACCATCTAATTATTGACATAACCAAGTCAATTTTGCCTCAAACTATTGCATTTAATGCTTGCCTTGTTATACCCCATGGGGACTTGTCAAGTCAAAAAGAGCTCTCTACTTCAGAAAAGTACCTCTGTCCCTCCTGACTCTCCTCAGACTAGGCATTAATTAATTGGGACCATTTAATCCGGGGAGATTTCGATAAAGACCCCAGTGACAACCAGGAAGTCTTGCTCCCCGATGTAGAGCTTTTATGCCATAGTTAGTCCAACATTCTGTGGACCACTAAAGAGCAAGGATGGACTACCCCAACAAGTTTTTGTAATTTCCTAAAACCATACATTAATTTTACTAGAGGGACAGCCCTCCCCTCTAATTGTCAGCTAAACCAGTATAATTCTATACAGGTTATTATCTCAAACCCTCAAAGTTCTTCCCCTTTTCTAAGCCAGTTCCCTTCTTTAAGCCGGTTTTATGGTATAGGGGCTGAGGTTTCAGGGACAAACCCTATTAGATTATTTGAAATGCATTTCTTTGATCCCCCACCACCTGCACCTTCCTCTAAGTCTTCTTCCAAAACCTCTCACACTGGAACCATTGCTCCTCCTCCATCTAACGACAAGACAAAGATAGCTATCATAAAAGTTGAAGACTTAAACTTTGGCAATTAAGACAGGATACCAAGATGCAAATGCCTGGTTGGAATGGATCAAATATTCTGTCTGCACATTAAACAAAAGCAATTATTATGCTTGTGCGCATAGCAGGCCAGAGGCCCAGATTGTCCCCTTTCCACTAGGGTGGTCCTCCAGTCTACCAGGCATGGGCTGCATGGTAACTGTTTTGCAGGATTCTACAGCCTGGGGTAACAAGTCATGCCAAGCTCTCTCTCTGCCATGTCCCGAAGTCCAACACCCTGCGGGTCAGCCCCCGAGGGCCCTCCAGCTTCCACCTCCCAAAACTAAGTTCACTTCATGTCTCTCACTGCAGGGAAGAAACTTAGTGTTCCTTGGAGACCTGAAGGAATGCAGTGAGCTTAAGAACTTTCAAGAGCTTACCAATCAGGCAGCCCTTGTTCATCCCCAAATGGATGTGTGATGGTATTGTGATGGACCTTTACTGGACACTCTGCCAAATAACTGGAGTGGCACTTGTGCTTTAGTACAATTGGCTATCCCTTTCACCAAGGAATTTCATCAACCAGAGGAAGGAAAAATAAGACATCGTAAAGCAAGAGAAGCCCCTTATGGGTCTTGACTCTCACGTCTATTTAGACACACTTAGAGTCCCACAGGGAATACCAGATCAATTTAAAGCCTGAAATCAAATAGCTGCAGGATTTGAACCAATATTTTGGTAGGTGACAATTAATAAAAATGTAGATTGGATAAACTACATTTACCACAACCAACAGCGATTTATTTACTACACTAGAGATGCTGTTAAAGGAACAGCTAAACAATTAGGGGCCACTAGACAGACGGCTGGGGAAAATAGGATAGCCCTAGACATGATATTAACAGAAACAGGAGGAGTTTGTGTCATGATTAAAACTCAATGTTGCACCTTCATCCCAAACAACACCACCCCTAATGGAAATATAACAAAGGCATTGCAAGGTCTGACTGCCCTGTCCAATGAGTTAGCCAGCAACTCAGGGGTAAATAACCCCTTTACAGGATGGCTAAAAAAGTGGTTTGGTAAATGGAAAGGAATAATAGCCTCAATTCTTACTTCCCTCACAGATATAATGTGTGTACTTATTCTTGTTGGGTGCTGCGTCATACCATGCATCCGTGGGTTAATGCAGAGGCTCATAAAAACAGCACTTACTAAAACCTCCTTTAACTATCCTTCACCTTATCCAGAGAAGCTTCTTCTTTTGAAAAATCAAGCAAAACAACTAAGCCAAGACATGTTTTAAAAAAAAGTTTGAAAAGAAAGCTGTAAGGAAATATAAGGGGAGGGGTTGTTAGATATGAGTTCTAAATTTCTTTTCCAAGAATCAATATGTCAGTATGTTCAATTCTTTATCTTCTACTTTTAAACTTAACTTCCTCATAAAGCAACTTTTTTCATTTTAAACTTAACTTCCTGATAAAGCAACTTTTTTCAATTACCTGCTTCACCCTGATTCATTTCAATCACCTGCTCCACCCTGACTCATTCTGATTACCTGCTCCACCTTGACTCATTTCAATCACCTGCTCCACCCTGACTCATTCTGATTACCTACTCCACCATGACTCATTCTGATTACCTACTCCACCCTGACTCATTCTGATTACCTGCTCTGTCATAACCATTTTCCCCACAAAACCACTCACCCCGTCACTCTTTAAATTAGCCAGTCAGAATTAGTTTAGCCTGTGTGGCCTAACCCTAGCCAATAGGGGAATGACACAGCAGCAGGGGCCACGTGCATCAGGGATAAGAACCCCTTCCCCTCCCTTGTTCAAGTGTGCACTCACCATTGCTCCATCTGTAAGGGTGCACCCTTCTATAGAAGTACCTTGCCTTGCTGAGAATAAAAAAGAAAATTTTTTGAAGAGAGGAAGTCAAATTGTCTCTTTGCAGATAACATGATTGTGTATTTACAAAACCCCATCGTCTCAGCCCCAAATCTCCTTAAGCTGATAAGCAACTTCAGCAAAGTCTCAGGATACAAAATCAATGTGCAAAAATCACAAGCATTCCTATACACCAATAATAGAGAGCCAAATCATGAGTGAACTCCCATTTGCAATTGCTACAAAGATAATTAAATACCTAGGAATAAAACTTACAAGGGATGAGAAGGACCTCTTCAAGGAGAACTACAAAACACTGCTCAAGGAAATAAGAGAAGACACAAACAAATGGAAAAACATTCCATACTCATGGATAGGAAGAATCAATATCATGAAAATGGCCATAATGCCGAAAGTAATTTATAGATTCACTGCTATCCCCATTAAGCTGCCACTGACTTTCTTCACAGAATTAGAATAAACTACTTTAAATTTCATACAGAACAAAAAAAGAGCCCACATAGCCAAGACAATTCTAAGCAAAAAGAACAAAGCTGGAGGCATCATGCTACCTGACTTCAAACTATAATACAAGGCTACAGTAACCAAAACGGCATGGTACTGGTACCAAAACAGATATATAGACCAATGGAACAGAACAGAGGCCTCAGAAATAACACCACACATCTACGACTATGACCATCTGATCTTTGACAAACCTGACAAAAACAAGCAATGGAGAAAGGATTCCCTATTTAATAAATGGTGTTGGGAAAACTGGCTAGCCATATGCAGAAAACTGAAACTGGACCCCTTCCTTACACCTTATACAAAAAGTAACTCACGATGGATTAAAGAATTAAATGCAAGACCTAAAACCATAAAAACACTAGAAGAAAACCTAGGCAATACCATTCAAGACAAAAGCATGGTCAAAGACTTCATGAGTAAAACACCAAAAGCAATGTCAATGAAAGGCAAAATTAAAGAGCTTCTGCACAGCAAAAGAAACTATAATCAGAGTGAACAGGCAACCTACAGAATGGGAGAAATTTTTTGCAATCTATCCATCTGACAAAGGGCTAATATCCAGAATCTACAAGGAACTTAAACAAATTTACAAGAACTAAACAAACCACCCAATCAAAAAGTCAGTGAAGAATATGAACAGATCCTTCTCAAAATAAGACATTTATGCAGTCAACAAACATGAAAAAAAGCTCATCATCACTGGTCAGTAGAGAAATGCAAATCAAAACTACAATGAGATACCATCTCACACCAGTTTGAACGGCAATCATTGAAAAGTCAGGAAACAACAGATGCTGGAGAGGATGTGGAGAATAGGAACACTTTTACATTGTTTGTGGGAGTGTAAATTAGTTCAACCATTGTGGAAAACAGTGTGGCAATTCTTCAAGGATCTAGAACCAGAAATATCATTTGACCCAGCAATCCCTTTACTGGGTATACACCCAAAGGATTATAAATCATTCTATTGTAAAGACACATGCATACGTACGTTTATTGCAGCACTATTCACAATAGCAAAGACTTAGAATCACCCAAATGTCCATCAGTGACAGGCTGGATAAAGAAAATGTGGCACATATACACCATGGGATACTATGTAGCCATAAAAAGGATGAGTTCATGTCCTTCGCAGGGACATGGATGAAGCTGAAAACCATCATTCTCAGCAAACTAACACAGGAACAGAAAACCAAACACTGCATGTTCTCACTCATAAGTAGGAGTTGAACAATGAGAACATCGACACAAGAAGGGGAACATCACACACTGGGGCCTGTCAGGGGGTGGGGGGCTAGGGGAGGGATAGCATTAGGAGGAATACCTAATGTAGATGACTAGTTGATGGGTGCAGCAAACTACCATGGCATGCATATACCTATGTAACAAACCTGCACGTTCTGCACATGTATCCCAGAAAAAGTGTAATTTAAAAAACAGAAATAAATAAAAACAGAACAACAGCAGTAAAAACAAAATACATAAATTAATTAATTAAAATAAAATAATATAAAAATAAAAAGTGGGCAAAGGACATGAACAGACACTTCTTGAAGTAAGACATACACGTGGCCTACAAACATGAAAAAATAGTCAACATCACTAATCATTAGAGAAATGTAAATCAAAACCACGATGAAATCACCATCTCAGAAACCAGTTAGAATGGCTATTACTAACACTAAAAAGTCATAAAAATGTTGGCAAGTTTGCAGGGGAAGGAGAACACTTTCATATGGTTAGTGGGAATGTAAATTACTTCAGCCACCATGGGAAGCAGTTAAGAGATTTCCCAAATAACTTAAAACAGATCTACCATCAACCCAGCATTCCCATTACTGGGTATATACCCAAATAAATAAAACTCATTCTACCAAAAAGACACGTGTACCTTTATGTTCATTGCAGCACTATTCACTATAGCAAAGACATGGAATCAATCTAGATGTCCATCGGTGGTGAAAAGAATAAAGAAAACATGGTACCTACACATCATGGAATACTATACATCCCTAAAAAATGAAATCATGTCCTTTGCAACAACATGGTGCAGCTTGAAGCCATTATCCTAGGTGAATTAATGCAGAAACAGAAAACCAAATAACACATGTTCTCACTTATAAATGGGAGCTAAACATTGAGTATACATGGACACAATGAAAGGAAAAAAAGCCACCAGGGCCTACCTAGTGGGGTGATGGGAGGAGGGTAAGGGTTGAAAAACTACCTATTGGGTACCATGCTCACTACCTTGGTGATGAAATCATTTGTACACCAAACCCCATGACATAAAATTTGCCCATGTAACAAATCTGCCTATGTACCTTCTGAACCTAAGATGAAAGTTGGAAAAATAAAAAATAAATAAATACCTAAAATTTCTCCACACCAGGAGAAGATACATCCCTTTGCATAAGCAAAATTGAACTGGTTCCTGGTAGTAAGGAGAAAGATGAAGAGCACATTATTTAGAACCAGAGGAACCAGCAGACAGACTCACACAGTTCCCACCATGTTCCTGCTTAAATGTAGTACAGAACATGACGCCTGCCAATGAAAAATAAACAGTTGTTTTGCAATCTTATGAGAATAAACAGTAAAAAAAGAAAAGTTTAGTGGCGATATCAACATCTGGCAAAGACTTTCAACAAAAAATATTACCAGGGAGGCCAGGCACAGTGGCTCACACCCGTAATCCCAGCTCTTTGGAAGGCCGAGGCAGGCAGATCAATTGGCCCCAGGAGTTCAAGACCACTTTGTGCAACACAGTGAGAACCCCATGTCTACAAAAAATAATACAAATTAGCTGGCTGTAGTGACATGCACTCATAGTCCCAGCTACTCAGGAAGCTGAGGTGGGAAGATCACTTGAGCCAAGAAGTTTGAGGCTTCAGTGAGCTATGATTGTGCCACTGCACTCCAGCCTCAGCAAAAGAGTGAGACACTGCTTCAAAAAAAGAAAAATTGCCAGTGATAAAGAGGAGAATTTTATCATGATAAAAGAGCCAATCTATCTAGATGTTGTTACATCTGATAAAAATGGGTAGGAAAACAATAGCAATACAAATAACTGCAATCTTCAGTTTCAACTTTCGTATCTGTCCTTTATTCTGCCATTTTCCCTGCTTCACAAATTATCTCCTCACTGACCTGTTTCTTCCATCACTAGTTCACTTTTGATTTCTTCTCCTTTAGTCAAAAACAAGTTCAAAGCTTTGCCGTTCTAAAAGAAACTTTCTTAGGCACCCCCCACCTTTTATTATCTATGCAAGGCCCTTTCTCTTTCATTGCCTTTCGTAATCAAATTTTCTGAAAGTGTGGAGAAGTCTGTGCTTCTGGGATTCCCCTAAGATTCTGGGTTATCTTTTGCTAGTCAGATAAAAAGCAGTCTCATGCATCAGAGTATCCAGCAGTTATGGCAGCAGTAGGAATTCTAAGAGCAACAAAGCTGCTGCAAGGGCCAAAGCACTTTCTTTCTGATGAGGCTAACTGTGGTTTCTATTAGTTGCCACTAGATGTGCCCAGCTGGTTTACTCCTCTTTATTCAAAATTTAAAGAGCACTTACATAATTATAACAATTGAAAAACTGTTGATGGCCAGGTGCAGTGACTCATGCCTATAATGCCAACACTTTGGGAGGCCAAGGCAAGAAGATTGCCTGAGCCCAGGATTTCTCAACCAGTCTGGGCAACATAGCAAGATTCCTGTCTCTACAAAAATTGTTTAAAAACTAGGGCCTAGTGGCTTGTGCCTGTAGTCCCAGCTACTTGGGAGGCTGAGGTGGGAGGATTGCTTGAGCCCAGGAGTTTGAGGCTGCAGTGAGCTGTGATGTTACCACTGCACTCCAACCTGGGCAACAGAGTGAGACCCTGTCTCAAAAAAAAAGAAAGAAAGAAAGGTGTTTACCATTTTAGATCTAGGAACTTCACTAATTTTTTTATAATGGGAGACCATCTAAAGACAATTTCATTTTATGGGCATTGAACAAGACAAAAAAATTAGACCTCAAGTCCAGAAAGATTTTTCTAGGTTTTTACCCAGCTAAACTCTTTATTCTTTAACATTCACCAATATAATTTCCACTCCTACACCCCATCAAATCTTTATGGAAACCATTTTCATATTTCAGCAGTGGACTCTTAATTGTTAAAATCAATGAGTGATTGTCAATCATCGTACTATTTAACTCCTTTTATAATTTTGACATCATTCAATTATGAAAACCCACATCTCCATTAGCAGAGGGAGAAGTATTATGAAGCCAATGAAGTTTAAACTTCAAGATCCTTCACTTACATAGGACCTTTCCAACATGCTGGGAATAGCTCTAGAAATGTGTTCATATAATAATATATTTTTAACTTGAAAAAGTAAGATATTAAACCTCAACTAATACTATATTCTCTATCCACATTGACTCCCACTCCATCACACTTCCTTCATATTAGGTGGCATTTGGTGTGACCATGGACATTTTGGAGATCTAACTAAGGAAAAACTGAGTTGAGAATGAATTTAGCTTAAATTTAGAGGATTAGTCTGTTCTTGTGTTGCTATAAAGAACTACCTGAGACTGGGTAATTTACAAAGAAAAGACGTTTAATTGGCTCACAGTTCTGCAGGCTGTACAGGAAGCACTGCTGAGGAAGCCTCAGGAAACTTTCACGGCAGAAGGTGAAGGGGAAGCAGGCATGTCTTACATGGCTGGAGCAGGAGGGAGAGAGTGAAGTGGGAGGTGCTATACACTTTTAAACAACCAGATGTCGTGAGAACTCACTCACTGTCATGAGAACAGCAAGGGGTAAATCCACCCCCATGACCCAATCACTTCCCACCAGGCCCCTCATTCAACACTGGGGGTTACAATTTGACATGAGATTTGGGTGGGGACACAAATCCAAACCATATCAGAGGGATATATTTGTGTGTATGACAAGCACTTTAATACATAATTATAACTAATAAGATTTTACAGACTATAAGTGGCAGAGATAGTAAAAGTAAGTACTATCTGACTCAAGTGTTAACAATCTCAATACAACACTATATTGCCTTTCAATGATTTAGTGATTCATCATCAGGCCCCCAATTCCTTAATTCAGTCTATTCTATCCTCAGCCACTTACCAGTATTTCATAGTCTATTCTCAGGTACATGCTAGCATTTGACATCTTTTCCCTTCTCTTTTTCTGAGCTTCAACACACCCTGTGTGTTCACCACACTCAATGCAAATGTATCCTCCTATCTTCACTAGATCATATCTTTGTCCATGCTTTGTTCATGCTCTTCCCTCAGCCTACAATGGCCTTGATCAATCACATCTGTACTCACTTTTATTAATTTCCTGCTGATTTGACAGGACAAATAAATTTCCATGGAAATAACATGACATCAATTCTATACCACTATCATGAGAAAGACATTGACACCTGACTGGTTGATTATGTTCATTCAGGCAATTTAGCAACTGTTTATGTTATCCATTGGTGTATGACAAACCATCATAAAACTGACTGGTGTAAAACAGAGTTTTTAAATGTGGGTTTAGAATTTGGACATACACAGCAAAGATGGCCTATCTCTGGTTCACCATGCCCAGGGCCTCAGCTAGAAAGAATCAAGTACTTGGGGGCTGAAATTCTCTAGAGATGCCTTTATTCATATGCCTAGCATCGAAGGTGGAATAATTTAAAGTCTGGGTTCATCTGGGATTGTCAACCAAAGAGCCTACACATGGCCTCGCAATGTGCCTTTATCTTCCTCAAAGCATGGCAGCCTCTGTGTAGTCAGACTTCTAACACTGAGGCTTAGGGCTCCAATAGCAAGCGTTCCAGCAGCTAAGTGGGGAAATCCATGGCCCTTTTTTGCTGAGCCTCAGAAGTGATATTTCCACCATGTCATATTACTTAAAACAGGAACAATCCTGCCCCTATTCAAGTGGAAGGGACACCCACCTCCACTTCTCAATAGGAAATGAGTGAAAGACTCCATAATCATATTTTAAATTGCCATAGTAACTGCATTGGATACTTTAAATACCCTAAAATTAATACTTACATGTGGAAGAAATTGTATAGAACTTTCCTCAAATTTAATAATAATCCTAAAAATCTGTCATTACCAATAATGAATGATAAAGCTGAAAAAAACTTTTCTAAATTCTAAACAATGAAAATTGAACTTTAACCAAACATCCCAGAGGACAGATTTTATTATTTTCTCATCTTTCCAGAGAGGAGAAGTAATCAAATAATATGCAGTCAAAAACAACAGGGAAAATACTACAGAAAGGTGTTAGGCAGTTAGCTAAAAAAAAAAATCATATTCTTTTTTCCTAGATTTGTGAAGTTTTGGTATTTACTTTCTCTTTATAAATAAATATCCCCTTTTACCTAATTTGTATTAGTAATGTAATAAGATTAAGTTATTTATAATTGAATAAACTTCAGTTACTTATAATTGAATAAGCTTCAAAGGCCGCAGAACTTGGATTTTCCTGTTTCTGTTTCCATGATACCACTCTTTGTCTTCCTCCGCCTCTTTGGCGATGCCATCTCACTCCCTGCATTCTTCTTCCTCTGCTCACACTCTTAATACTCACCAGTATTAATCCTCACTTCACGGTACTGAAAAAACTCCCTTTTTGCCTTACTCAAAAATCACATAGGTCAGATCCAGAAATTAAACTTCTCAGATCAATATCAAATTCACAACTCCAAACTTCATTTAACATTAAAGCTTTTCTTTTTCCCCTTCCTGGGGCCTGCTACGAGCTAGTCACTTGCCTTGGGAGAATGGGGCCTGGCTCTCTTGTCTTTCCCTGATAAGCATGTCTGGGTAGGGAAAGGAAGAGTGCTGAAAGAAACAGGAAATGATGATACCTGTCACTGTGGAAACTGGCTTCGCACCCTATGGGCCTGACAGATGCTAACAGCTGGCTCTCTCACATGTACTTTTTTGGGTTTCTTAAGGCTACCCTATTGAGTCTCTCAAATTGCAACTCCTGTATTATGGACAATACCTGTCCACCTTAAACTGGGGTCCCCTTGCCCCAAGGGGCTGCCCTCTTGGTCACGATTTCTAAAACATCCACAGCTGCCAATCCTCCCTGTGATTTCACACATGGTTCCAGGAACACCTTTGATCCTCCAATGCAGGGGAGTGCAACTCTCTGTTCCTCTGTTCAGGTACTATGAGCTGCTCCAGCTTTCTCAGGCTCATGCCAGTCAACAAACCTCTATGTCCCCCAATTTCAGGGCACACATAGCAAGCTCTCCATGTAGTCCTACTGGAGTGCCTCACACTCTATATTGAGTTTAGAAGCAGCCTCCCCATCTGCAACAACCACCTTGGGTAGAGGAAAGAAGGAAAAAAGGAGATATATTTTGTAGCTTCTTCCAAATGTTTCCTTATAAAAGTCTTCTCTATTTGCACTCTCTAGATTCTTTCATATCTTTGCAGTTTTAACATATGGTCTAGTATCCCTTTTGGAATAAAACATATGCCCTATCATGATGGTTCAACTGAAATGTCAATTTTGGTATCCTGTTAAATAATATATACATATATATATATATATATACACATGTATGTATGTATATACATGCACACACATATGCATATTTATATGTGTATCATATAAAATGTCCTCCAGAATGTGCTGCAGAGTTCAAAACTAAACTCAACTCCTAACTTGCTCACCCTTCCCTCCATGTTCCCTCAATTAGTAGCCCAATCTAAAAAGCCCAGTTATGCTAAAATTCTTCCATCATCGAAACTTAACACTTACAACTCAGAAGTGCCAAAAACTTGCCCACTTTTTCCTTGTTTAGTATTAGGAACCAATATCTTCTTAGCTAGATTATTGTAATAGTTGCCTTTGCCAAATGAGCAAATAAATAAGAGGAAGCCCACCTACATCCCACAGCCCATGCAGGTGGGCATTCTCTTATTTATTTGCTCATTTGGCAAACATCTATTGAGGATCTACTGTATCCCATGCACTTTGGACACAAGGCTTTAAAACTCAAGAATTGCTAATGAAGAAGATGATTAACCAACATACACCATATATTATAATCTAATAAAGCCCTGAAGGCAGGATTTTGTCTGTTTTGTTTACTATTGTAAACCCAAGACCTTAACAGGACCTGGCACTTGGTAAACATTTAATAAACATTTGCTAATAGAATGAATAAATAAAAGAGGAAAGTGGTATAGTTGGATGTGGATGCTATCAGAGCAACACAGACAAAGACTGAGAATGAGGTCTCAGAATGAGGAAGAGACTGAAGAATACAATGCTGGATTTGAGTACAAACATTTATTCCCAGCCAGGAAAATAGGATATAGAAAAGCACAAACAATAAAACCATTAGAAAATTGGAAAACTGCAAATAATTCAATATAGTATTGTATATTGTGAACCACAACTTGCAAAGGGTGGGGAATTGTTGAAGGGCTTTAAGCGAGCACGTGTGGTGATCAGATCTTTCATTGAGAAAGCTTACTCTGAAAGCAATACTGAAGTTGACTCAAAGAAAAAATGTCTGTAGATAGAGAAGCCAGCTTAATAGTAATGTATTTGGGGTTCTAAATAGTGAAACAGAAAAGAAGGTACTGTGTTCTCTTTTCAAAAATTACCCCTGAACCACAAACAGAAGGAGAAACACAAACACAACTTCAGCAAAACTGTATATAAGTTTGAAGCACAGTGTGTGGCAAAGGCTCCCAGATGCAGTGAATGTCAAGACAAGGGGCATTGCAAGTGGGACACATGGCCACAGTTGTACCTCAGGGGAGGCTGCAGAGTGATATTCTCCAAAACAGAAGATGCTCCATGAGCAGAACCTCAACAAGACCTCGTGCTCCCTGAGTAGACCCAAACAAGGCCACAATGGCAAGTGCCTGCAAGGACTGTCCGAAAGACTTTCCCAGGACCCAGAAGAAACCTGGAAAAAGAAGAAATCACACCAACCCGCTCCACTCCCAGGAGTGGAATGTTGGTGAGGCCATCAGGCCTGCTCTGCATGGCGAGCTGTTCCACAGGGCTGATGCCTGGTGGCTGGAGAGAAGAACAAAACAAAGAAATCTCAGAAACAACTTGAATCACAAGGAGCTTTGAATTAGCATTAACACTTATGAGCAAAAATAAAATTAATACAAAAGAATAGGAAAACTATTAATGGTCAAAATTTTATTTTTCCTCTCTCTTAGAAGACCAAGTGGACCAAAAAATAAGTATAAGCAGGAATGACCTAATAGCCAACTATTAAGGTAACATAATTATTGTTTAATTGATTGGTATCCAACTCTGCACCCTAAAACCAAAAATGCACATGTTTTTCCAATGCTAATAGCACATTGTGAAAAATTAACTTTTTTGTGTCACAAAGAAAATATTAATAAATTTGAAAAAGCAGGAATAGCAAAGTTGATGGTGTGTGATCAAAAACAATAAAACTAAAGACATATTACTAGATCAGGAGCCCTGTCACTTGCTTGTACAATTTAGCACAAAAGATAACTACAGTAATACAGGCAAGAAGTTATGGTGGTCTGAAAAAAAGAAGTGGGAATGAGGAAACGATCAATTGACAGAATTATGTGGTGATCAGAGATTGAAGCTGAAGGAGATGAATGTGTCTTTAGAGACTTCTAGGCTTTTCACTTAGGAAATAGATAGATAGCATCACCATTTATTAGCATTGGGAATACCTTAGGAGAAACAGCTTTTGAGAAAAAAACAACAAATTCATTTTCACTCAAGTTGTGTTTGAAATGTCAGCTAGACTTTAGTGGATAAGACTGGAACAAGCAGTAAAATATATCAGTCTAAATCTCAGAGCAAAGATGGAGCAAGGGACATACACTTGGAAGACAACCATATATACTAGATAAGCGGCATTTTTGGATTTATGAGAGACTCTGCCGAGAAGCTTTGAATGAGCAGTTAAGAGGGCACAGGAGAGAGCCCTGGGGTTCAGGGGGCTTAAAGAAAATCAAGAGAAAGGGTTTAGGGAGGAAGACATTCCACAGCATTTATCACACTTTACTGGTTTCATGGCCACATTTCCTGATACACTCTAAGCTGCATAAGGACAAGAATATATGTTTATTTTTATTATTATTTGCCTAACAAGTGCTCAGTAAATAGTAGGTGACCAATAAATATTTGTTGAATGAATAAGTGACAGAATAAATTAAACCAAAGTAATACCTTCACTTGGACCTCCTTCACTCCCTCCACCTTCCTACTCTTTAGTGAATCTGAGCCATCTTCTAGCCCTTTCCCTCCTGTACCTCCAGCCTCCCTTGTTTTGTTAGCATTTCTCTTTGTTCTATGAAAAATCTCTAAGAAAGGAAAAATTCATGGAATAGTCATCTTTATAAATACAATGACAAAAAATAAAAACCCTCTTTGGGGCCATAAGTTTATACTCTTTGTTCTTAGAGAGTGTAGTGTGTTGTCAAGAGCAGATTGCCTGCGTTTGAATTTGGCTCTGCCACTTACTAGGTGTTTGACAATAGACAAGTTATTGAGTCTCTATGTATCTGTTTCCTCTCTTATAAAATGGGACGTTGACTCCCTACTCTATGTGGTTGCTGTGAAGATTAAATGATTAAATGAGTTAATATACACAAAGTGCTTACAAGTATATTGACAATTAGAAAATATGGTTTTCTCATTCAGTTAATCATTTAGCAAGAAAGACTTCATCTTACAGTATTTCAGAACAAGAATCTAAATTATACTGTTTTGCTGAAAGGATGAGTATTTACAATGTTTTTGCATCAAAATTTACTTGACATGGTCAAAAGTGAAAAAACACTAGAATAGCTGCGTATGCACAGCTCATGTATACAAGCAATTGGAAGGAAATATGTAATTTACAAATGAAGAAACTCGTTGAAATAATCATTCTATTTGGCATTTATAAATATAAAAATAAAAATGGTTTATTATTATGTAGGAAAGAAGCTGTGGCAATGCTCCATTCAACAAAAATGTGTCACCAAATGTTTTCAAAGTATTGCATTTTGAAAATGGAAATACTATTTAAATTCTTATTAAAATTTTTAATGGCTCTTTTTCACTATCTCCTTATTCCTACTTGTATAATTTATATGTTAAATGGCCTAAAAATATTTTTAAAGAAATAAAAATACTTCATTGAACCCAGAAGATAAATAATGGTAAGTCAGGACCTAAAAAGGGTTATATTCAGGAGCTAAAAAAAAAAAAAAAAAAAAAAAAGAAGGAAACAGAAACATTTTCTCCTTAGGAATGATTGTATTGCTGTATTCATTGTATTGAACAATTTGATACCAGACTGGGGACAGTATTAAAAATAAATCTAAGTTAAGACAAAATGTAGACTAAATCATCAGTTTAGAGACAAAGTTGAAAGGTATAAAAAGACTGAATATATGCCAATGGTCATTGAGCTATGATTTCATGCAAAATCCCCCTCAGACCTGTCTTTGTAGAGACAACTAAGCTCATGAACCCAACTTTGCTTACATAGTCTGAGCAAAGAAAACTCAGCTTAGGGAGCTTACCAGGGACCATTTTATCAAACTATTTCATAATACTTTTTGAACTTTTTGATAGTATTTGTTGACAATGTAACAGGATTAAAGCTCATGAGGTTCATTTCATATAAAACTGCATAAAGCATGTTAATTATCTTTCTAAAGTAAATGTACAACAGTCTTTGTAATATGGAATTCTAATGTTAAAACATACATTTTATTGTTTCTTTCATTTAAATAAAGATATAACTATATCTGCCAGTATTCTTCATTATAATCATGAAAACCAACTCTGACCATCTTGGGGAGAGAGAATTTATTAGAAGAATATTGTGGGCCCAAAGAATGAATGGGAGGCTGAAGAAGCAGATTCTAGCTTTCACCAAGATGATGACTAATAATGTGGGAAATAGTGGGGAAGAGGATTCCTTGAAAAAAAAATTGGGATGCCATAAAGAAAAATGTGACAGGCAAGTATTAGTAATTAGAAAGAGAATCTATCACATTGTGGGAGGAAGGGAACAAAGAATAGTTAGAAGAAATTGCAAGATATAATCAGTAATTTCAAGAGACCATATGCACATCAACAGGATCTCATACTGAGTCAGATGAAAAAGAAGTATACTACAGAATGCTTGGATCTTTGCCATTACCATTATGGGGTGAGCCAAGCATACCCTTGAGTACAACAGAGACTGAACTATGCATGCATCCCTCCTAATTTCCTTGCTGATGGAGCTGCTAGCTGAGGCTAATTATATTGTAATGAGCTACTTCACTTGCAAATGAACAATCATTCCATCTCAAATTTGCTTTCCCTGCAGCCTTCCCTACTTCATTGAAATAGCGTCTTCATCCTTCCAGATGTTCAGGCTAAATTCATGAATCAGCCTTGATTCTTCTCATTCTTTCACACCTTGCATCTAATCCATCAAAATTTCTGATGATTATACCTTCATATTATATCTATAATCTTACGTCCACTGGCTACCTAGGTCTGAGCCATCATTATTTCTCAACCGCATCCTCCTCTTAACAGGCCTCTCTGCTTTCATCCTTGCTCCAATCCCTGCCACCTTCCTGGCCCATTCTTAGTGCATTGGACAGAGTAATTATTTTAAATTTTAAGTCAGAATATGTATTTTCTCTGCTGAAAACCCTCCAAACACTCCATGTTTCACCCAAAACAAATGCCAGATTCTTTCAGTGACCTAATTGGCCCTACATGCTGCCCCACAATTACCTCTCTGACTCTCCTACCACCTTCCACTTTGTTCACTGTACTCCAATTGCATTGGCCTCTGTCTCACATACACACCAGGGATGCTCCCACCTGAAGGCTTTTGGTCTGGTTGTTTTTCCTAGAATGCTCTTCCTACAGTTATCTGCTTGGTTGACTACTCAATGACTTCAAGTCTTTGCTCAAATGTTCTCTTCTCAATGAGGCTCACCCTGACCACCTTATTTAATACTGTAACCAGCCCATACCCCAGCACTCTTGATTCTACTTACCCCTGCTCTACTCTTTCTCTTCTCTACAATACTTCTTAATCTCCAGCAGACTATACTATTTATTCTGTTATTATTTATTATCTCTCTGTCCCTACTAGAAATTCAGATCTGTGAGGGGAGAGATCTTTGTCTGTTTTGTTCATGGTGTTTCCCAAGAAAAATATTAATTTGTTACTATTAGACATCATGCTGAAAATATTTGTTGAATGAATGAAATAAACAGTAATAACAGCAAGCTCCCAAAGAAGGAGCTAGCATTTAGGAAAACATCAAGAAGCGTAATATCAATGCTGTCAATGGAAAGATCCTGTGCTCTGAAAAAACATGCTATATAAATTTATGGAAACATAATTTCAGGGAAAGGAATAGGGATGTTGAAACATATTGTGTGGTGATAAAGACTCCAATATGTTTTGGTAAGTGGGACTGGTGCTTTTATTCATAATAGCTATTGCCGTCAACTTTTTCTAGGACATTCCTTAGGCCCATGAAACCTGCCTCATAGGGGCAGTTACTTTATTTTCTTTACAATTGTCTCAGTTGGAGATTCCTAAATTGAAGTTATGGTTGAAATCTGGGTCCCTAAAGATCTAACAAAGCTGAATATTTCTGCCATGTGTTCTTCTCCAGAGCTTACCTTTTCCTTAGCTTTTGAGTTTTCTGGGCATTGAATAACGAGTTCTTTCGAATGCAGTGGAAATACTTTCCTATGGAACATCTTTTTCTCCTATTAGAATATATGTCTCTAGTGCTTAATTTTCCTCCAAGTGTTTAGCATTTGAACCTTGTTCTTACAGTGGTTCTTAAATTGGTTTCTTTCCTTTACTTAATACATCCATGACAGGCACAGTTTGCTGGAATTAATGCTTGTGTTCTTTTTGTTCCTTTTTATTTTCTTACCCAGGTTTATTTGTCTAACTTTGAGGCTGAGACTATAAATTGATGGCTAATATTCATTCATTCCTTTTATTTTAATAACAGGGCTCCAAGTTTTAGTTGGACACCTTGCCATCTAACTACAAGACTGTATTTCTAAGACTCCCTTGAAGCTTGATGTAACCAAAGTTACAGCCAATGAGGGATAAAAAAAAGTTTTGTTTGGGACTTATGGGAAAACTCCTTAAAATGGTTGTGTGTGTTCCTTCCTTCCTCCATTTTATTCAGAATGCAGATATAATAATCAGAGCCCAGAATCTCACACCATCAGAATCAGAACCATATTTTAGCATTGGCAGAGTTCTGATCTGCACACAATTGGTGTCACTGATGACTCTGTGGAGTAGACTCATTACCCCAGCCCTCTGGATTTCCTCTTTGTAAGAGAAATAACTGTGAACTTGTATAACTAGTTCTAGTTTGGGCATATCTTTCACATGCAGTTGGACCTATTCTAAATAATACAAATTCCTTTTAGGATCCCTCTTAGTGTTAAGATGCCAAAAGTATCCATTGCTCAGACAAATCCTGCCCATATGTATATTCATCTCAGGCTTGTACTTTACTATTTTCTTATCTTCCTCCTCTTTGATATGTTTCATGTTGTTGTTGTTTTTTTATTTGCTTTTCTGGTGCTCATTTTGGCAGCTCATATACTAAAACTGGAATAATATAAAGATTAGCTTGTCCCTTTGCAAGGATGACATGAAAATTCATGAATCTTCCAAACACACAGCCAACATCACACTGAACTGGCAAAAGTTGAAAGCATTTCTCTTGAGAACTGGAACAAGACAAAGATGCCCATTCTCACCACTTCCAGTAACATTGTCAGAGCAATCAGGCAAGAAAAAGAAATGAAACACATCCAAATAGGAAAAGAATAAGTCAAATTATCTCTCTTCACTGACAATATAATTCTATACCTAGAAAACTCTCTAAATTCTGCCAAAAGACTCATAGACTTGATAAGTGACTTTAGTAAGGTTTCAGGATACAAAATCAATGCACAAAAATCAGCAGCATTTCTATTTATCAATAATATTCAAGCTGAGTACCAAATCAAGAATGCAATCTGATTTACAATAGCCACCAAGAAACCCCCAAATCTAGAAATACAGCAAGCAAAGTAGTTGAAAGATCTCTACAAGAAGAAATATAAAACACTTCTGAAAGAAATCAGAGATGACACAAATGAAAAATCATTCCATGCTCATGGATTGAAAGAATCAATACTTTTAAAATGTCCATACTGTCCAAGGCAATCTACAGATGCAACCCCATTACTATCACAATACCAATTACATTCTTCATGAAATTAGAAATAACTATTCCAAAATTCATACAGAATCAAAAAGGAACCCAAATAGCCAAAACAACCCAAAGCAAAAATAACAAAGCTGGAGGCATCACAGTATCTGACTTTAAACTATACAAGGCTATAATAGACAAAACAGCATGGTACCAGTACCAAAATAGGCACATAGATCAATGAAACAGAATACAGAACCCAAAAATAAACCCACACACCTACAGTCAACTGACCTTCAACAAAGTTGACAATATTAAACAATGGGGAAAGGTTTCACTCTTCAATAAATGTTGCTGCAATAAGTGGCTAACCACATACAGAAAAATAAAACTGGACCCCTACCTCTCACCATATACAAAAATTAACGCAAGATGGGTTAAAGGTTTAAATGTTTGACCTCAATTTATGACAACTCTAGAAGAAAACTTAAGAAATACTATTCTAGACATGGGCCGAGGCAAAGATTATGACTAAGTCCTCAAAAGCAAATGCAACAAAAACAAAAATTGACAGTTGGGACGTAAATAAAGAACTTCTGCACAGCAAAAGAAACTATCAACAGAGTAAACAGATAACCTACATGATGGGAGAAAATATTTGCAAACTACACATGTGACAAAGGACTAATATCCAGAATCTATAAGGAACTTAATAAACTCAATAAGAAAAAACAAACAAACCCATTAAAAAGTGGGCAAATGACATAAACAAATGCTTCTCAAAAGAAGACATATAAGGACCCAACCAGCATTGAAAAAATGCTCATCATCACTAATCATCAGAGAAATGCAAATCAGAACCACAATGAAATACCATCTCACACCAGTCAGAATGGCTATTAATAAAAAGTCAACAAAATAACAGATGTTGGCAAGGCTTCAGAGAAAAAGGAACACGTATACACTGTTGGTGAGAATGTAAATTAACTCAACTCCTGTGGAAAGCAGTTTGAAGATTTCTCAAAGAACTAAAAATAGAATTACCATTCAACTCAGCAATCTCCTTACTGGGTATATACTTAAAGGAAAATAAATCATTCTACCAAAAAGACACCTGCACATGCATGTTTATTGCAGCACTATTCATAATAGCAAAGACATGGAATCAACTTAGGTGCCAATCAACAGTGGATTGGACAAAGAAAATGTGGTACATACACACCAGGGAATACTATGCCACCATAAAAATAATGAAATCATGTCTTTTGCAGCAACATGAATGCAGCTGGAAGCCATAATCCTAAGCAAGTTAACACACAGACAGAAGACCAAATACTGCATATTCTCACTTATAAGTGGGAATTAAACCTTGGGTATACACAGGCATAAAGATGAGAATAGTAGACACTGGGGACCCCAGAAGGGGGAAAGGGAGAGAAAAGGAAGAGTTGAAAAAACTATCTATTGCAGGGCTCCCCAACCTTTTTGGCACCAGGCACCAGTTTCATGGAAGATAGTTTTTCCAAGAACTGGGCGAGGGGTGAGGGAAGATTGTTTTGGGGTGATTCAAGCACATTATGTTTATTGTGCACTTTATTTCTATTATTATTACATTGTAATATATAATGAAATAATTATACAACATACCATAATGCAGAATCAGTGGGAGTCCTGAACTTGTTTTCCTGCACTAGATGGTACCATCTGGGGGTGATGGGAGACAGTGATATCTGAAGTGTGTTGATGTCCAGTTTGCTCCTTAATTTTGTTTTCGTTGCTGTCACTGCAGAAACACTGTTTCACAACGATAGGATGCTGAAAATGGAAGCAGGCTTTTCAGTACGTTTGTGGCAATCTCAGGATATTCCTCGTTGACTTGAAACCAGAATGTATGGAGATTTGCAGTTGTCTCAAATATACTTTTAAGGCCACCATGATTTGTGATCTCAAGCAGTTGGTCCTCCTCTAGCACAGACAAAGTCGATTCAGCTGGCTTATTCAAAAATAGGTGGCGGATCCATTCCTTCCCAGTTCTGTGGTCCTTTGTGCTTGGGCTAAGACAGGTGATCATGCACCAGCTGGGAGAAAGAAGGCCCTGGCTCAGCCTCTTTCAAAATTTCTGCTAATGTTTGAAACATGTCAGAAATCCCAATGTTCACTCATCACCCCCATAATTCCAGTTTAGCTTTGAATGAAGCCATTTTATCTGCCAACTTGAACACAGTTGTCATTCTCCCCTGGAGTAACAAATTGAGTTTGGTTAGCAAGTTGAATATGTCACACAAGTAAGGAAGTTTGCCGACCCATTCAATGTCACTGAAATGTGCTGCCAGTGGTGACTGTTTTTCTAACAGAAATGTCTGGAGCTGCTCTCATAACTCAAGAGCTCCGGCCAGTGATCAACCTTTAGAAAGCCATCTACTTCTGTGTATAAGAGAAGACATGTGTCCTCTGTGTCCATCTCCTCACAGAGCTGAGCAAACATATGTGAGTTAAGGGAATGTACTTAAATGTGGTTGATAATTTTAATCACATTCTGCAAAATGTTAAGTTCCAGTGACATTTTCCAGCTAGCCAGCATTTCTCTATGGATAACGCAGTGTGTAGACTCACATTTAGAAGCAACCTCTTTGACCTGAGTAGTAAAACCAGAAAGCCATCCAGTCATGGCGGCCAATCTGTCTGTCCATATACAGACACAAAGTGACCAATTCAGTTTTCCTGATACCTAATCATTCAACGATATGAATAATTTTGTAGCTGTGGTGTTGGTTGGCAACAAAAGTGCACATAATATATCCTCATGTGCATCCTCCTGAAAAATATATCCCACAAAAACAAGCATTGTTTCATTGTTGTTAACACTGGTAAACTTGTCAACCTGGATTGCATACCATGGTGACTCATTAATTCTAACAATTGCCTCAATATCTTCTGCTATTTCACCAATTTGTCTGGTTATAGTGCTAGCTGAAAGAGGAACATATGCCACCATTTGAAGGGCATCCTCTCCTTAAAGTTCATGACAAATGTCCTTAGCAGCAGGCAGGATCAACTCTTCACCAATAGTAAAGGGCTTCTTAGCTTTAGCAATGTGGTTAGCCACTAAGAATGATGTTCTCAGCGCAGACACATTTGATGAAGTGGTGGCCTTCAGTAATTGCTTCTGTTCTTCATGTTCATAGGTTTTTTTCTTTTGAAAAACTCCAAAGGCTTGTCTTCTAATGCAGGCTGCTTGGTCTCCATGTGGCAAAGCAGTTTTGAAGGTTTCATGGCTTCATTGGATAGCTGGTCACCACATATTATACAAAGCAGACTTGGAGAATGTGAATCACGTGTTGCAATGAACCTGTAATTTAAGTAAGACTCTTGGTATTTTCTTTTAAATGCAGCTTTATTTTTTTTGGCAGTCTTAGAGTCTTCTGCTCTCTCACCGTTGGGTCTTTCCCCCTTTTCAAAGAAGCTCTCCAGTGACGTTTGTATTTTACTCATTTTGGCCAGGGGTTAGCTGTGGGCTCACCAAAACTGTGACTGAGACAAGTGTGCAGTGCAAGAAAAAGGTGCAGATGGAAGTGGTAAATAAAATAATGAGCAGGCCATGTGTGGACTAAAATAAGTGTTGGATTCTGACTTAAAGCCTGCCACCAGATGCAGCTTGTCACTTGCCACTCACTGATAGGGTTTTGATATGAGTCTGCAAGCAATTGATGTATTAGGGTTTCTGTGCAGTCAAACCTCTCTGCCAATGTTAATCTGTATTTGCAGCTGCTCCCCAGGGTTAGCCTCACAGTCTCAGCTCCACCTCAGATCATCAGGCATTAGATTTCCATAAGGAGCCTGCAACCTAGATCCTTTGTATGCGCAGTTCACAATAGAGTTTGCACGCCTATGAGAATCTAATGCTGCTGATGATCTGACAGGAGGCAGAGTTCAGGCGGTCATGCAATTGATGAGGAGTGGCTGTAAATACAGATGAAGCTTCACTCACTGGCCTGCTGTTCATCTCCTGCTGTGTGGTCTGGTTCCTAACAGACCATGGAACAGTACTGGTTTGAGGCCCAGCAGTTGGGGACCCCTGATCTATTGGGTACTGTGTTCAAAATTTGGGTGATGGGGTCAATAGAAGCCCAAACCTCAGCACCACACAATGTACCCAGGTAGCAAACTTGCATATGTACCTCTGAATCTAAAAATTTTTAAGTAAAATAAAAAAAATAAGCTTTTCTGTAATAAAGGTGATGTTTTGATTGCCTGCATCTGTCTCTCAGATGGTTCTGAATTCAGTAGGAGGAGGAGTGTTACATATTGTAGATGAGTTGTAGCATCCAATGACCTTAATTAAAATTAACCTAATTAATAAAATAAATATAATCCAAATTGCTTCAGTGATTTCTCCCCTGTATTTGAGATGCTTAAATGCAACTTCCTAGTAGGCATCTCTACTTAAATGCCTACCAAACAGCTCAAATCTAATATTCTCAAAACTAAACATTTAATCTTTCCCCCTACTTGGTGCTCTCTGTCTCCTCCATCACAGCCATGGTAACTCTATTTTATCAGGTGTTTAGGGCATGCCCAGAGCCATACTTGAGCTCTCTATTTCTCTCACACACTACAGCCAATTCAACAGGAAATACACTCAGCTCTATTTCCAGATGTATCATACCTATATTATGTCCTCAGCATGGATCACAAGCTAAACTGCCATTACCAGCATCTGGGCCACCATCACCTTTCTCCAGCATTATGGCAATTACCTTCTGTACTGGGTTGAATCACGTCCTTAAAAAATTCACATCCAAGTGGAACCTCAATGTGATGAGCTTATTTGGAAACTGGGTCTTTGTAGATGTAATTAGTTGAAATCTGGTCATCCCAGATTAGGGTGACTCCTAATCCAATGACTAGTAGTGTCCTTATAAGCAAAGAAAAGAGCTATAGAGAGACACACAGGGAGAAGACCATGTGATGACCAAGGCAGATATTAGAGTAATAAATCTACAAGCCAAAGAACATCAAGGTTTGAGGGCAGTCATTAGAAACTAACACAAAGCAAGAAAGGACTCTCCCTTAGAGGCTGCAGAGAGAGCATGACCCTGCTGACACCTTGATTTCAGATTTCAAGCCTCTAGAACTGTGAGAGAATAAATGTCTGTTGTTTTAAGCCACCTAAAGCATGGTACAGTTGACCCTTGGTATCCATGGAAGATTGGTTCCAGAACACCCCGCATCCCCAACTCCTCCACCCATGCCATACCAAAATCCTCCTTGGTTGCTCACTTCCCTATATAAAATGGTGTAGGATTTGCTTTTAACCTATGTACATCTTTCCATATACTTTAAGCAAATTAACATACAAACAGAAAGCCAAATACCTCTCTAGATTACTTACAATATCCAATACAATGTAAATACCATGTAAATAGTTGTTGTACAATATTGTTTTTATTTGTATTATACTTGATTGTTGTATTATTATCTTCATGTTTCTTCCCCCCATACTTTTGATCCACAGTTGGTTGAATCCAGATGCAGAACGTGCAGATAGGAAGGGCTGACTGTACTTTGATCCTGCAGCCCTAGGAAATGGATGTAGCTTTCTAGCAGTCCCCTCTACTTTTACCTCTCAGCCTGGCCTCCACCTCTTCAGTAGACTCTCTCAGTAGCAGCCAGAAAGGTCTTTTTCATGTACCATAGTCAGACCATGACCCTTCTCGGAGCCAGCCCTTAATGACTACTTATTTCACTCAGAGTTAAATCAATGCCGTTCTAGTGCCTCCTGGTCTCCTAGTACCACTCCGACTCATCTATATTACTCTCCCTCCTTTCCCACTGCCTTGTTTTTTGTTTGTTTGTTTTAACTTCAGTCTCTGCTCTTCCTCAAATACACCAGATACAGTCCCACCTTAGGGTCCTTTTCTCTAGCTGTCACCTCTGCCTGGAACACACTCTGTTCCCCAACATCTGCTCACACCTCACGTTCTCCAAGAGGCCTATTCAGTATTCTTTTTAATACTACAATCTGTACTCCATCCAAAACCCCTTTCACTTGTTCTTCATTTTCTCTTTCTATGTATTTATGACATTGAATGTTGTGTGTGTTTATGTTTTAGTTCTTCTTGTTTATTTTCTCCTATTAGAAGGTAATGTCCATCAGGGCAGGAATTTTTGTACCTTTTGTTCCATGATGTAACACAGGCTCATAAAGCAGGACTGTTCAGTAGGAGTGTAATGTAAGCTACATATGTAACTTTAAATTTTCTAGTAGCCACACTAGAAAGATTAAAAAGAAACAAGTGAAGTTAATATTAATAATATATTTTATCTAGCCTAATATATCCAAAATGTATCAAACATGTAACCAATATTTTAAAATATATTAAAACAATATTTCACCTTCTTTTCTGTTGCTATCTCTATAGCATCCAGGGTGTGGCTTGCACTTACAGCACAACTCAATTCTGACTAGCTATATTTCAAGGGCTCAACAGGCACACAGGGGAGTGACTTCCATATTGGAAGGCACAGGCCTAGAGCAATGCCTGGCACACAGTTGACATGGAATACCTATTATTGAATAAATAAATGATTAAACAAAGGATCTTCTGTGATGCCATTGCCACATAAAATGAAACCTTCAAGGAAGCAGGGAAGGTAAACTAATCCATGCCCAACAGCAAAGAAAAACAACCATAAAAGATTCCTACAATGATGATCCTGTAAAACAAAAAGGACTTAGTTTTACAGAATTAGAGCTATGGCAAATTTCTTGAGTGCCATTTTCTTGGAAGGGAAAGCCAAATGTAGTGTGATAGTGGTTTGGAATTAATTAATGAATGACCTTAATAGATTTTATTTTCAAAGAATGAGCCAATTCTCATCCTATAATTTATTCTAGAGTCTGAAGTCACAAAACATGAGAATTTGACCTATGCAAATCAAACTCATGAATATGAGGAAGTGGCTTAGTCCAGCAAAGACTGTAGCCCAGCTGTTGGAAGTCCTTATGCTTTATAACTTTTTTATGTTCTAAAAAAACAAACTAACTAAACAAAACACATGGGTTTGTCTGGCAGATGCCAGAGAACAGCTTCTGCTTGTGGACCTCAAATGCACCGATGCAAATTAAAACATGAAAGGTAGCCGGTGTCTTTACGGCCTGGATCACCACCATGTTCACCTCCTGGGTTCTTATATGGCCACTTCATAGTTTCCCAAGTTTGGCATGTTTACTTAGTACTGCCAACATGATTGCATAAATCAAGTGCTTTGACACAAACACACCCTTTTCTCATTTTAAACTGAATGATCATTAATCTCTCATAATTTACTATTCATGAATGCTATAGCACTTCTTGAAATGCAAAAACAAACTGTTGACAGCTTCAAAATATAGCAGCCCATTAATCTGCTTAAAGCAAGTTCTAGGATTTTCCTTTCATTAGCATTACCAGTGAGGAAGCCGCTTTACTTCCTAAATACACTGAGAGGTGTCTCTATCTTCAGTAACTTGTTCAGCCTGCTTCTCCTGTCAAAATGACATTTGGACCACAGTTTGTAACTTAACTTAGATTCATTAGCCAATAGTATATATTCACCTTGTATTAAAAACTCATACTGAACCATGTCAAACAATTTTGCTTTGACATAGCTCTCAGAGGCTATTTTGAAGAAATTTCTAAAGTCTGAAATAGCAGACTTTCCTTATGAATAATTTCCTTACGAAATTAGTAAATTAAGACAATATAAAATTATGAACTGTTTAAAATATTAACTATCAATCCTTGCACCACCTTGACATTTGACTTAGAAAAAAAAGTTTTTGTACAGCTTAATTTCCCCTCTAAGATCAATGAACACTTTTACCTCTTATAGCTATTACAATAAAAACCTTCCTTTGAACACTCCTAAATCTCTTTTGATGAAAGAATTGAGATTATAAAAAGAATATAAAGTATTAATTAAACTACTACCAGAAAGTCTACATCTTATTATAACACAGTTGTGCCTTCAATGCTTTAGGGGCCCAAAATAGACAGCTGCAGGACAGGTCTTTCCAAATAAAGCAGCTTGGAAGATGAACTGCTGAATGTCCCAGTGGTGTCATTGTGTTTGACGTTGGCATCATTTTCTTTTACTTTCTATTCTCCTTTGAAGTCTGAGTCAATGCTCCTACACTGTTAACTTAAAAAAATTATTTAGAAGGCAGAGTTGGGAGATGTTCAATCTGAGTTTAGGAAACTTCTTTCAAATAAAGATATATTCCAAGGTATGGCTGTGATCCAACTTCCACATAAAATGAAAATTCCTTACAGTATTTTATGATGGAACCTGTGCCACTCCAACCTTCATACATTTCAAATACAACCATTTCATATTAGTTACCTTCATATGTTACTTTTTAAAACTTTTTCCAGGAGGAGTCTTTAGGCTTTTCTAGGTAAACGATCATGTCATCGGCAAACAGCAACAGTCTGACTTCCTCTTTACCAATTTGGGTGCCTTTTATTTCTTTCTCCTGTCTGATTGCTCTGGCTAGGACTTCCAGTACTATATTGAAGAGGAGTGGTGAGAGTGGACATGCTTGTCTTGTTCCAGATCTCGGAGGGAATGCTTTCAACTTTTCCCCCTTCAGTATTATATTGGCTGTGGGTTTGCCACAGATGGCTTTTATCATATTGAGGTATGGTCCTTGTATGATGATTTTGCTGGGAGTTTCAATCATAAAGCTATGCTGGATTTTGAATACTTTTTCTGCATCATTGAGATGATCATGTGTGTTTTTTATTAATTCTTTATTTATTTTATTTATTTATTTATTTATTTATTTTTGAGATGGGGTCCATGTGGTTTTTTTTTTTTTAATTCTTTTTTTTTTTTTTTTGAGACGGAGTCTCGCTCTGTCGCCCAGGCTGGAGTACAGTGGCGTGATCTCGGCTTACTGCAACCTCTGCCTCCAGGGTTCACGCCATTCTCCTACTTCAGCCTCCCGAGTAGCTGGGGCTACAGGCGCCCACCACCACGCCCATCTAATTTTTTGTATTTTTAGTAGAGATGGGGTTTCGCCATGTTAGCCAGGATGGTCTCAATCTCCTGACCTCGTGATCCGCCCACCTCAGCCTCCCAAAGTGCTGGGATTACAGGCATAAGCCACTGCACTCAGCCTTTTGTTTTTAATTCTGTTTATGTGATATATCACATTTATTGACTTACATATGTTAAATCATCCCTACCTCCCTGGTATAAAACCTACTTGATCATGGTGTATTATCTTTTTGATATGTTGTTAGATTTGGTTAGCTAGTATTTTGTTAAGGATTTTAGCCTTTATGTTCATCAGGGATATTGGTCTGTAGTTTTCCTTTTTGGTTATATCCTTTCCTGGTTTAGTATTAGGGTGATACTGGCTTCACAGAATGATTTAGGGAGGGTTCCCTCTTTCTCCATCTTGTGGAATAGTGTCAATAGGACTGGTACCAAGTCTTCTTTGAATGTCTGGTAGAATTCTGCTGTAAATCCGTCAGGTCCTGGGCTTCATTTTGTTGGTATTTTTAAAATTACCATTTCAATCTTACTGCTTGTTATTGGTCTGTTCGGGGTACCTAATTCTTTCTGATTTAAGCTAGGAGGGTTGTATCTTTCCAGGAATTTATCCATCTCTTCTAGGTTTTCCAGTTTATGTGTGTAAACATGTTCATAATAGCCTTCAATGATCTTTTGTATTTCTGTGGTGTCAGTTGTAATATCTCCTGGTTTGTTTCTTATTGAGCTTATTTGGATTTTCTCTGTTCTTTTCTTGGTTAATCTTGCTAATAGTCTATCAACTTTATTTATCTTTTCAAAGAACCAGATTTTTGTTTCATTTATCTTTTGTATTTTGTTGTTGTTGTTGTTTCAATTTCATTTAGTTCTGTTCGGATCTTGGTTATTTCCTTTCTTCTTCTGGGTTTGGGTTTGGTTTGTTCTTGTTTCTCTAGTTCCTTGAGGTGTGACCTTAGGTAGTCTGTTTGTGCTCCTTCAGACTTTTTGATGTAGACCTTTAGGGCTATGAACTTTCCTCTCAGCATTGCCTTTACTATATCCCAGAGGTTTTGATAGGTTGTGTCACTAGTGTCATTCAGTTTGAAAAATTTTTTAATTTCCATTTTGATTTCATTTTTGATCCAATGATCATCCAGGAGCAGGTTATTTAATTTCCATGTATTTGCATGGTTTTGAAGGTTCCTTTTGGAGTTGATTTCTCATTTTATTTCACTGTGGTCTATGAGAGTGCTTGGTCTAATTTCAATTTTCTTAAATTTATTGAGGCTCGTTTTGTGGCCTATCATATGGTCTATCTTGGAGAAAGTTCCATGTACTGCTGAATAGAATGTGTATTCTGTGGTTGTTGGATGGAATGTTCTGTATATATCTGTTAACTCCATTTGTTTCAGGATATAGTTTAAATCCATTGTCTCTTTGTTGACTTTCTGTAGTGATGACCTGCCTAGTGCTGTCAGTGGAGTATTGAAGTCCCCTATTATTATGGTGTTGCTGTCTATCTCATTTCTTAGGTCTATTAGTAATTATTTTATAAATTTAGAAGCTCAAGTGTTAGGTGCATATATATTTAGGATTGTGATATTTTCCTGTTGGAAAAGGCCTTTTATCATTATATAATGTCCCTCTTTGTCTTTTTTAACTGCTATTGCTTTAAAGTTTGTTTTGTCTGATATGAGAATAGTTACTCCTGCTCACTTTTGGTGTCCATTGTCTGAAATGTCTTTTTCCATCCCTTTACCTTAAGTTTGAGTGAATCCTTATGTGTTAGGTGAGTCTTTTGAAGGCAGTAGATGGTTGGTGAATTCTTATCCTTTCTGCAATTTTGTATCTTTTAAGTGGACCATTTTAGCCATTTACATTCAATGTCAGTATTGAGACGTGAGGTATCATTTCATTCATTGTGCTATTTGTTGCCTGTGTACCTTGGTTTTTTGTTTTTTGGTTTTGGTTTTTAAATTGTAATTTTGTTTCATAGGTCGTGTGAGATTTATCTTTTAAAGAGGTTCTGTTTTGATGTGTTTCCAGGATTTGTTTCAAGATTTAGAGCTCCTTTTAGCAGTTCTTGTAGTGATGGCTTGGTAGTGGTGAATTCTCTCAGCATTTGTTTGTCTAAAAAAGACTGTATTTTTCCTTCACATATGAAGCTTAGTTTTGCTGGATACAAAATTCTTGGCTGATAATTGTTTTGTTTGAGGAGGCTGAACATAGGGCCCCCAGTCCCTTCTAGCTCGTAGGGTTTTTGCTGAGAAATCTGCTGTTAATCTGACAGGTTTTCCTTTATAGGTTACCTGGTGGTTTTGTCTCACAGCTCTTAAGATTCTTTCCTTCATCTTAACTTTAGATAACCTGATGACAATGTGCCTAAGCAACGATCTTTCTGCAATGATTTTCCCAGGTATTCTTTGTGCTTCTTATATTTAGATGTCTAGGTCTCTAACAAGGCTGGGGAAGTTTTCCTCAATTATTCCCCCAATATGTTTTCCAAACTTTTAGATTTCTCTTCTTCCTCAGGAACACTGCTTATTCTTAGGTTTGGTCATTTAACATGATCCCAGACTTCTTGGAGGCTTTGTTCATATTTTCTTATTCGTTTTTTTTTTTTTTTTTTGTCCTTGCTGGATTGGGTTTATTTGAAAACCTTGTCTTCAAGCTCTGAATTTCTTTCTTCCACTTGTTCAGTTCTATTGCTGAGACTTCCCACAGCGTTTTGCATTTGTATAAATGGTCCATTGTTTCTTGAAGTTTTTATTGTTTTTTATTTGTGTGATCTATCTCCTTGAATATTTCTCCCTTCACTTCTTGTATCATTTCTTGGATTTCCTTACATTGGGCTTCACCTTTCTCTGTTGCCTCCCTGATTAGCTTAATAACTAACCTTCTGAATTCTTTTTCAGGTAAATAGGGGATTTCTTCTTGGTTTGCGTCCATTGCTGGTGAGCTAGTGTGATTTTTTTTGAGATCTTAAAGAACCTTGTTTTGTCATATTACCAGAGTTGGTTTTTTGGTTCCTTCTCATTTGGGTAGTCTCTGTCAGGGGGAAGGTCTAGGGCTGAAGGCTGTTGTTCAGATTCTTTTGTCCCATGGGGTGTTCCTTTGATGTAGTACTCTCCCCCTTTTCCTATGGATGTGGCTTCCTGAGAGCTGAGCTGTAGTGATTGTTATATCTCTTCTGGATCTAGCCCCTCAGAAGTCTACTATACTCCGCACTGGTACTGCGGGTTGTCTGCACAGAGACCTGTGATGTGAACTGTCTGTGGGTCTCTCAGCCATGGATACCAGTGCAATATTTGGGGTGTCTCCCGAGTCCAGCAGGAGCAATCCGCTTCCTTCAGGGAGCCTGTGGCTCCTCTCAGATTTTCTAATTTATTCCTGAGGTCATTCTGGAGCAAAAATTCACGATAGGAACCTCCACATGCTGCTCTGTCTGTCTCAGTTGAAGCTACAATCTAGTCCTACCTCCCATCCACCATGATCCCCATTCAGTCAATCTTTCATATGTTACTTCTATCCCATGTGCATTGACTCTATGTCCATTGTGGACAATTTAAGATTATATTAGTAATTTATGCACATGTATTTGATATTTATACTATTTATAGCTTAAATGATTGCATTTTGCCAGCAAATTATTACCTAAAAAGAATAAAAGTGTCTTGCCAATGACTCGCCAATAATACAAAGTTCTCTTATAGGTGACTACTTAGAGCCAGAGGTACAATATAAACAAACACACTATAATAAAGAGGAAAAGTTGCAAATGTTTGCAAAAGTTTTCAATCTAATGGGTATCTAGCTTATATGGAAATTTTATGGAATACAATTCGAGCTATAATATTAAATCAATTTTTTTAAGTTTGAGATTTTACTAATTTTTTCTCTAGCCATAAAACACATTTTCAAAGCATTATTTCTTTAATAAATAACACATATAGATATACATATATATGCATGTTTAGTGGCAGATAACTAGATTCACTTTGTAAAAAATTCTCTAGACCCTCATTCCTTCTAGATTTCACACCCTATCCTTACTCCCTGCCCTCTCTCTCTTACCTCCTTACTGTGTAGATTGTTTTAACCTCCAGCAGAATTCACTACTTTCTCTCAGATTTTCCATCAGAAAATGTCTAAGATGAGATCTATGATTGAGGAGCCTGTAAAATGATGAATTTTTTTTTAATAGTCTAGGAAAGAGAGAAGTTTGTAAAGATTAATAAAACCACACCAGTAAATTATATCCCCTATAATTAATAAATTGTAATATGGATTATAAAAGAAAATAACACGTTGTTTTGAGAAAAAAATATAGATGGGGAGGAGAGTCTGAGAATCCTCTGCAGAAGTTGAATTTGAGCTGAGCCGAGACCTGAAAGATAAACCAATTTCTGTGTTTAAAGTCCTCACGGTCCAGATAGAACAGGAGATCACTAGCAGTGATGTTACTAAAAATTGACTAAGAAAACAACCTCCTAATTTTGCTTTTTTTTTTTTTTTTTTTTTTGAGACAGAGTCTCACTGTGTCGCTGAGGCTAGGATGCAGAGGTACGATCTCAGCTCACTGCAGCCTCAACCTCCCAGGTTCAAGCCTTTCTCGTGCCTTAGCCTCCTGAGTAGCTGAGATTACAGGTATGTGCCACCATGCCCAGCTAATTTTTTGTATTTTTAGTAGTGACAGAGTTTCACCATATTGGCCAGGCTGGTCTCAGACTCCTGGCCTCAAGTTGATCTGCCCGCCTCAGCCTCCCAAAGTGCTGGGGTTACAGACATGAGCCACAGCGCCCAGCCATAATTTTACTTTTCATGTTACATTTTCATTCAGTGAGCCTCCTAAGAATAAAACAAAACTTAACACACTTGGTCACAAACTATGAGGCAGATCATATGAAGTGGCTGATATCTGAACAGTTTTTTCCTATAACAACCTAAAACAGAGAAATGAAAACAAACAAAACCTCTTAATGCAGCCTATTTACATTCCTTTCATCCCCACATTAAATGATTGTAACCCAGAATAGTCTGTGGAAATTCTCTATCTTGTCCAATTTGTCCCACTGCCAAAGGCATACAGTGTTAAACAGCGACCTGGATCCTGGAAAGAGTTCACAGTTTCCAAAGGCATCTAATTCTACCATCTGGATGTGAAATTGCATATGGTTGCCCGCTTAAAGTTCAGGGTCATAGCTGACACTCAGAAAATTTTAAAAGGTAAAAATAGTACCTCCAATAATTTTTTCTACTTGTCCCCGATAGAGTTCAGGACACACTCCCTCAAAATCCACCACCTTGGCATACTGAGTATTTTAAGCTGGAGAAAAGAGAGGAAGCAGACAGTTCTCTCTGACTTCAGCCCTTCTCCCATAAAGGAAGTCATAAAACCTAGGAAGGTTTTATGACCTATTCCTGAAGCAAGTCATAGGACCCACACGTGAGAGGTTCCCCACCCCCACCTCATCAGCAAAAAGGAATATTCTTACCCTGACAGGAAGAGGCTGAGAAAGAAAATAAACTTTTTATCTGAGAAATCCTAGCCCCTTTAAATTGTCAGGCCCAGAGAGGCATGGAAATGAGACAGCAGTCATATACCACTTTAACCCCTATCCTTGAGCTAAGTCATCATTTTGAAACCACTTACTATGTGGGGTCTAAACCAACTGATGCCACAAATATCTATAAATTAACCTAACAATGCCATAGACTAGACATTCTAACTGAAAATACACTACAGTTCAACAATGTATGGCCAATTGCTAAACAATGTTATTTCTGAAAGCCAATGAGAATTCCTGAAAAACAGTTTTGTAATCTCTCCATCCAGATTCATCCATTTTTCTTTAAAAGCTTGAGCCTCTCATTTGTTCTCTGAAGTGCTTCCCAGGGCAACTTGAAAGTGTTTTGTGGGCAGCAGTCCTCGACCTTAGCCCAAATAAACTCTCTATCCTAAATTGCCTCCATTTCTTCCTTTAGGTTGACAGGGCACAGAGAAGAATCTGAGCAACTGGGTCTTCCCACGTTTCCCCAGTTTATTATCATTAGATCAGACCCTTCCTGCTCAACCAGATTTTTCCACAACTCTCCACTCTTCATGAAACCTACTATTAGAAAACTAAGGTTTAATTGTTTCTTCACGTCTTCATTTATTTATAAAGTCTCCTGTGTCATTTAAAGCTTATATTGAAGTAATGTGTATGCCTTTCTCTTGCTAACCCATTGTTTATTATGGAGGCCTCAGCCATGAACCTATGGTAGGTGAAGAGAAGATATTTTTCCTCCTCTACATCTTGCTCCCACGCAACATTTTTTCCTCCTTTTGTGTTCAGTATGGGCAGGTTGTAGATGTACACTTTAGACCACACAAGCACAATAACTCTGCAATTAAGAATATTACCTATTGATAAGTTACTTTACTTTTCTGTTTGGTGGCATTTGGAGAGTCCTAGCAATGACAATAAATAATAAGAATTCTCCTTACGGGTATATGATCATGGGTTAGCCTACTAAATAGATATAAATGAGTATAAAAATGCAAAGACATGAATGGAAAAGAATTATTTCCCTTAATACTATGTTTACCTCAAAGACTCAGGTAACTGCAGATAATTTTGAAAGTATTTTATTGGCTGCACAGGAAGATTTGGGGCTAGCTAGCTAACTAGTTAATGCTGCTTATATTCTCTACTAGGTCTTGTTTTATATGTTCAAAAGCTGGTCACTAAAACTTAGGATGGTGATTAGCTGGCATTGAACATTTCTGAGGTCATGATAGGCATAACACATACCTAATCTGATGTGTGCATAAATTAAATGAAAACAAAAGCCATTTCCTGAAACAGTGAATAGGTGACAGAAAAACAGAAATGAATGAAATAAAAGTAAAACTTTAAAAAAAAAAATCAAAATTGCTAGGTCTTCAGGACTTAGTCTGGCATTTCTTTTCCTTAAAGCACTTTAAAAAAAAGAAACAATACCATATTTCATTGAAGACAGTAACACCTACTATTCCCATTTCTTATCCCTCTCCATAAACCAGAAGGGCCATATTCCCACTGGGCAGGGTGACCAGTTTCCTATAGTCTTTGTTCTTGTTTTTCCTAATGAAAGCTAACAGCTAGACTTTTCTTTATGCTATCCAACAGACAAAAAGAGCATTTTTGCTCTAGAGAAATCTAATTTTACAGACAAAAAAACTGAGGTGTATCAAGGCCAAATGAATGATATTACTGATCATTCTTGTGATTATTATATTAATAATTATAATTAAATCTGTTTAGAGCTAACCACACACGAAGTAATATGTTAAGATGTCACATGTGTTAACTCATTTTGTTCCTTAAACAGGTCTGCAATTTTGGTATTATTTTTCCTATTTTACCAGTGAAGGAAAAACTTTAAGAAACTAATGATCTTATGGGAAAGCTAGTAAGTAATAAAGCAAGGACATTAAAACACTCCATTATACTGTCTCTTAAATAATAGACATCATTTATTGAGCACCTTCTATATGCCAGTTACTTACTACATTGTATCATTTAATACTGACCCCATAGAAATAGCTGTGGCAACTGAGAGTAAAGAAGGCCAGTAATTTGCCAAAGGCTGCACTGCACAAGAAAGACCATGGCAGAGGCTTGACTTAAGTAGAGGCCTATATTTTAGAAGCTCCTGCTATTTCTTCCAGGCTTTCCAAAAGGTTCAGAGGAGCCAATATTTTAAGTCCACGGGGCTTGGTTTTTAACACTCCTTCTCGTCAAAGGCTTGCTCATCCACCAGTCATTAGCACACTTAGTTATTCCCAGACTTAATCTTATCCCCAAACCTTTAGATGTAATTATTTGTCCCCTGTGATCATTACAAACACCACTGATATGCAATTACCTATGCTTCGGACTTTTTCAATCTATTGAAATGTCTCCAAATGCCCTGGGACTTAAGCTCCCACTTTTAATTCTCATATCATTAACAATTATTAATGTGAGAGCCAGAATGGATATTTCCATATAAACAGCCTCAGTGACTGTAAAATTACCAAAGAAAAAGCTCATAGATTCCAGCTACCAGAGTAGACACAGGCTCTGCTAAGAATATCTCTGATCATAGCCAGAGAGAGTCCTTGGAGAGTTTTTGATTTGATATATGACAAGGCAGTTTAAAACACTACATTTTTGAAAGTTAACTTATTTATCTCTTCCATGCTCTAAATTTAACTTCTGGTTTTAATTTAAAATCATCATAAACTATTTATAACTTATCAGTAAAATGTACATTTACAGAAAGTCAAACCTAGGTCATAGAATAATTATTTGGTTTATTTGGTTTTGTTTTAGGAGGGGAAATATTAGTCCAGAGCATCAATATAAAAAACCATTAAATATGTGCTTATGTCCTTCTCCCATTCCTGAATTCCAAAACGAAGAATTTTTATTCTCTTCTCAGTTTGTATATTTTATAGTAGATCCAAATTTGGGTTAACTTTTTGCAAAGACATTTTGGCTTTAAAATAGACTCTCTGCCTCATGGTCAAGTTACATTCTTATTGCAACTTGATGTGAATCACTTCCCATTCGTAGCCCACAGTCAGTCTCTCTCTTAGATAAAGTTATGTGCAGCAATAAAATTTTAAACATGAACTCAGTATATGACTAGCTGTGAAATAAAGTTTCTTGATCATTTCTGTTTATTCTGAAACTGACAGACAGGTGTGCCTTATTTTTCCAGAGGCTTACAATGAGGTCAGAAGAAAAATACAATACTTTGTACATTCCGCTAATACTGTGAACTGAATTATTGTAACATGCAGCTGTTCTCAATTTTGAAAAGCCAATGCTATGCTCTGGATTACAGAACTTTATTTTTTTTATTTAAAAATGAATTAAAATAGGAAGCACAATCAAAGAGCAGAGTACAGCTTAGCTCAGGATCCAAAAATACAAATAAGAAAAATTTTACCTAGAGACAAAAATTATATAAGTTTTAGTAAAATACCTGTTTGGACAGTTTTAAATGTGGTGGAGTAAGGAATGTGTCATTTATTTATACATAGCCAAGTTTAGGGCCACAAGAGACAATCATGGACCCAAGAAATGGGGACATTTGTGGCAAATATGACCAAAAAAAAAACTCTAGCCCTGATAGATCATATAGTCTATGAGGGAAGCTAGACATTAATAAATAATTACAACATAAATATTTAAACACATATGAGATAACTTATAGAAAAGCACAGGGAACTGTGAGAACTTCTCATGGGAGAACCTGAGCTGTTTGGGGTTGGGGGTGGGTGACAGAGCAGGCCCCCTTGATGAAGTCCTACGGGAAGGGAGCAGGAAGCCAGATAAAAGAACTGGCAGAGCCAGGGAGCACATTCTCCAGTGACTTTGTGATATGCTGGCAAAGGGACAGTGTAAACTGCATATTTCCAGATATGGGATCTACTTGGGATGTGTGGTGAAACTAATTATTCAAACTTCATGACCAAAAAAACACACAAACATCTGGTCTCTTAATTTTATTAGCACATATTATCACCGATTATGTCTTTTAATTTAAAAATATAATCAGTTCAATCTTTATCTCTCATGTCACAAGGATTACTTTATCTTAAGAGATTTTAGTTAAATTGTTCAATAGTCCTTTCTCCCTGTAGTGGGCACAACCCATTTCCTCATTTACATTGTTCTTGCCATCTCTCCATTATATGGAGTCTCCAGCCCCTTAGACGACTTAGCCCCTTTTCCCTGAGGTGACTATAATACCTCATGCAAACCTACATATTTTTTCTACTGTTGAATACTCACATGTGAGCTTTTTCTTGCCCATCCACAGTAAGGAGCATAAAACCCAAAAGAAAGAACAAACAGGCTTCGTATAACTAGGTCACACCTATCACATTTTACGTTCCAAGACAATTAGTTGGGTTGGAATTTCCCAATGAAAATATACATTTTATTAAACTGGAAACAGAACCTTGATAATGATTCTTGGATCCCAGCATGAGCAAAGTATTATATGTTCCTGTCAGGGAAAGAAATAAAAGTGAGTGCAAAAAAATCTAGTGATTTTTTGAAGTAAAAGTGATTGCAAAACATTTTTTATTGGCTTAGAGTAGAAATCAAATATTGATGCCTTATTTGGAATTGCTTCAACCTAGAACATTCAATATTTATTTGTTTATTCATCTTAAAAAGCATGTGAGAAACTAGAAAATGCAGATAACTTATTAAATGCCTCTACTTATTTACCTAACTGGAGTATTGGCAGCAAAATTTATTTCTTTCTAGTACTATGGGAGATTTATCCGTGATTCAATGGTATTTTGTTGTTATATTTAAACTGGAATAAAGTAGATATATAGAAAATTATATAATGATTTTAAATGACAAAAGGAGGCATTGTTATATTAAATTATTTTCACAGATGTTAGTTCACTGAGGATTATCAAATAATTGAAAAAGATTATGATGTGGACTGATCATTTGAGTCTAGGAATTCTAGAACAGCCTGTGCGACATGGCAAAACACCATCTCTACAAAAAAAATACAAATATTAGCTGGGCGGGGTCGTGCATGCCTGTAGTCCTAGCTACTCAGGAGGCTGGGGCAGGAAAATCACTTCAGCCCAGGAGGTGAAGGTTGCAGTGAGCCGAGATCACGCCACTGCACTCCAACCTGGGCAACAGAATGAGACACCTCTCTCTCTCTCTCTCTCTCTCTCTCTCTCTCTCTCTCTCTCTCTCTCTTTCACACACACACACACACACACACACACAATGAAAAAAAGTCATTTTCCTATAGAATGCTCTCCAGTTACTGATAAAGAATACTCCCCTTTCTCAATGTTTCCTAGAAATCTCATTTGAGTTTAACAAAGTTCAATTTAAGAAGTTTGATCACATTTAATGTTTTTATTTCCTTTGCCACGGTTTTTCCCCCTTCAAACTAACTTCTAACATAAATCAACATTAAAAATTTTTTTTCAGAAAAGACACTTTATGTAAGGTAGTAGAGTTCACCAAAGTACCCAGATATCATGAACCAAGAGAAGCTCTGGGAATGATAATCCTTTGACAAACCAATGCAGCCACCTGAAGCCAATTATAATTTAGGTTTAACAAAAAAATGGGAAGACTTTAGCTTTTACCTAAATCTCGAAAGGCCTCAAACATCCCTGAAGACCGATCATGTTTCAGATGGGGTCTTTTATAGTTACGTATTTCACATATGTTGTTTTTTCCTGGAGCTAGAATAAGATATGTGAAAGTATCATAGGAAACACTTTTATTTGTAGTATTTCTAATCCGTGGAAGGAGAAAGTAAACACACATCAAAGTAAAATCAATTCTTATGAGATATCCACCACAGTTCTTCATCCACCAGAAAAAAAAAAAACAGAGAAATATTCAAACTGGAGCCTCCAAACATTTTGCCATTCATCTATCACTAGGGTACTGTGTCTTCTGTCTCTTTTGTACACTTTTGATTCCTTAGTGGGCAGATGGATATAATACAACGGTTAGCCTCAATAATTATTCCAAATTTTAAAAATTGATTGAAAAAAAAAACACTGGATGCAAGCCAATTTTATAAACTCAAGTTAAAAGATTTGGGTGCTCAGAGAGAATGTATTTTAGAATGCAGAACAAAAAAGAAGATGGCTTTTTATCTGTTATTGGAAATAATCACTGCTTGCCCTGACAATAGTTCACAGATGAACTTATGTTTTTCTGTAATCAAGTTTAGGATGAGACCTAGTCATCTGAAGTTGAAAAAATGTGAAATTTAAACTTTATTAGTTTCAGGACTTTGCTGTAATGTAGAATAAACTAATGATTCAGTCTGTACTTAAGGACTATTCAGTCTGTATTAAGGACTATGAAGGACTGTCCTACACTATTGACAGTATCAACTTCCAATAACCAACAATGTCTTACATACAGCTCATTATCCAGTGAAGTCAAAGCCATTATTATATTGACTGTGGATCTTATATCCTGTAACTGTTCATGGTAGCAATGGTTGTACTGGAACAACAATAATAAATTTATCTATTCACTCAACATGCATTGACTGAGTGCTTACTCTATACTCCATTCTCCACAAATTGGCCAAAATTATATTTTTAAAATGTAAATCAGATCATATTATTCCCTACTGAAAATACACTAAATTAGTGGTTCTCAATCTCTGGCAATTTGCCTCCCCAGGGACATTAGACAATGTCTACAGACACATTTAACTGTAACAACTCAGGAATGAATGCTACTGGTTTCTAGTGGACAGAGGCCAGAAATGCTGGTAAACATCCTACAATGCACAGGACAGCCCCACAACAACAAATCTGGTCTAAATCTTTATAGCGCTGCTGTGAAGAAACCCTGCACTAAATCCAAATCCCTTAACCTAATTTGCAAGGTCATGTAGTCTGACTTCTGCCTCTCTCTTTAATCTTGCCTCTGGCCACATTCTCTCCTGCTCATTATGCTCTAGCCATGCTGGTTATACTTTGTATTCCTTGAACCACCCAAGCCAGTGTGTCTCAGGACCCTTTAACCTGCTAATCTCTGATTCCTTTTCCTGTAATGTCCTTCTACCTGGAATGGTCTTCTACCAAAACTTTGCATGGCTGCCTCCTTCTCAATATTTAGATCTCTGTTCAAATGTCACTTGCTCAGAGAGAGTTTCTGTAACCATTTCATCTAAGGCAGGGGTCTCTCAGACTGTGAACCGATGCCAATCTGTGACCTGTCAGGAACCTAGACACACAGCAGTCAGTGAGCAGGTGAACCAGCATTACCACTTGAGCTCTGTCTCCTGTAAGATCAGCGGGACAGCATTAGATTCTCATAGGAAGGTGAACACTATTGTGAACTGCACATGTGAGTAATCTAGATTGCACATTCCTTATGAGAATCTAATGTTCCCCCCACCCCCTGGTCCATGGAAAAACTGTCTTCCATGAAACTGATCCCTGGTGCCAAAAAGGTTGAGAACCGCTGATCTAAAGTATGTACATCCATTCCACCCCTGTGAATCTCCATCTCATCATGGTTTCATTTCCATCTATGTACCTGACACTCTGAATTTACCTTGTTTATAAACTTCCTGTGGTTCTCTTAGAATGTAGGCTCCGAGGACAGAGGAGCCTGGACAGACAACTGACAGAGGACTAACCAGTCTCAATCACTCTTCAATTCCCTAAACATGGAACTCAATCAATCTCTCTCTCCGACATCTGCTGAGCCCAGTTATAAGGTCAAACATAGGGAAAGAGATGGGGCAAAAAGTGAAATTACAAAGCTGACAATAAAGGAAAAGAACATGCATACAAATAGATAATTCTAGACTTAGAGAAAGTAGTACCAGGTCATTTTAGTGCTTTCTTTGTTTAGGATACTGTTTTAAAAATTTTTAGTGGATTGCATCATTTAATCCTCAGACCACCATCATTCTCCAAAAAACTGTTAGTTCTATTATTATCCTGACTTTACACACAAGGTATAGCAGCAGAGAGGTTAAGTCACTTGCTCAAGCTTACCTACTCATTGAGTACTGACACCGGAAATTAAACCCAGGCACCCTGCCTTCACAGCTCTGCTCTCTTACCCACATCCCTCCCCAACCCCATGCTATGTGCAAGGCAGAAAACTGACTGCTTAGGAATGCAGAAGGCAAGGAATCTTCATTTCTTCCTCCTTTATTTTTGCATATTCATTTGTGTTCTTTGAAATCCGTAAAGCTATGGGAATAGAGAGAGCAGGAAAAGAAGAAAGAACTGGCAAAAAATAATGGATATAAAGGAAAAAGTAAATTCAAAGATTTAATATAGGGAGATTTATATGAGCTTATATGTAAGCTTATATAAAATGTGTTGAAAATATGTGCTTAAAATGTATATAAAAGAAACAACATCTATGAAAGACTATAGAATGCTCACCCTGATGCCCATGATTTAGCAACAATTTCTCTTGAAAGTGTTTTATGATGAGATTTAAGGGGGGGTGAAATAATTCTTTTTAAATTGAATTAAAATGGCCCTTACTTTATTCTGGTTTGCTTTGAAGCACAGAGTCCAACAAAGAGTCTCTACCATGCTTTGAAAAGAGAATATAACCCACCAGCAGCACAGTGCCAAATGAATACAATTGTCTCCTCCTTTCTCCAGGTTCCTGCTTCTCATTCTTAAAACAATGCAGTAGTAATAGGATGTCCCTCTTCCAAGTTTCCAACACACTATATTTAAAACACGTGGGTTTATTTGTCAGAACTCATAATATCCTCCCTTCATATTAACAGGAAGCGGGGCTCAAAATCTCTGATCCACATAATATTATTATGGCTAGAGGAGAAAACCTGGGAAAATAGTTCTTTTCCTTGTGGTTGTCGGGCCACATATTTTATCCTGCAAATGTTGGCAATGGATTCAATCCACCATTCACAGACAATGTGTATTGAAGCGATCATACTAATGATGAGTGAACACTGTCTCCTCCTTACACAAACAGCCCCACAGTTACTGAAGGGATTTTTCCTGAAAGTTCTGGGTTACATAAACTTGATTATTTCAGCAATGCAGCTCCCCCAATACCTTCCTATGCCCACCCACAAAACTTTCAACTCTCCCCAAAAGTGGCCAAATGATTCACTTTTAGTTTGGTCATGTGTGTGTACTGATTAGCGGTGATTTTTGAAATACTGAATAAGCAAGAGACACCTCAGCTAATTCTCTCACTTGGGCAAAAGCTGGAATCATTCCCTTTGAAAACTGGCACAAGACAAGGATGCTGTCTCTCACCACTCCTATTCAACATAGTACTGGAAATTCTGGTCAGGGCAATCAGGCAACAGAAAGAAAGAAAGGGCATCCTAATAGGAAAAGAGGAAGACAAACTATCCCTGTTTGCAGATGACATGATCCTATATCTAGAAAATCCCATTGTCTCAGCCCAAAAGCTTCTTAAGCTGATAAACAACTTCAGAGAAGTCTCAGGATACAAAATCAATGTGCAAAAATCACTAACATTCCTATACACCAACAACAGTCAAGCCAAGAGCCAAATCAGGAATGAACTCCCATTCATAATTGCCACAAAAAGAATAAAATGCCTAGGAATACAGCTAACTAGGGAGGTGGAAGATCTCTACAAGGAGAACTACAAACCACTGCTCAAAGAAATTAGAGATGACACAAACAAATGGAAAAACATTCCATGCTCGTGAATAGGAAAAATTAATATCATTGAAATGACCATACTGAACAAAGCAATTTAAAGATTCAATGTTACTCCTATTAAACTACCATTGGCATTCTTCACAGAACTAGAGAAAACTATTTTAAAATGCACGTGAACTAAAAAAGAGCCTGAATAGTTAAGTCAATCCTAAGCAAAAAGAACAAAGCTGAGGCGTCACGCTACCCAACTTCAAACTATACTACAGAGCTATAGTAACCAAAACAGCATGGTACTGATACAGCAACAAACACATAAACAAATGGAACAGAATCATGTACCCAGAAATAAAATCACACACCTACAACTATCTAATCTTTGACAAACCTGACAAAAATAAGCAATGGGGGAAGGACTCTCTATTTAATGAATGCTGCTGGGATAACTGGCTAAGCCTATGCAGAAAATTGAAACTGGACCCCCTTCCTTACGTGATACAGAAAAATTAACTAAAGATGGATAAAGATTTAAATGTAAACCCAAAACTATAAAAACCCTGGAAGACAACCTAGTCAATACCATTCAGGACACAGGCACAGGCAAAGATTTCATGACAAAGACACCAAAAGCAATTGCAACAAAAGCAAAAGTTGATAAATGGGTTCTAATTAAAGAGCTTCTGCACAGAAAAGAAACTGTCAACAGAGTACACAGACAACCTACAGAATGGGAGAAAATATTTGCAAACTATGCATTCAACAAAGGTCTAATATCCAGAATCTATAAGGAACTTAAAGAAATTTACAATACAAAAACAACCTTATTAAAAAGTGGGCAAAGGACATGAACAGACACACCTCAAAAGAAGACAAACATGTGGCCAAAAAGCATATGAAAAAAGCTCAACACCACTGATCATTAGAGAAATGCAAATCAAAACCACAATGAGATACCATCTAACACCAGTCAAATGGCTACTATTAAAAAGTCAAAAAATAACAGATGCTGGTGAGGTTGTGGAGAAAAAGGAACATTTCTATACTGTTGGTGGAAGTATAAATTAGTTCAGTCATGGTGGAACACAGTGTAGCAATTCCTCAAAGACCTAAGGACAGAAATACCATTTGACCCAGCAATCCCATTACTGGGTATATACCCAAATAAATAACAGAATATAAATTATTCTGTTATAAAGACACATCCACACGTATGTTCATTGCAGCACTATTCACAATAGTAAAAACATGGAATTAACATAAATGCCCATCAATGATAGACTAGATAAAGAAAATGTGGTACATTTATACCATGGTACACTATGCAGTCATAAAAAAAGAACAAGACCATGTCTTTTGCGGGAACATGGATGGAGCCGGAAACATTATTCTTAGCAAACTAACATAGGAACAGAAAACCAAATACAACATGTTCTCACTTGTAAGTGGAAGCTAAATGGTGAGAATACACGGACACATAGAGGGAAACAACACACACTGGTGCCTACTTGAGGGTGGAAGGAAGAAGAGGATCAGGAAAAATAACTAATGGATTCTAGGGTTAATACCTGGGTGGTGAAATAATCTGTACAACAAACTCCCGTGACACAATTATACCTATGTAACAGACCTGCACTTATACCCTTGAACTTAAAATAAAAGTAAAAAAAAATTACCTCAAAAAAATATATATATAAAACCTCTAGAATTCACTAAACATTAGATTAAAGGAGACACCAGACTGAGGAGACAGAGATCCCTTTCTCACTGCTAAATAAAATACTTTCAATTTGCTACTCTTTCAACTAGAAGACTCCTGAAACTGGGTTGCTCATAAAAGTTTTAAAACATTTAATAGGTAAAATGGCTCTTATGCTAAAAGGTACTAATATAAGGCTCCATTCTGTCATGAACTCATATAATCTAGAAGCTCTATTCTGAGATATAAATATATGTTTGTGTATGTGTGTATATATATATATACACACACACACAAAAGCACACACATATGCATATATAAAACATATAGTCATGTGATTCACTTTTAAATTGTATCATGTTGATGAAATGTGCACAATATTTTTCAATATTAAACTAAAACATTTTTATTTCTGATAATCTCTTGTTCTTGGGGTAAGCGGAACCCAGTCTCAAACAAACAAGTCAACTTTAAGTCTTAGATTGGTTTATCTATTCACAAGTTTGTCTTTATAGAGCAAGGGGTTTTCCCTGGAACTTAGAGATCTTACTGTAAGTCACAGAATAGCAGGGGAAGAAAACATGACATAAGAGAAGTCTCCATGGGGCATGGGGGAGGAAGCCCTTCTAGACCAGGGAGAAGGAGCCAAGGGAAAAACACAGAAAAGAAAAGAAAGTCCAATGCAGTGTCCTTGTTTTCTCATTCCCAGCCAGGGTTGAACCTCAGATGGAGAAGTGTGGTTGAGTTGCCCAAACAGAATTGGCGAAAGCCAGAGGTTAGCAGCTCATTTCTTGCCTTCCCAGAGACAGCCTAGGAAGCCTGCTCCCTCCCAGAGAAGCCCAGCCTTCACAGGGCACTATGTAACTACGGAGCCAGAGCAGTGGAATACAAGTAACTCCAAGACATGCCTAGGCAGTCAATTCCAAAGCACTCTGAAAACCAAACATGTTTTTTATAACTCATTTGATGGTAAAATGTGAACTAAACTGACTTGAAGCTATTTACGACATTAATTTACCCCACTTACTTTGATGTATTTGATTACAATGTGCTGATTATAGATAATATACAGTCTATGCACCTATTGCCTTTTTAAATTCAAAAAAGATATAAAAATTGCAAAATATACCTGACCCCACTGGTTTCAGATAAGGAAAATGGGACTGCATTGAAAACTAAGGATGATTTTGCAGGCTTTTCTTCTATAATACCTGTATGTGCTACTGAGAATCCTTCCATTCTGCAAAATAATAGGCTTATAGGGAAATTAAGATTGTGGCCCATTATTCAAAACCCATGCAAGTTTTTCAACTGTGGACTAATAAAAATAATTATTGTATCTTCTAAGGTAACTAGCAAAAATGATAAATAACTAACAAACGTAAATAATTTACTAGCCCAGCAAACCTACAGGATGCCTCCGATGATGCTAAAAGTGCTCAAAATCAAAGTGAGGATGCTGGCTTGGGAGCACTGAAAAAAATGCAGATGCTGGGTCAAGAGCAACCTGCCAGGAACTCGGAGCCCTGCAAGATTAAAGGTGCTTCTCTCTGAGAATGAATGCAGGGTACAAATGTTCATTTTGAATTTTCATGAAATAGAATTAAAAGGGTTCTATTTTAGTTCTATTTCATGTAGCTGTATTTCATGCAGTAGGAAAGTTTAGGAATTTTGGTTTCCTGATGAAGGTTATAATTCTACTTCCATTATTCCACTTCTTTTGCATAGGAGAACTGCATATGAACCAATACTACTTCCACTTTAATCTGACATTATTCTGTTATTTATTACTTACATATTCTGAGTGTATTAGTTCATTTTCACACTGCTATAAAGAAATACCCAAGACTGGGTAATTTATAAAGGAAAGGGGTTTAATTGATTCACAGTTCCGCATAGCTAGGGAGGCTTAAGGAAACTTATAATCATGGCAGAAGGGGAAGAAACACATCCCCCTTCACAAGGCAGCAGGAGAGAGAAGTGCGAGGAGTGAAGGGGGAAGAGCTCTTATAAAACCAGCAGATCTCATCAGAACTCACTCATTATCACAAGAACAGCATGGGGGAAACTGCCCCCATGATCCAATCATCTCCCACCAGGTCTCTCCCTAGACAAGTGAGGATCATGGGGATTACAATTCAAGATGAGATTTGGGTGGGGACACAGCCAAACCATATCACTGAGTTTAAGGTCTGACTGAGTGGAATTGAATCTTAGCTGAGCACTCTAAAGGACAAAAGAGATACAAAACCTGTCCACAATCCTGGCCTCAGTGAGATTATGACCCAGCCAGAATCCAAGTCCAATAAGATGCTACACTAGAGCTGATGACAAATGACATTTATGAAAAAAATGAATAAAAATATTTCAGACTAAGACATGACAGGAGAACCAAAGCTTTGGTCAGGCCTAGAAGAATCTGCAAACCATAATGTTAAATCTCTTTAATTGTGAGTTTGCTGGGGCATAAGAGGATAAATATTGAATCTATACTTAATTAACTACTTCTCTTTGACAACCCACTTAACCTTTCTGAGCCCTGGTTAGCAAAAGCCACCTAATAACATACTGTGGTGAAATTAGATCAAATGAGATAGAAGACGTGAAACTGCATTGAGTAAAGCGCTCTACAAAGGCAAATTTTAAGGCTAGTGTTTATTGAGTGCTTTCTAAAGCCAAGCACTTTTCAAAGTGCTTTACAAATGTGTTTCATTTAGTCTTCTTAGAATGTACCAATACAAACCTACATTTTCACAGATGAAATATTGAGAGAGAAAGAGATTAAAAAGTTAAACATATTGGTCAATCTCAAACAGTAACTGGTAAACCCCAGATTATAGCCCCAGTAGGGTATGGGTTAAGAGCCCAGACTTTTAATGCTATTAGTGTTGTTTCCTGGCAGTAGTGACACTACATTTACTTGGAAATAACAAAGTTGCATTTTGAAAAGATATTCTTGGCCAGGTACAGTGGCTAATGCCTATAATCCCACGATTTTGGGAGGCCTAGGTGGGTGGATCACCTAAGTCCTGGAGCCCGAGACCATCCTGGGCAACATGCTGAAACCCTATCTCTACTTAAAAAAAAATATTAGCCAGGCACATGCCTATAGTCCCAGCTACTCAAGAGGCTGAGGTGGGAGGATCACCTGAGCCTGAGAGGTAGAGTTTGCAGGGAACCAAGATCGCACCACTACACTCCAGCCTCGGTAAGAAAGTGAGACCGTGTCAAAAAAAAAAAAAAAAAAGATATTCTCTAATTCAAATTGTTTCTCTGTCATTCAAAGAATCCTCTCCTTTCTTTCAAATTATTAAGGTTTTCCTGTATTTACAGCATTAATTCCTGGTAGCAATCATTCTCTCCTGAATTGCTACACTTGCCTTAAATAATTCAAAGAAAATATAACTCAGCATCCTCAATGGCAAATGACAGATGGCAAGTATGACAGGCTTCTATGGTTTGAATGTTGATATAGTTTGGATAGTTGTCCCCACGAAAATCTCATGTTGAATTGTAATCCCCAATGTTGGAGGTGGGGCCTGGTGGGAGGTGTTTAGAGCATGGGGACGGATCCCTCACCATTTGGTGCAGTCTTCACAACAGTTCTCATGAGAGCCAATCATTTAAAAATGTGTGGCACCTCCTCCCCACTCTCTCTTGCTCCTGGTTTTGCTATGTGAAGTGCCTGCTCTGCTTCAACTTCCACCATGAGTAAAAGCTTGCTGAGTCCTCCCCAGAAGCAAATGCCATCACTACATTTCCCGTACAGCCTGCAAAACCATGAGCCAACTGAACCTCTTTTCTTATAAATTACCCAGCAGTCTCCAGTATTTCTTTACAGCAATGCAAGAATGGCCTAATACAAATGTGTTCCCCAAAAAGCGTGTGTTGGAAAGTTAATACAGTATTAGGAGGTGGGTGCAATGGGAAGTGTTTATATCCTGAGGGTTCCCATCCTCAATGAATTAACACTGATTATAAAAGGGCTTGAGGCTGCAAGTTCAATCTCTTGCTCTCTCACGTGCTCTCTTGCCCTTCTACCTTCTGCCACACGATGACACAGCAAGAAGGCCCTCACCAGATGTTGGTCTCTCTACCTGGAGGAATTCTCAGCCTCCAGAGCTATAAAAATCAATCTCCATTCTACATAAACTAGCCAGTCTTTGGTATTCTGTAATAGCAGCACAAAACAGACTAAGACACAGGCAAAAATGACTTCTGTACCTTGGTATCTTATACAATGTACACTTTCATAAGTAAAAGTTGATAACTTAACCCACCTTTCATACCCAGAAGGGGATATTTCCTAACTACATAATGAAGGATGCCACCGCAGTACTGCATAACAGTGCTGCAGGTCCATCCTAATCACTGAGGCAAACTCAGGGCTTCGACTACAGCAGCAAAAGGATACACATGTACAACTAGCTGAGCTGAAGACAAGCAGCCCCCAGACCTCTGTGTCTTCCTCACACCCTTTTGAAACTGAAGGCACCTCCTGGGAAATTTCACGTACCCCTCCCTTGACAAGGAAGCTTGAGTGTAGACATCATCTCTACCACCAACCTTACCGTATGAAACATAACTTTCTGTTCATTATCTTTCACCACTAGAAGATAAACTTCTTAGGGGCAAGGGCTATGAATTAGGCACCTTTGAATCCCCAGCACCAGCACAGTGCATCATGTGAAGTACATACCCAAGTGCCAAATATATGAACACATACATTTTCTACATTAAAAATATTTATTTTAATAATTAGTGTTTTCATATAAGATCATTAATCACTTACAGTAACAGTAATAACCAGATGGTAGCATGACTAAATTGTGCATTTCCATAGATTGGTATGCTTAAAAATCATTGGAGATCATCAGCTTCTTTCATACAGATGAGGCTAGATAATTGGCCTGATAGGAAGAAGTCTAGCTAGATCTCGACATTTTCTGCCCCACATTTTATTTTCCTAATACATTCTAAACAGGTATGCAAATCATTTTGGCTAAAGAAAAGCTGTTAAAGTCACATTGAGGATTTATTATCATTAGAAATGCTCAGAACTCAGAAGTAGACATATGTGTTTTTATGTGTGGGCAGATAAAAGGGGAAGTTTTGGTGGAAGAAAGCCAATCGTGGGAAATAGTCAATATATGACCCTTGACTTCTCTTAGTGTGTTTCAGAGAATCAAAGTGATCTAAAACGATCACACAAAGGAAAGGATAGTACTTCCCAAACTTGCATGTATGGGCACAGAATGCACACATGGTAAAGACTGCATGGCAAACATCAATGTAAATGGACAAGTCACCTCCAGCCCAAGGTGACTGTCTCAATGGCTCCAGCCTCCCTCGGCCCCCACAGTCACCTTGAGGGCTAAGGCCAATAGTAGCTTGCACACCTGTAACCCATTCTTTTCAGTTGATCTACACTGGAGTAAAGTGAAATCAAGCTTTAATGAACTAAGGCTCAGTTTCAAAATCCAAGAAAAGAAACAGAAGTTTGCATAATAATAATAACAATAAATTGGCTATGTAAACCCTCATAAAAGGAAAGTCATCCCGCCTCTCATCTACCACTTACATGTACAATTGACTAAACTTTTAGTTCAAACTCATGAGCTGTTTCCCTATCACTTTGGCACTAAATATTTCACCTGATAAAAGATGCTGTATCCTATATGATGTATTTTTAGTCATATGGAAGAGTTTCTTCCATGTGTTACTCACAGGTAACAATGAGTGATGAATATTCCTGGCATGAACACCATGTATCCCATTGCAAGCTTTTTATTATGCAAGCTGTCCATACTGTGATGTGAAAGTTTCTATTAGATTCCCCATGAAGACGATAGAAGATGTTAGCAGCCCCAAACACAAGGCAGGCCACAGAAATATGGATTCAACTACAGGAATTAATAGTCACCATTGTAAACTATTCATGCCTGGAGCCAACCCACAAAACTAATGCAATAATAGAGATTCTAAGTCAGAGCTGGAAATTGCTGCCCAGGTCAGGCTATTCCCTAGAGCCCAGCTAGGATTACTTTGGGTGCATTCTGGAACGCCACAGCTGGTCTGAGTTTTCATTGTCTCATATAATGAACTTTCACCATTTCCTTTAATAATCCCCAGCCCCCTGCCTTGGACAGTCAGTATGAATTTATCCTTTTCTAATTACGTTTTTAAAAACTTCTTCCCATACCTATTTCAGACACAGCTAAAAAAAAAATTCTTATGTCCCTGTGGAATTATACCTAGATTCTCTTATTTAGCTCTTACCTTTCTGCAGAGCTTTGCTCCTTTGATACAGTGGTCACTTTTTTTCCTAAAACTGTGCCAAATTGTCAAATTCTCATAGGTAATTCTAAGATCCACAATAGATTTGTTAAAATAGGAAGAATAGTTAATTGGTCAGGTTCTAGATCATAAAGCTGATCTCTATTTTACTATTCACATATTTATTAAGAGAAAAGAAAGGACTTTAGTGCTATATGTCTTGGTTCTCCGATTCACAAAATCTAAAATAAGAGTTTTGTGGTTTCTACTTGCCTTCCGTAACACTGGATTTTCTCCCAAATAAAAAATATTCCCTATTAATTTGGTATTGCAAGGATTTAAACTAATTTATTGCTAGTTGCATAGCATTATACTTTGTCACAGCTCATGAAACCCATAGTACATTTCAACACAATCTTTATACAGTCTTTCAACCCCAGCAACTCACATTCCCATGCATCAATTCTTAAAGTGTGCTATCAATGGCAGGAGTTCCTCTGAAGCATTTGTTTGAGCAATTGATGTGAAATAAATCATTTTACTTGCAGAAAGAAAAAACCATAGGCTTATAGGCTTACCTTAGCCAAGGAAATAGTACCCCTGCCTATAGCAATTTCAGTTTGAGTTCCACTCCACTCATAGTCACAGTTATAGGATAATCTATTAATTTATAATACATAAGTAATCCTTCCTTACCAGGGCTAAAAATGAAGTATCTACTGAAAGTTATAGTTATTGAAAAAGAAAACATTATGCCAATAAATGTGACAGAATGTTGTATCTCACACAAAATAATCTTTTTAAAATGTCCTTTATCTAGACACATTACACAGCTATTAAAATAAATAAGCAGGAGGCCATGGGCCTGAGGCTGTCTTTATACTTTGAATTCCTACATAAGGAACTGCAACCTAACTTACAACATAAATGAACCAAAACGTAACTTAGAAACCTAATTTTTGTAACACATAGCCAGGTCTCAGCCAATCTCAAGCAGCCAAAAGCCAGCCATTCATAGGCTGCCGAATGAGAAAACCACATGCAAACAAGGCAAAAGCCTCGCTGTAACCAAACTACTTCTGCAGTTTTCTTCAGTGTTCTGTCAACAAATACTCACTGCCCACAGTTGCAGAGTGGAGCTCTCTGAACCTCTTGTGGTTTTGAGTGCTGCCTGATTTATGAAACTTTTGTTGTTGTTGTTCAAATAAACTCTGTTAAATTTAATTTGTTGAAAACTTTTTCTAACACACACAAAAAAATGTTTTTTACATTTTTAGTGAGATTATCCCTTGTTCCAATTTAATGTCCTAGTAAGCAAAACTATTTTTTAGAATATTGTTTTTAGAAAAGATGTGTTAGTTTGAGGTCTCTGAGAAGCAGACATCAAGATGGTATTAGATGTGAATAATGGTCAGCTTCTAAGATGGCCTGTAATAATTCTCTCTATCCAGCATTTAAGCCTTACATAATTCCTGCCTCTTAAGTGCAGGCTGGTCAAGTGACTTTTTTGTAGCCAGTAGAATATGGAAAGGTACTGGGATTTTATTTCTGTGATTAAGCTACAAAATGTTTTGACTTCCAGCTTAAAAGACTCTCCCTTTACAGCTTTTATGAAGCAAACCATCATGGTGACCAATGTGGCAAAGGACTAAGAGAGGCTTGCAACTAATAGTCAGCAACAGTCTGTGGTCCTCAATAGAATAGCCTATGAGAAACTAAGTCCTACAGATCCTTCTGTATTTAAGCCTCAGATGACACCCAAGCACTGCCTGACTCCTTGATTACAGCTTTGTGAGAGACCCTGAAGCAGAGGGCCCATTTAAGCCATGCATATCATAACTGTGTTGTTGTAAGATGCTAAGTTTGGGGATAATTTGTTACACAGTACTAAATAACTAATACAATATGCAAGTAATGTATTGAGGGAAACAGAAAAAGGCAGGAAGAGCCTGTGATGCACGTCTGACATCTAAAACATGAGAGAGAGAAGAAAGGAAAATTGGGCTGGAGGGGCCTTGGACTCCAGTACAGTCCTCGGAGAAGTTGCCCATTGGAAGAGTCCCACATCTTGCTGGAATGAGTCTGCCTTTTTACAATTGCCATGCTTAGTCATTGGCTGGGAGCAGTTGAAGGAACCATGGTCCTGCCATAAATGAAATGATGAATCCACAGGGGAAGCAGCTGGAGCCCCATAGCAGGAGATCTGACTGGTTTATTTCCATGCTACAGAAGAGAAGCAAACCAATATCATAATGTTGGCAAGAAAAAAATAGTATCTTTTTAAAAATCATTTTGCTTACAATATTATTGAAAATCATATCTTGCATGATAGCCCGTCCTCAGTTGTGCTGCCCAGAGTGAGCAGAAAAGCAGTAGGCAAGGCCTAAGGGGGACTTAATGCAGCAGGAATGTGAGTTCTATCACCACTTATCTGCATCGCCTCACTGACATCACATCTGTTGGATTGACAGGCTCTATCGTTCTGCTTATAAATCTCTTGCTTTAATGAATATGGAATCTAATCTGATTTCTTTCTCATTCAAAGGCATCTTTTTCAAGAGAAAAAAAATTCTTTGAGGACAAGAAAGAGTTGAAATAAAATGATAGAGAAAAACCCTTAACTAGAGGAATAATGAAAAAAAAAAGGGAGACAGGGAGAAATATCAGCATGTCTTTTATACATTTGAACAGTTATTGAGCATATTTCAACAAGTACAAGACTGTCTTTTATTTTACAAAAAGACAGAAATAAATCATGCATGAGAGGAACCTGAACATGACTATCAACAACTTTTCAATGAATTTGGAAGAGCTTACATTTGTTAACAAGAATTTTAAAACTTTTAACTAATCCAGTTCAAAATCAAATAAAATTTTAGACTCAACTGTGCCAGGCTGTATTAGAAGAATGTTGAAGAAAAAGCAAGGAGTTGCAAGGTAGAAGGATTGGAGTAGATTAATTATATGAGACCATAAAACCTTCCCATGAGGGACTAAAGGACACTCCCTTTATTGAGGTGAAAAGGAATATATTCAGCATCATTTAGAAGCTCAGGGAGGCTATTTTCTGTGGGCCAGAAATGATGGCAGGAGGTTCTTTAACAGAAACAAACTTCCTAGTGTCAATATGGATTATATGACTTCAGAATGGCAAAGGTCAAATGACAGAATTTAATAATTAGAGGCAATGTAGATATAATTACTGTAATCACCAGCGACAACTGGGAGCCCTAGACCTATGAAAATCTACGTCAACAGCTAATAAGTCATTCTGTTCCTGGAAGCAAGAGAGACAGAAAGCCAATGAGAGTGTTGCTCAATTTATATAACAATTAAAGAGATCAGGTGTGCAGAAGTTCAGTGTCTATGTCTTATTAGAAAATCATGATTCCTTACCCAACTCCTGTTCTAAGCTAGTTTTCAGAACTTCCAAATCAACTGCCAAAACAGGAATATATAATATACATTAGATTATGCCCCAGAGGGACCTATAGCTATTTTCCAAGTAACTACACAGGAGAAAAGGAATACCCAGATCCTCTGAGAGTAATTGAATATAGTATCAGAGCTAACACTGATACTAGGAAACACAAAATGCCATAATAGCCCCTCTGTTGGACTGAGAGTCTAATTGCTTCAAAGAGGCCATGGATCCACTCTTAAGGATTCCCCAGTCTCTACATACATAATCAGAATTAGTTACTAACATATCCATTCTGATTATGTCACATTAGTTTTCTGATCTGCGAAGTAACAATCATCAGGATGGTTAAGAGTCAAGTGAAGCCCTTGATAATATCCCTGATCACCAACAAAGTAAACCAAAAACCATACAAAATCCTGTTTGGAATTGCAGATATTCTCTACTCTCGGAGTCACAAAATGCAAGGATGTTTCTCCCTGTCATGTCCTCGTTCAGATAACCACTGCTGCCCTTCCAAAAACAGAGGAGGTGGGGAAGATAAATCATCATAGACCTTTGGAGAATGAAAGACAAGGATGTCTGCGGAAGAGGCATGTGAACATACCTATGGAAGTGGAGACAAACTGTGCAGATCTTTGCCTCACATTCTTGCCCACCAGGAAACATCTACTGGAGAGGAGATTTTGAAGGTCTTGATGCACAAGCTAACTCATTCAGTGGAGGTAAACCAGCTTATGTTCTTAGCCACCGCAGTGCTAACACAATGGGTGCATAAACAGAATGACCAGGATATGAAGGATGGAGGCAATTCATGGCTCTATCATCTTGGGACCAGCTGCAGCAGTGGGGACTGTGGCTTATTCCACTAATATTCCCATTGAAAGGGTGTTTCGGGGTGAGGGGGTCTTTTGGTTTTCCATTTCTTTTATTTTTAAGAAATTGTGGCTAGCCACCACCCTGAAGCATCAATAACAGAGAGGAAAATAACATATGAGGCATAAGTGTATCTGGGTAATGTAATGGGTGCTCTGTAGCAGTCATGATTCATTCTCTAATCCATTTCTTCATAACGAAGGCAATCACAGACAATTTCCAGCATGCTAATAGTTTCCTTCTTAAGTGCCTGTTTTTCTTTTCTTCTCTGCCTAAGGGCTTTCTCTGGTACCTTGGAAGCTTACTCAGTTATAAGCAGGTACAACCTGCTTGCAGGGTGTTGTTCCCTTTCATGTATGGGAGCAACATCTCTGAAAGCAGGTTGTACCTTAGAAGTATGGGAGAATTCTCAATCAGTAAAGAATGAATGCTGATAGCTAAATGCTCCAAAATCCTCATAACTTGGTGAGATGATTCTGAGATGTGTTCTACATGGTTTCTTTGTGGAACAGTACTGAGCTACAATTGCTTACCACAACTGCCTCCCATTGATGCATCCTTTATTAACTTTTCTCATTTCCTTATCTTATTTCCTGTCATGCTTCCTGGGACCATTTCCAAAATAGACAATCTGTTCCCAAATCCTTTTCTCAGATCTGTCTTTGAAAGAATACAAGCTAAGAAAATATTGATGGCCTAAAACAATAATAATAATGCCTTGTGTAGGTTAAAATGTAATGAGAAACAAAATACACAACAACAATAGCATAAACTTTGGTGGACTGACAAATGAAATGTTCTATGATGTTTACATTGTCTAATAAAGGGTAAAATGGGTAAAATTATCAACTAATATTAGACTTTAATGAATTAAATCTGTATGTTTTAATCACTAAAATTACAAGTATAATTGAATGAGAATATGTACATCTTCCAAACTAAGATATTACAAAATACTATCCAATAAGGTCAACAAAGAAACAAAAGAAATATAGAACAGGCAAGAAAAAAACGTAAATTGTTAGATTTATGCCTAAACATAGCAATAATTACATTAAGCAGAAATGGCCTAATGCACCAATTTAAAGGCAGAGACAGTCAGACTATAAAGAAAAATACATCTATATGCTCATTACAAAACACACTGTCTGATTCTCCAGAAGATAGAGCTGAAGCCAAAAATTATTTGCAGATCCAGGGAGCAAAAGTGAAAGACAAAGGAAGTGATGTAGAGAAGGAGAAACATAATAAAGCACCTAGAATAAACATATAACCTCATGATCTCAGGGAATAGAAAGATTAGTAATTTTTAAAAAGTACTAATTACAAAAGTAAAAATTGATAAACTGGCCTACATTAACATTAAAAGTAAGAACATTTGTTTATTAAAATACAACCCTAAGGAATAAAAAAGCAAACCACAGGGAAAGAAAAGATTTTTTAACATATATAATCATCAAAAGGCTTATAATATATAAGGCACTCCTTAAAATCAATGAGAAAATGGCAAAGAAAGACAACCCAATAGAAAAATTGGCAAGAGAACTGAACAGATACTTTAGAAAAGAAGATATCCAAATGGTCAATAAACACGTGAGCAGATGCACAACCTCATTGTAATCAAGAAAATGAAAAACAAAAAGGAGAAAGAATTATTAGTGCATAGCCTCCACATGGCTAAAATTTAGATGATTGACAATTTGAAGTTTTGGTAAGCAGGCAGATCAACAGGAACTCCTTTATGCTGCTCTTAGGAGTATGAATTGTTTCAGTCTTCTTGAAATATAATTTATTATCTATTACAGTTGAAAATGTTTATTCTTCATAACCCTATTTCATTCCTCCCTAACAGTAATGGATGCATATGTGATCCAAAAGACATATACAAGAATCATAGCAGCATTATATCCATCAACTTTAGAATGAACAGATAAATTATGGTGTGTTCATAAATTAAATACTGTGGTAATGAAATGAACAGCTTAAAACAATACTCAACAATGTAATCTTAAAAATATAAAAAAGGGAAAATTAGCTATATTGTTTAAAGATCCACTATTAGATAACAGTATATAAAGAAAATCAAAGAGATAACTCCCATAAAAGTAAGAATAATAGTTTGTTTTGCAGAAGACACAGAGTAGTTATTGGGTGGAGGGAACACTTCTGAAGTGTTAATATTCCACTTCTCATCTGAATAGATGGTTACAGAACATTATGCTTTGTGTTAATTGAGCTAATTTATTTATGTTTTATATACCTGTCTACATATGTGTTATATTTCATGAAAAAATAATTTTTAAGGGAAGTAGCTGTGCAGGACAACTCAGAACAAATCATTCTTGAGAGAATTAAAGGATCTCTTCACTTTCATCAATGACATTGAGTTTATATTCTTGGGCTCATTCTCTGGTAATAAGTCACAAATGCATCCGTCATTTGTTTAGACTGAAAAATCTCTTTGCCGCTGTGTGATGAAATTGGATGTACAAATTATATTTAAGTCACCCTCCCTGACCTTTTAGTGCATGGGTCATCACCATACCACTAAATCCTGCCTGATAAACACTTCAATTTTCTTTATCATTATTGCTAAATTTCCATCAGTATCTGCCTAGGAAGGCAATACTTCTTAAACAGTCCAATTATTGCTTTTGTAATGTCATAAGATGTTTTGAAGCTTCTTTTCAATAGTCTCTCATGACATAATAGCTGTTTTATTCACTCTCATGCTCATGAAACTCTCCTTATACTATTTTCTTAGAGGTTATGCTATCCAGTGGCTCCAAATTTAATTGCTCTTTTTTTCATATTTAATCTCTCTGCTTGAGGTAATACGTTTTTCATCTCTAGTTTTCGGAGCACAAATCAAATTTTGCTTCTCTTGTGCTTAAACTTCAATAGTTTCTCTGCAGAACAAAGAACAAACTTCTTCAGCTTGTGTTCTAGGGCCTCCAAAATCCAGCTTCAACCTTTCTCCCCAATCTCATTTGCCATGAAAACTATATCTCATAAATCCACCCTCCCTAGAAAAAGAGATGCATGCATGCACGCACACACACACACACAACACACACGCACATACACACTATTCCTCCTGTACACACTTCACATACTTTCCACAGACTTGTGTTCAAACTGTTCATTTTGTCTATATTTAACAAAAATGTCACCAAAAATGGAAATTAAGTCAAATATCATTTATAAAGCTCAATGCAAAAATAATAAATGTAATATTAGCCAATTTAAAAAATAATGCATTCTGATCCTGGCTAACACGGTGAAACCCCGTCTCTACTAAAAATACAAAAAATTAGCCAGGCGTGGTGGTGGGCACCTGTAGTCCCAGCTATTATGGAGGCTGAGGCAGAAAAATGGCGGGAACCCGGGAGGTGGAGGCGGAGCTTGCAGAGAGCCGAGATCGCGCCACTGCACTCCAGCCTGGGCGAGAGTGAAACTCCGTCTCAAAAAAAATAAAAATAAAAATAAATTATAATAATAATACATTCTGAAAAAGTTAGTTTAGTTTTAATCCAAGAAAGTAGGGAACATTCATTGGAAAATTTATTCATGTAATTCACAACTACAATAAAAGGGAATGTTTCTTTTTTTTTTTATACTTTAAGTTTTAGGGTACATGTGCACAACGTGCAGGTTTGTTATATATGTATACATGTGCCATGTTGGTGTGCTGCACCCATTAACTCGTCATTTACATTAGGTATATCTCCTAACGCTATCCCTCCCCACTCCCCCCACCCCACAACAGGCCCTGGTGTGTGATGTTCCCCTTCCTGTGTTCATGTGTTCTCATTGTTCAATTCCCACATATGAGTGAGAACATGTGGTGTTTGGTTTTTTGTCTTTGAGATAGTTTGCTGAGAATGATGGTTTCCAGCTTCATCCATGTCCCTGCAAAGGACATGAACTCATCATTTTTTATGGCTGCATAGTATTCCATGGTGTATATGTGCCACATTTTCTTAATCCAGTCTATCATTGATGGACATTTGGCTTGGTTCCAAGTCTTTGCTATAGTGAATAGTGCCACAATAAACATACGTGTGCATGTGTCTTTATAGCAGCATGTTTTATAATCCTTTGGGTATATACCCAGTAATGGGATGGCTGGGTCAAATGGTATTTCTAGTTCTAGATCCCTAAGGAATCACCACACTGACTTCCACAATGGTTGAACTAGTTTACAGTCCCACCAACAGTGTAAAAGTATTCCTATTTCTCCACATCCTCTCCAGCACCTGTTGTTTCCTGACTTTTTAATGATCGCCATTCTAACTGGTGTGAGATGGTATCTCATTGTGGTTTTCATTTGCATTTCTCTGATGGCCAGTGATGATGAGCATTTTTTCATGTGTATAAATGTCTTCTTTTGAGAAGTGTCTGTTTATATCCTTTGCCCACTTGTTGATGGGGTTGTTTTTTTTTTCTTGTAAATTTGTTTGAGTTCTTCGTGGATTCTGGATATTAGCCCTTTGTCAGATGAGTAGATTGCAAAAATTTTCCCCCATTCTGTAGGTTGCAATTGTCTGCATTGCTGAAATAGTTTTGTATCCACTTTAAATATTTCAAATCTCATGTTGACCTCAGCTTCTTCACTGGGGCATTAAGGGAACATTTCTTAACTTGGTAAAGGATATTTATCAACAATCTATAATGAACATCTTAATAAAGACAAAAATAAACCAAGAATGTCCACAATACAACCAATATTTAAGTCTCTATTGACCACATTACTAATGGAATAAAACAAGAAAAAAAAAATAAAGTTGGAAATGTAACCATCCAGTGGGTTCACCTTGTCCGCCGCCTAGACAGAGCTGATTTCTCAAGACAGAGGAATTGCAAGAGAGAAAGAATAATTCACACAGAGCCGGCTGTGCAGGAGATCGGAGTTTTGTTATTAATCAGATCAGTTTCCCCGAGCACTCAGGGAGCAGAGTTTTTAAGGAGAACTTGGTGGGTGGGGGGAAGCCAGTGAACCAGGAGTGCTGATTGGTCAGGTATGAAATCATAAGGAGTTAAAGCTGTCTTCTTGCACTGTGCCAGTTCCCGGATCAGGGGCCACAAGATCAGAGAAGCCAGTTTATCAATCTGGGTGGTGCCAGCTGATCCATCAAGTGCAGGGTACGCAAAACATCTTAAGCACTGATCTTAGGAGCAGTCCAGGGTGGGTCAGAATCCTGTAGCCTTCAGCTGCATAACTCCTAACCCATAATTTCCAATCTTGTGGCTAATGTTAATCCTACAAAGACAATCTAGCCCCCTGGCAAGAAGGAGGTCTGCCCTGGGAAAGGGCTATTATTGTCTTTGCTGTAAATCACAAACTATAAATCAAGCTCGGCCGGGCGCGGTGGCTCACGCCTGTAATCCCAGCACTTTGGGAGGCCGAGGCGGGCGGATCACGAGGTCAGGAGATCGAGACCATCCCGGCTAAAACGGTGAAACCCCGTCTCTACTAAAAATACAAAAAATTAGCCGGGCGTAGTGGCGGGCGCCTGTAGTCCCAGCTACTTGGGAGGCTGAGGCAGGAGAATGGCGTGAACCCGGGAGGCGGAGCTTGCAGTGAGCCGAGATCCCGCCACTGCACTCCAGCCTGGGCGACAGAGCGAGACTCCGTCTCAAAAAAAAAAATCAAGCTCCTCCCAAAGTGAGTTCAGCCTATGCCCAGGAATGAACAAGGATAGCCTGGAGGTTAGAAGCAAGATGGAGTTGGTTGTGTTAGATCTCTTTCACTGTCTCAGTCATAATTTTGCAAAGGTGGTTTCAGAAATGGGAGAAATAGAAAGACAAAGCTGTCATTATTCATAGATATTTTTCCTATCAAAGATGAGTCAACTGAAAAATTAGAACTAGCAAAGCAGTAAGATCACTGAATAGAAAAATCAACATATAAATATCAATCACTTTCTATAAACCAATTTTAAAATGTAATTTTCAAAAGTATATTCACAATGGCAACCAAAATATTCAAAATATCTAAGGAAAACTAAAAGAAATGTGTAATACTTGTGCGGGGGAAAAAAGTAACATTTTACGGAAGTCTGTAACGGGTTTTTAAAAGGAGTTGAAGATATGATACATTATGCTTCTGGAGAAACTCAATTTCTTGATAACAACTAAAAAAAAAAAAAAAACAGGTGAGAGATTACAGTACCTGGTTTAGCAAAATAAAAAGAAAAAACAAATAAAAAGAGTAGGAAGGGCAGTCTTTCATTGCCTGCATCACCCCTCCTCCAACCCAAGGCAGTGCAGCTGCATGCTTAGGGGAGTAAGAAGAAAGTGAGTGTAGGATGTTACAGTGAAACTCAGTGCTGGCCTCATCAGAGTAAAACATAGCACCAGGCAAAATTCTGTAGCTCTTGATTACAGGCTGGTACCCACAGGAGGAACATTTATATCTACTTTGTGCTAGAGGGTAATCTCTCACCCCAGTAGGAGTTCCACCTGGCTTTACCACTGTCTGACTAGAGTCACCTCAGGCCCTGAGTACATTTAGTGGCAGAGCCTGAGATATACCTACAGGATACTGCTGATAGAAACCCCACCCACACCAATTATTGTGCTCTGGCATGCCCTGAGGTCAGGTTATTTACATGCACCACCACAGTTCACCACACCCTGCCTTCTAAACTGCCTATTACAGCCTATGCCCCCTGAATAGCACCAAAGGCCTGAGATCAGGCCTGCCTATTCTGGCACCACCCACCCAGTGCCTAAACATGTCACTTAAGAACCTGGGGATCACTTTGCCCATTCCACCAACTCTAGCATCTATGTACTCCTCCAGGGAACCTCTATATGGACCCACCCAGCCTGTCAACAATACCATGAACAACATCCACATATATATACTGCCTAGCAGTTTGGGGGCCAGCCTGCCCAGACCATCACAGCCACTATCAACACCCAGCACACACCACCCAGGACCCAAAGGGTCATCCTGCCACTGCTACTGCCATTACGCATACCCCATTGGCTGTCCAGGGGCCTGAGAACCTGCCCTTCCACCCAGCACCCTGCTACCACTACCAGCATCTGAGTTCCCAAGAATCAGCTCACTTGGACCTACTAACATTGTCACCAGTGTACGTCATCTTGGGACAAAAGAATAGGCATGCTCAGCCCTTTACTGTGGTATCTGTGATTTCCTCAGTTGGCTTGGGTGTGGTTATCAGTGGAGGCTGTGGTGAAGTTGTGCAGGGGACAGGAATGTCAGGTGGGCCAGTCTTTGGGCTCCAGTGGTGACACTGAAGGGTGAACATGGGTCCACATGGGCTGAGAAATAGCCTTTCCCAGACAAACAAAGGCTGAGGGAATTCATCACTACTAGACTGGCCCGACAAGAAATTCTCAAGGGAGTCATAAGTGTGGAAGCAAAAGGACAACAGTTACCATCATGAAAAAAATAGGAAAGTATAGAACTCACTGATAAAGCAAACAGACAAATGAGGAAAAGAGTCAATTGGTACCACTACAGAAAGTCACCAAACCACAAGGACAAACAATAAGAGAAAAAGAAAAGAAAAAATATACAAAATTACCTGAAAACATTAGCAATATGGCAGGAAAAAACTCACATATCAATAATAACTAAATTTAAGTTGATTAAATTCTCCAATTTAAAAGATACAGACTAACTGTGTGGATTAAAAAAAAGAAACATGATCCAACTACATGCTGCCTACAAGAAACATATATTACTGGTAAAGATATACAGGCTAAAAGTAAAGGGAGAAAAAAGATATTCAATGCAAATGAAAACCAAAAGTGAGCATGAGTAGTTCTACCCTTATCTGAGATAAGGCAGACTTTAAGTCAAAAACAAACAAACAAACAAAGACAAATAAAGTCACTATGTAATGATAAAGGGATCAATGCAGCAAGAAGATATAACAACTGTAAATATATATTCACACAGCACTGGAGTACCCAGATTTATAAAGCAAACATTCCTAGATCTAAAAAGAAAGACTGTAGTACAATAAAATGAGAGACTTCAACACCCCACTTTCAGCATTAGACAGATTATCTAGGCAGAAAAGAAACAAACAAACAAAAAAATCACTGGATTTAAACTGAACATTAGACCAAATCAATCTAACAGACATTTACACTATATTTTATCCTTTTATTGGAAGAATACACATTCTTCTAATTAACACTTGAAATATTCTCTAGGATAAGCCATATTTCAGACCAAAAAAATCCTGGCTAACACAGTGAAATCCGTCTCTACTAAAAATACACACACAAAAAAAGTTAGCCAGGCATGGTGGCAGCGCCTGTAGTCCCAGCTACTCAGGAGGCTGAGGTAGCAGAATGGCGCTAACCCGGGAGGCGGAGCTTGCAGTGAGCGGAGATCCTGCCACTGCACTCCAGCCTGGGCAACAGAGTGAGACTCCTTCTCAAAAAAAAAATATGTATATATATAGTCTTAACAACTGTTGAACACTGAAATTATATCAAGTATCTTCTGAGACCAAAATGGAATAAAACTAGAAATTAATACTAAGAGAAATTTTGGAAACTATACAAATAAATTGAAATTAAACATGTTCCTGAAGAAATTAAAATAGAAATCAACACATTTCTTGAAACAAATGAAAATGGGAACACAGCACACCACAAACCTTTGGGGTACAGCAAAATCAGTAAGAAGATGAAAGTTTACATTTGTCAGTATAGCAAATAAATCCCTGCATCAAAAAAACAGAAAAGTTTTTTGTTATTTTTGTGTGTGTGTCCAAAATGGTTGACTAGAGATGTTGAACAGCATTTGCCCTCAGGAGGAAGTACCAAAGCTATAGGTGAGTAATCATAACTTGAATAAGATATCAAAAGAAGAGTGCCAGAGCCTCTCAGAGAACTCATGGGAAGAAGCTAGGGCACAGGAAAAAAAAAAAGAAGAAGAAGAAAGTTTGACACAAATCAAACCTTGAAGGACTTGGAGTTCCATGAAAAGGGTAAATGGAGATATTTTTTGGCTCCCCTCCCTCTAAGGCAGACTGCTGGTTTCGGAACTGTTAGAGGGCTCCGCTGCTCTCTGGAGCCAAAGCACTGGTGTGAGTGGTGATTTGAGAACTTGTTTAATGGCATTGCACTGGCTGCTATCAAGAAGCTCACTCAGGGCCACTCATCCTATCCACTCACCCGAGCTGAGGTGGTGGGCATCATACTGGGTGTGCACCCATTGTGGGCCTCATCCTGCCCAGGGAATCTCAGCCTTAGTGTCTTATCACCAGATCGCCTGCATCACTGGATCCCTGCAAACATTCTCTAGTACCACTTGGACACTGGCAACCACAAAGGACTGGCAGGACACAGGGATTCCTGGTGGGCTGGCCAGTGAGCAGTGCTACTCCTCAGGGGAGGCAGGGTGAAGCACACCAAGGAAGCACCTCTTGCGACAAAGAAAATCAGAGCACATGGCCGGGAGCGGTGGCTCACGCCTGTAATCCCAGCACTTTGCGAGGCTGAGGCGGGTGGATCACCTGAGGTCAGGAGTTCGAGACCAGCCTGGCCAACACGGTGAAACCCCATCTCTCCTAAAAATACAAAAAATTAGCCAGTCATGGTGGCAGATGTCTATAATCCCAGCTACTCAGGAGGCTGAGGCAGGAGAATCACTTGAAACCAGGAGGCAGAGGTTGCAGTGAGCCGAGATCACATCATTGCACTCCAGCTTGGGCAACAAGAGTGAAACTCTGTCTCAGAAAAAAAAAAAAAAAAAAAAGAAAGAAAATCAGAGCCCACAGTCTCCTGTTCTCTAGAGCTCTCCATTTGTGAGCTGAAGGCAACAGTGCCAGGAAGATGCAGGTACTGTGCTGGCTCTGTGGAGGAGGAGTGTGGTTTGACCCCCATGAATAGGTCAACTCAATGCTTGGACATAGAGCTGAGAGGAGGACATCTTCTCTCCCCACCCCACATACTGCTGTGGATACAGCTATGGATGCTCCTGCAGGTGAATGGTGCAGGCGTACCTGTAGACCCATGAGGCCTTGTCTTGCACAAAAGGTGGGATCCCTTCCCTTCTCTACAATGAGTGGCAGCATTCCTGCAGCAGAGAAAAAGTGAGCCACAAAGCTGTCTGTTTTGGGTTGTGGAAAGAGGTTCCCTCTAAATCCATTTCAGTAAAGAGCCATAGGACAGGAGTTTTTTTATTGCTTTAAGCTACATTGTGGCCTGGAGATAGATAAGAGTGTCTATCTGAACTGAGAGTCAAGAGCTTCAGAAGAGGGATGTGATCCGGAGGTGGATCAAATTTCTGCCTGCTTAGGACATGGGGTTGGTGCAGCCCCCTCCCCCTCTAAAGACACCTTGGCACATTTCACTAGGAGTTCCCCCACCTGTTATCCCCCTTCCCCATCAGGGTTGGTGCTTGTGCTCATCATTGGGTATTCAAGGGTGAACCTGATGGTCCAGCTCTGCCTACCTTTGTCCCCCATTTTTGCCCTCAGCATGGAACTCAGGGCCAAGCATTCCACAGACCAGCCCATCACCTGAGGCAACAGAGAGCTCCTCCCAGTAAACAAAGACCAAAGACCAAAGACATACCCATCTGCTTCTGCCTCTTACCTGTAAGCCACACCTATTGTCCTGAAGGTTGAACTGCACAATGCAATACAAAATCAACTGACAGAAGTGCTAAGCACTGGTGAATAAGATAAGTTTACTGAAACCTTCACAATCGCAGTCCTGCTCCCAGTCCCGCAGCAGGTAGTAAGATTACTCATATGCCAAGTACATTGCCACTATAACCGGCATTTAAGAAAGTCACTACACAAAGGCTATCTGTAATCAAGGAACCCATACAGACCTTTGTCCCCTTAAAAGCACCCAGAGTCAAAGCCAATTGACCATACACAACATACATTACAGTTATATCCTCAAGCGGGGGAAATGTCCCATCCAAACAGGAGTAAATTAAAAAATAAGTGACAGCTTCTCTAGCCAGGAAGGCAAACTAACTAGAATTGTTTCATACTAACAATTCTAGCAGTATGAAAAAAAAAAAAAACAGGATATTATGACAACTCAAAGGTTCACACTAGGTCTCTATCAATAGATCTTAATCAAAATGAAAATTCTGAAATGCCAGATAAAAAATTCAAAATATAGACATAAGGAAGCTCCATGGGATCCAAGAGAAAGTTAGAAACCAATGCAAATAAATAAGAAAAATTATTTAGGGTATGAGTGAAAAACTTACCAAAGATATATATATGAAAAAAAAAGAACTTCTGGAAATAAAAAATTCACTGAGGGAAATATAAAATATAGTTGAAATCTAAAAATAGACCACAGAATACAGAAAAAGCAGTTCAGAGCTAGAAGACAGGTCTTTCTAATTAACCTGGTCAGAAAAAAATAAATAAAAAAGAATTTTAAGAAATGAAAAAAGCCTTCAAAAAATAAAGGTTTATATAAAATGTCAAAACCTATTCTCTTTGTAGCAATTGTGAATGAAAGTTCACTCATGATTTGGCTCTGTTTGTCTGTTATTGGTGTATGGGAATGCTTGTGATTTTTAAACATTGATTTTGTCTTTGTTTGCAGATGACATGATTGTATATTTAGAACGTCCCTTAGTCTCAGCCCAAAATATCCTTAAGCTGATAAGCAACCTCAGCAAAGTCTCAGGATACAAAATCAATGTGCAAATATCACAAGCATTCCTATACAAGGGATGTGAAGGACCTCTTCAAGGAGAACTACAAAACACTGCTCAAGGAAATAAAAGATGACACAAATAAATGCAAAAACATCCCATACTCATGGATAGGAAGAATCAATATCATGAAAATGGCCATACTGCGCAAAGTAATTTATAGATTCAATGCTATCCCCATCAAGCTACCACTGACTTTCTTTGCAGAATTGGAAAAAACTACTTTAAACTTCATATGGAACCAAAAAAGAGCTCACATAGCCAAGACAATCCTAAGCAAAAAGAACAAAGCTGGAGGCATCATGCTACCTGACTTCAAACTATACTACAAGGCTACAGTAACGAAAACAGCATGGTACTGGTACCAAAACAGTGTTATAGACCAATGGAACAGAACAGAGGCCTCAGAAGTAGCACCATACATCTTCAACCATCTGATCTTTGACAAACCTGACAAAAACAAGCAATGGGGAAAGGATTCCCTATTTAATAAATGGTATTGGGAAACTGCCTTGCTATATGCAGAAAACTGAAACTGGACCCCTTCCTTACACCTTATACAAAAATTAACACAAGATGGATTAAAGACTTAAACATAAGACCTAAAACCATAAAAATCCTAGAAGAAAACCTAGGCAATATCATTGAGGACATAGGCCTGGGCAAAGACTTTATGCCAAAAGCAATGGCAACAAAAGCAAAAATTGAAAAAAGGGATCTAATTAAACTAAAGACCTGCACAGCAAAAGAAACTATCATGAACAGGCAACCTACAGAATGAGAGAAAATTTTTGCAATCTATCTATCTGACAAAGGGCTAATATCCAGAATCTACAAAGAACTTAAACAAATTTACAAGAAAAAAACAAACAACACCATCGAAAAAAAAAGTAGGCAAAGAATATGAACAGACACTTCTCAAAAGACGACACTTATGTGGCCAACAAACATATGCAAAAAAGCTCATCATCACTTGTCATTAGAGAAATGCAAATCAAAACCACAATGAGATACCATCTCACGCCAGTTAGAATGGCAATCATTAAAAAGTCAGGAAACAACAGGTGCTGGAGAGGATGTGGAGAAATAGGAATACATTTACACTGCTGGTGGGTAAATTAGTTCAACCATTGTGGAGGACAGTGTGGCAATTCCTCAAGGATCTAGAACTAGAAATACCATTTGACCCAGCAATCCTATTACTGGGTATATACCCAAAGGATTATAAATCATTCTACTATAAAGACACATGCACATGTATGTTTATTGCAGCACTATTCACAATAGCAAAGACTTGGAACCAACCCAAATGTCCATCAATGATAGACTAGATAAAGAAAATGTGGCACATATACAACATGGAATACTATGCAGCCATAAAAAGGATGAGCTCACGTCCTTTGCAGGGACATGGATGAAGCTGGAAACCATCATTCTCAGCAAACTAACACAAGAACAGAAAACCAAACACCACATGTTCTCACTCATAAGTGGGAGTTGAACAATGAGAACACATGGACACAGGAAGGGGCACATCACACAACAGGGCCTGTCCAGGGGGTCAGGGGCTAGGAAAGGGATGGCATTAGGAGAAATACCTAATGTAGGTGATGGGTTGATGGGTGCAGCAAACCACCATGGCACATGTATATCTATGTAACAAAACTGCAGGTTCTGCACATGTACCCCAGAACTTAAAGTATAAAAAAATTTTAATTTAATTTAATTTTAAAAAAGAAAAGAGATAGACAGTAATACAATAAAGAAGAGGCTTTAACACCACAATGATAGCACTAAACAGATTATCAAGGCAGAAAAGTCAACAAAGAAACATTAGATGTAAATGGGACTCTAAATCAAATAGACTTAGTGGAGTGGGCATTTACAGAACATTCTATCCAATGACACAATATACATTCTTCTCATCTGCACACGAAACATTTTCTAAACTAGATCATATGGTCAGGCCACAAAAGTCTCAATGAATTTTTAAAAATCAAAATCATATTAAGTATTTTCTAAAATCACAGTGAAATACAACTAAAAATAAATATCAGGCCAGGCGTGGTGACTGACACCTGCAATCCTAGCACTTTGGGAGGCCGAGGCAGGTGGGTCACTTGAGGTCAGGAGTTTGAGACCAGCCTGGCCAACATGGTGAAACCCCGTCTCCACTAAAAATACAAAAAAAAAAAAAAAAGCCAGGTGTGGTGATACACACCTGTAATCCCAGCTACTCTGGAGGCTGAGGCAGGAGAATTGCTTGAACCCAGGAGGTGGAGGTTGCAGTGAGATGAGATCATGCCACTACACTCCAGCCTGGGTGACAGAGCAAGACTCTGTCTAAAAAAAAAAAATCAATATCAACATGAACTCTTAAAACTATACAAATACATGGACATTAAACAACCTGCTTCCTGAATGATCTCTGGGTCAATAACAAAATTAAGATGGAAGTCAAAAAATTTTTGAGGTGAATGAAAATGGAGAAACAACATAAAAAAACCTCTGAGATACAGCAAAATCAGTGCTAAGAGGGCAGTTTATAGCAATAAATATCTATATCACAAAGATACAATGATCATAAATTTACCTAACATCATACCTCAAGGAACCAGAAAAACAAGAACAAACCAAATTCAAAGCTAGCTAGAGAAGGAATAACAAAAATCAGAGTATAACTAAAGGAAATAGAGGCAAAAAAATAATAAAACGGACCAAGGAAATAAAACCTTGGTTCTTTGAAACGATCAACAAAATTGATAGACTACTAGCTTGATTAACCAAAAGAAAAGAAAAGATATTCAAATAGGCACAGTCAGAAATGAAAAAGGAGAGATTACAACTGATACCATAGAAATCCAGATTATCCATGACTACTATGAACATCCCTACATGCACAAACTAGAAAACCTATATGAAACAGGTACATTCCTAGAAACATACAACCTCAAAAGAGTAAACCAGAAAGAAATAGAAACCCTGAACAGATTAATAATGAGTAGTGAGTTTGAAACAGTAATAAAAAATCTCCCAGTTAAAAAAAAAAAGCACAGAAGCAGACAGATTCACAGCCAAATTCTACCATCCATACAAAAAATTAGTACCAATCCTCCTGAAACCATTTAAAAATTTTGAGGAAGAAGGGTTTCTCCCTATTCTATAAGGCCAGTATCACCCTGACACCAAAGCCAGGCACAAACACACACACACACACACACACACATGCACACACAAAGAAAACTACACTTCAATATGCCTGATGAACATAGATGCAAAAATCTTCAACAAAATACTAGCAAATCAAATCTAACAGCATATCAAAAAGATAATACAGCACAACCTAATGAATATTATACCAGGGATGCAAGGATGGATCAACATACACTAATCAATAAATGTGGTTCACCACATAAATAATTAAAAACAAAAACCATATGATCATCACAATAGATGCAGAGAAAATATTTGATAAAATTTATACTTTTGTGATAGAAATTCTCTACAGACTAGGTACAGAAGGAACATACTTCAAACTAATAAAAGCCATATATGACACACTCACAGCCAACATAATACTGAATGGGGAAAAGTTGAAAGCATTCCTCCTGAGAACTAGAATAAGACAAGAAGGCTAACTTTCACCACTCCTATTCAACAGAGTATTGGGAGTCCTAGCTAGAGTAATCAGGCAAGAGAAAGAAAGAAAAGGCATCCAAATTGGAAAAGAAAAAGGCAAATTATCCCTGTTTGCTGATGATATGATGTTAAACCTAGAATACCCTAAAGACTCTTCTGAAAGATTCCTAGATGTGATAAATGATTTCAGGAAAGTGTCAGGATACAAAATTAATACACGAAATTAGTAGGGTTTCTATACAGCAATGAAAATCAAGCTGAAAATCAAATCAAGTCTTCACATTTACAATAGCTATGAGAAATAAAATACCTAAGAATGCATTTAACCAAGTAGGTGAAAGATCTACAAGGGGAACTAAAACACTGTTGAAAGAAATCATCAATGACACAAACAAATGGGAAACTATCCTATGCTTATGGGTTGAAAGAATCAATATTTTTAAAATGACCACACTCCCCAAAGCAATCTACAGACTCAATGCAATTCCTGTCAAATTACAATCAGGCAACAAAATTTTTTTCACAGAATTTTTTTAAAAATCCTAAAATTATTATGGAAACACAAAAAGGCCAAATAGCCAAAGCGATCCTAAGCAAAAAGGATAAAGCTGGGAGCATCACATTACCCAACTTCAAACTATACCACAAGTCAATAGCAACCAAAACAGCATGGTGCTGGTATAAAAACAGAATCATAGATCAATAGAACAGAATAGAGAACCCAGAAATGAAAGCACATTCCTAAAATAAACTGGCCTTTGACAAAGCTGACAAAAACATACACTGTGGATAGCATACCCTATTTAAAGATTGGTTCTGGGAAAACTGTATACCCATATGCAGAAGAATGAAACTGTACCCCGTCTCTTGCCACATACAAAAATTAATTCAAGAGAAATTAATGATTTAAATGTAAGGCTTAAAATTATTAAAATCCTGGAAGAAAATGGTTTATTATGTAGGAAAACTCTTCTGGACATTGGCCTAGACAAAGAATTTATGACTAAGACCTAAAAGCAAATATAACAAAAACAAAAATAGACAGAGACTTAATTAAAGTAAAAAGCCTCTGTACATAAAAAGAAATAATCAATAGAATAAACAGACAGCCCCCAGAATGGGATAAAATATTTGCAAACTATGCATCCAACAAAGGACTAATATCCAGAATCTACAAAGAACTTAATCAACCAAACAAAACCATAACAACAAATAACCCCACCTGTAGGAACTATAAAAGCAAAAACAAAACAAACCCAAAATTACAGAAGAAAAGAAGTAATAATTATCAGGGCAGAACTAACCAAAATAAAGACAAAAGAAACAATATAAAAGAATCAACAAAAAAGTTGGTTCTTTAAAGAGATAAACAAATTAATGAACTGCTAGCTAAACTAACTAATAAAAGAAAAAGAGATGACCCAAATAGACAAAATCAGAAATGAAAAAAGATAAATTACAAGTGATACCACAAAAATACAAAAGATCATAAGAGACTATTTTGAACAACTATATACTAACAAACTAGAAAACCTAGAGGAAATGGATAAATTCCAGGAAATATACAACTTATCAAGACTGGATCAGGAAGAAATAGAAAATCTGAATAACCAATAACAAGTCATGATATTAAATTAGTAATAAAAAGTCTCTCAACAAAGAAAAGCCCAGGACCAGATGGATTTGCTGCTGAATTCTACCAAATGTATAAAGAAGAACTAATACTAATCTTCCTTAAATTATTCCAGGAAATATAAGAGGAAGGAATTCTCCTTAACTCGTTCAATGAAGCCAATATTACCCTGATGCCAAAACAAGACAAAGATATAACAAAAAAACAAAACTACAGGCCACCATCCCTGTTGAACATAAATGTAAAAATTCTCAATAAAATACTAGCAAATCTTCACATGTACAATAGCTACAAAATATAAAATACCTAAGACTGTATTTAACCAGGGAGATGATATCTACAAGAAGAACTAAAAAACACCACTGAAAGAAATCATCAATGACACAAACAAATGGGAAATTATCTTATGCTTATGGATTGGAAGAATTGATATTTTCAAAATGACCACACTGCCCAAAGCAATCTACAGACTCAATGCAATTCCTATCAAATTACCAAAAATTTTTTTCACAGAATTAGAAAAAACAATTCTAAAATTAATATGGAAACAATAAAGGCCAAGTAGCCAAAGAAATCCTAAGCAAAAAGGACAAAGCTGGAAGCATCACATTACTCAACTTCAAACTATACCACAAGGCAATAGTAACCAAAACAGCATTGTATGTTCTCACTCATATGTGTGTGCTAAGAAAATTGATCTCATGAAGGTAGTAAGTACAATGGTGGTTACCAGAGACTCAGAAGGTATAATTTATAATCATAATATATTTATAATTTATATATAATATTTATAATATATTTATAATTTATAATATATTTTAAATAGGTAGAAGAGAATATTTAGAATGTTCTCAACACAAAGAAATAATAAATATCTAAAGTGATTAATATCCTAATTACCTGATTCAATCATTATATCTTGTATGCATATATTAAAATAGAACATGTACCCCTTAATTAAGTATGTACAACTATTATGTGCCAATAAAAAAAAAACACTTCTCAAAAGAAGACATTCATGGGGCCAACATTCATATGAAAAAAAGCTGAACATCACTGATCATTAGAGAAATGCAAATCAAAACCACAATGAAATACCATCTCACATTAGTCACAATGGCTATTATAAAAAGTCAAAAAATAACAGGTGCTGGCAAGATTTTGGAGGAAAAGGAGCATTTATACCCTGTTGATGGGACCGTAAATTAGTTCTGCCATTGTGGAAAATAGTGTGGCAATTCCTCAAAGAACAAAAAACAGAAATACCATTTGACTCGGCAATCCCATTACTGTGTATATACCCAAAGGAATATGAATCATTATATTATAAAGATGCATGGCTGCATATGTTCATTGCAACACTATTCACAATAGCAAACATGGAATCAACCTAAATGCCCATCAGTAACATACTGGACAAAGACAACTTGGTATATGCACCATGGAATACTATGCAGCCATAACAAAGAATGAGATCATGTCCTTTGCAGAAACATGGATGGAGCTGGAGGCCATTATCCTTAGCAAACTAATGCAGGAACAGAAAACCAAGTACTACATGTTTTCACTTCTAAGTGGGGGCTAAATGATGAGAACACATGGGCAAATAGAGGGGAACAACACACACTGGGGCCTACTTGAGGCTGGAGGGTAGGAGGAAGGAGAGAATCAGGAAAAATAACAAGTACTAGGCTTAATACCTGAGTAATGAAATAATCTGTTCAACAAACCCCCATGACATAAGTTTACCTATATAACAAACCTGCATATATGCCCCTGAACTTAAAAGCTTAAAAAAAACAGAAAAAAATATATTTATAGTGAACCTGTAGGTACAGTTTTAACCCCATGACAACCAGAAGAATTAGTAATTGTCAAGATCTATAAACTATTAAAAAGACAAAAAAGCTTAATTTAGTTTTAAATTAAAAATGTTTCTGTGAATAATAAACTAACAAATGCAGTAACCAAAGTTTAAGAAAGAATCTCAAAGATGAGAGAAGATTCTTTGCACACCAATCAGTTAAACATTTTTTAGCAGGCACAGTAACAGGCAATCTCTTTCCCTAAAATTATCCTTGAGAACTTGAGCTCTTTTAGGGTGCTTCTTGTGATGGTTTATGATGACATCAAATACAACAATTCTTATGCAATATGTTTCTGGGAAAATTCTACATTTTAATATTTTTTCTTATCTGATTTCTAAATAAAAGTAGTTTTCCAAATATAAAAATATTGAGAAAGTTTCAGGAAAATTCTGCTCAAAAGATCTGACAAAAAGGCTTAGAGGTTTTTATAGTTGTGAACATAAATCATGTTTTTTACTATGCCAAACCCTAATTAAATCATTTAAATCATTAGAGGAAAAAAATCCAGGCATTTTAACATTTCTAGTTTCTTGGAAAGTATAATTCTAGTCACTAAAGCACTCTAATTTTGTAAGAAAGATAGTTAGGAAAAAAAAAAAGTATGAAATGTGGGTGTACTCTGGGCCTCTAGTTTTCAGCTAGCTTTGTCTTGTCTTTCTACCCTACAAAATTTTAAACACAGTCATGCTCTCCTCCAAAGTCAAAATGTTGTTAAGCAAGCTGGTAAATAATCTTACTAGGTTTATATTGGAATTACCTTTAACAAATGAAGTATTTCAGCAGAGATCTAGAAAAGAAAAAGTTGAGAAGAAAAAGGAACAATTACTCTCCTCAACCAGTCCTTATTGAGTGTGTTCTATGGGCCCAGAACTGTGTTTCAAACTCTGAGGTTTGGCTTTATATTTTTTTTTTCAAAGACCTGACAATCTCATTGATGAGACAATCACACCAATCTAAATTATTTAATAAATATTTACTAAATGCTATATCTCTGGTACTATTGCTAGTTGTAACAATGGGGATAAGACCACAAAGTCTGTATTGATATGGAACTTAAGTTTTATAAGGGAGCCATACCAAATAAACAAGTAAGCAAAAAATAAAATAATAGCAAGATCATTGTCCTAGTTTGTTCAGGCTACTATAACCAAGTACCATAAACTAGGTGGCTTATAAGCAACAAAAATTTATTTCTTACAGTTCTGGAGGCTGAGATGTCCAAGATCGAGGTGCCAGGAGATTTGCTGTCCAATGAGGGCCCCTTTCCTTGTTCATGGATATGCCCTCTCACAGTGTCCTCACATGGTGGAAGAGTCTAGGGTCACTCTGGGACCTCTTTTATAAGAGCAGTAATCGATTCATGAAGGCTCTGCCCCTATGACATAATCTCCTCCCAAAGACCTCATCTCCTAATAATGTCACCTGAGGGTTAAGATTTCAACGTGAATTTTGAGGGTCTATAAACATTCAGTTCATTACAAGCATCTACTTCAGATGTTTCAACAGGTAATCTATGGAAAACTTCTAGTGCAGGTCTTAGCAGATAATAAACACTTGGAAAACATTGGCATCTTTTTTTCTTTTTAAATTTTTCTTCTTAAAATTACGTAGTGTGTAAACCTCTTCAAGGCATGCAAAACTGCAACAGGCATACTTGAAAGTTTACAGAGCTTCCCACAGCAAGCAAAGAGAACTGTGCATTTGTGCTTGTACTCAGAGCTTTCCTGAAAGTGTCCTTTGAGTGCTCTCATCGGCTTCGTTCTAGTATCCTCAAACAGCCTCAGCACACTCCACAATGCTGTACAAGCAATAGATATGTAATAAATGTTTGTCCGATTGAATCAAACGACAGTTACTTGAAAACAAGATCTAGTATGAGTTTCAGTGGTGTGAAAACATCAATAACAACATTAATGGGTTAAAGAATATAGGAGAGGTTAGCACAGGTTTGTTTGCTAGTGGAAATGCTCTAGTAGAAAGAGAAAGATTGATGATAGGAGAGTGATGAAAGATAAGCAAAGAAGTGGGCAAACAATTCCAGGAAATATATAACTGTCCAATGTTTCAATTTAGCAGCTTCACCCAACTACTTCTAGTTTAACCTTATCCATGGTTCTGGAATGCAATATTCCTATGATCCAGAGTATTAGGGTTCCCCAAAAAGACAGAACCAATAGGACATATACATATGTATGTATGTGTGTGTATATATCTATGTATGTATATAAAGATATATGAAAGGACATTTATTATGGGAATCAGATCACACAATATAGAGGCTGAGATGTCCCTCAAAAGGCCATTCATTCATATGATAGCTCCATTTTTCATGATAATCCTTTATTTTGATATAACAAAACATGACTGGTTCCTGTTCCTTACAACCCAAGAATACTGACTCCTAACCAAAAAATAATTCAGCAGTAAATTGTTTATTCAGGACTCCAAGTGCTCTAGTACAGCATCACCCAATAAAGCCATAAAGTAAGCAACATATGTAATTTAAAAATTTTTAGAGATATATTTTTAAAAGTAAGATGAAACTGTTGAAATTAACTTAAGAATATATTTTATTTAGGCCAATAAATTCAAAACATGATCACGTCAAGAAATCAATATAAAAAATTAATGAGTTATTCTACAGTGTTCTTTTTCTACTAAGTCTTTGAAGTCCTGTGTGTATTTACACTTATAGCATATCTCAATTTGGATACATCATATCTAAAATATTCAATAGCCACATATGGACAGTAGCTGCCATATTGGGCAGGCTAGTTCCAGAAGCTCAAACAGGGGAGAGACAAATGCGCATATAATAAAATGGAGACCAGATGGGTTTGGCTTTGGCTATCTTTGTGAAAGCAGCATGAGAAGACGCAGAAAGATAATCTATTAGGGAGAGTGGAGAAACGGAGGATAGTTTTAGAATAAACTAATGAGAAGCATGAAGCACTCCACCAACTTAATCCAAATCTTTAGCCATTATCACAAAGAACATCGCTAGATAATCTCCAGTGTAGGTACACATCTTTCCCTGAAATGGATTTCAACTTCAAAAAGTGGAACAAACATTAGGTTTTTGCAAATGTTAATTGCAAAAACTGTAATTACGTTTGCACCAGCATAATATTTATCACCGTCAGTGAATTTAGAACCTCTCAAAACCTGTTATTTGCTCTTTTGCGAGACTTTTGTGTTCTTTCCAAGTTAGAGGCCAGTGATAATCTCTTTCATTGACTTAACCCAAGAACGCCCAGGAAAAGGAAATAGAGTTGTTCCCAATGTCATCATTTTTCTGAAAAAAAAGTTGCTATATTTCAGTCTCAAAATGAGAAGCATCTCTAATTAATATGCTTCCCCTCACCTGACTGTTTTGTGCGAATCCTCAGAATGTTTCTGAGGATCTGAATTTATTTACTGGAAACGGGTGGGTTTAATGAGCTAGCATTTATAAGGCCTTCTTTTCTCCCTCTTAGTTTTCCAGGAAATACAGGGTCTGCATGATGGAGTAGAGGTACATAAAAAAAAAAAGTGCAGCATCTTGGGAAGTTTTGCTGCTGTTTGTACCTGGTCAACAGCCCAGTGATCAGGTGGTGTCAGGCCTCCACCCTCTAGTGAGCACATCACAGGCAGGAAGAGGAACATGTCTTAACTGTTTTTATCCTCCCAATGCAATATTTAGCATCTTCATTTATTAAGTAATCAATAAGAGTGGAGGGAGTGAATAAATAAATGAACAAATGCAGCTCTTCCCCCAGAAGAAAACAAGCTGCAACCTGGTATCTGAGTTTGCTATGGTCCTTTCCTCTGTGATGCTAAGTCTCAAGGAGAGTAATGGGACAGAAACACACATCTGCAAGTAACTATTCATATGAAACCTATTATCTCTAAGGGCCATTGAGAAATTTCACAAAGCCACATAGTTCCTTGACTTCCTTCCCAGATAAACATGGATGGGCATATAACCCTGGTACTCAGCATCTCTTCTGCCTGCTTAATTGGCTTGAGCATCCACATATGCATGAAAATATGGGCACACTCTTGCCCTCTCCTCATTTCTTCAGTAATTTAAAATCAATCATTTGGCTTGATTCTCCAAGACTTAGCAGCTGAGGAATCTTTGAATCAGTTATTTCATGCAGCTTAGCATTCTGCCCAAATCATCATACTCTTTTAGCAACTGTATAATGCATTCTTATTATCTGTATTCACTATGCTATCCAATTGATCACAAAGAAAGAAGGTACTTATTCCTTCTGATACTTTGTATCCTTCGATTATAATATCCCACCTACCCCACTCCCCAGCCTCTGTAACCATAATTCTACCCTTTTATTGTTTTAGATTCCACATATAATGAGAAGATGCAGTATTTCTCTTTCTATGCCTGGCTTACTTTATTTAGCATAATGTTCTCCAGTTCCATCCGTTTTGTCACAAATGACAGAATTTCCTTCTTTTTAAGGTTGAATAGTATTCCATTGTGTTTATACACCACATTTTCTTTATCCATTAATATGTTGATGGATACTTAGATTGATTCCATACTTGGCTATTGTGAATATTGCTACAAAGAACATAGGAGTACAGATATCTCTTTGACAAACTTACTTCAATTTTTGGGGGGTAAATACCCCGAAGTGGAATTGCTGGATCATATACTAATTCTATTTTACTTGATCGAGTGTGCTATTGAAGCTTTCTATTGAATTTTTCATTTCAGTCATCATGCTTTTTATCTATAGAAGTTCTATTTGTTTTTTAATTATTGCTTCTTCTTTGTCAAACTTCTTGCTTTATTCATGCTTTCTTTTACAAGTTACAGTTAATATTTGAACCGTATATTCTTATAGCCCACTTAACTTCTTTAAAAGGATTATTCTAATTTTTTGTCAGTTATTTCATAGATCTCCATTTAAGATCCATTATTAGAACTTTATTTAGTTTCTTTTAGAGGTGGTATGAGTCCCTGATTCTTCATAAGTCTTGTGTCCTTTCACTGTTGTCTGTGCATTTGAGGAAACAGCCACCTCTTCCAGCCTTTACAAGTGTTCTCTGGCATGGGCAGACCTTCACTATCTGTTCTAGCCTATAATTCTGGAAGGGCCAGCTGGTGACAACCCTGGGCAGGCAGAACTTGTTGTGGATTATCTAGTTGGCTGGACCACTGCCTTTGCTCTGATGTTGGTGGGGCTGCTGACTGTGCTTCACTGTCTGGTGAGATCACTGACTGAGCTCTGTTATCAGGCAGAGCTGCTAGCTGGATACTGTGATGGCTTCTAGTCAGGCTAGCCACAGAATATGTTCTCTGGTTAGGTGATTCTGCTACATGAGATCTATAGTTGAGTGGTGCTATAGGCTAGGTTCTGAAGTTAGGAAGATTAACTGCTTGGCACAAGCAAGAGCAGAGGCAATGTTCCTTAGAAACTCATATTTCAGAATTGCCTCCCTGTCTGGGTGGAGCCATGGGGTGGGCTTTTGGCTGGGTCAAGCTGCTGTTTTACCCTCCCAGGTTGAGCAGGTCTAGTGACCACGCTTCTCCAAAATGTCAAGAGGTAAGCATAACCCTTCCTGGATAGGTGATTGGTTGGCTTTTTTGGCTGAGCCACATCACTTTTTAGACTATTGGGTCAAGAAAGTCTAACCTTTCTGCTTCTCTGAAATGGGTAGGGAAGGCATTTCCCTGCCTGAGAAGGGTAATTGAGGTGGGCTTTATGGCTGAGCATCAAAGTTGGCCATCCAATTGATGGGAAGTCCAAATCAAGCCAGACTGAACTTCGCAACACACTTCTGAAAGTGACCTTCTCATCTTTGTAAATGAGCTATGCAGTGGGCTTGTGTCTCCAAGTGAGCACCACAGCTGGCAGGAACACAAAGGTACCACCAAGACCCACACACTAGTCACCATGAACTTTGCCTCTTTTGTTTCTGCCTCATCTCTGATGGTGTAGCCATGCCATTACTTGCAGTATTCCCCGTGAGGTGAGATTGGCATGGGCTTCCTGGGAAGCATCTTGGAATGCTAGGAAAGCTGGGATGACATCCTCCTGTTCTCTTCTCCCCTGTAGAAACCATGAGCCCAGGGCGATCCTCTTTGTCTGGTATTTTTTCTGACTTAGAGGAGGAGAATGAGTGGCACAGTCAAAGTGAGACTATTCTTTTTATCCTCCTAAGTTTGTTTTCATTCAGTTCTGTGGACCACACAGCTGTCTTGAGCTTGTTTACAAGTATTGGGGTTTTCAAAAAGATGTTGTGGTCTGTGGGTAAGTTGCTAGCTTCTGTGGAAGGCAGTGTAGCCTGGGACTTCCTATTCTTCCATCTTGCTTATGTCACTCCTGTCTTGTCTATTATTGTGGCATTGTAGTGCTCCCCGATAATCCAATCCCAGTTATACTCTAAAAAAATGCAGTAAGAGAGACTAAGAAAATCATGTACTTAGTCTATTCATTTATAGGTGGAAGCTTCAGGCACATTTAAGAAAGTATAAAGCAAAAAATAAAATACTGTGCTTAATTGTCAACACTGTCTCTGTTCCTATGAAGCAAGTTGAACCAGAGTCCTGATATTCTCCACGTCTTAAAGTTCAGATGAGTTGCCCCATTCCTTGCATGAGTTCAAAATAAACAATTTGTAATAGATTGTTATAAATTGCTTAGTATAAAACTTAGTATACTAAGCTTACTATAAAAACTGAAAAATACATAAGATGTTATCTGATGCATCTAAGAACACTGTTTTTTTGGTTTTAGGGTAGAATTTTTGCTTGTTTTTTGGCTTTTGTCTTTTGAAACAGGCAGACTTCATGTTTTATGGACTCCATTTGCAGAATTACTTGCCATTCCTGGTGTGGTAGTAATTTGGTTCTTTTCTAGCACCATCACTGAAATGAAGTCTGCTGCCCTGTTTTGTTTCTTCTTTTGTACTGACTAGACGCATATTGACCACTATTTATTAACTCTTTGATCTTTTTTATTTTTGAACATATGGTCAGGACCTTGCCAGTGCCCAGAATGACAGGCTGAAATTCTAGTAGGCTCAGGCCCATGTGATAAAACTGCTTTGCTCTGGGAAAAAGTAAGTGTTGGGCAGAACAAAAGCTGGTGCATATTAAACACGCCCATCATTGGGAGAGAATGTGCTTTCCTGAGCATCTATGAACATAGGACTGCTGCCTCTCCATAAATGCAAGGGACCCTCCATGAAAGTCTTATTCTATCAGAGACTTGGATGATCCAAATGTCGCCAAATATAGAATTCAGAAGCTGCCCTGACTTAAGGGAATCTATTTCACAAGTAAAAATGTATTTAATTGAACCTGCTCTCTGTTCTTATTTTCCATTTTATGTGCCCCTTGCTTCTTCTAAAACAATATCTGCACGGAACTTTATTCCAAAAGAAATTAAATCATCTATGCCCCCTGCTTACATTTCAACAAGCCTAGTTTCTCTTAATGGCATTTAATGACCATAATATGTACTTTTGAAAAAAAAAAAAAGTCAAGCACTTTTATTGAGCAAGAATATTGTTTATTGAGTTTTTAATACGACTTTGCTCAAAACTCTGTACTCTGTAGTGCTAATTTAACAAATCTCCAGCACTTTGTTTTCCAAGCTTAGAATAATGCTTAGAATGTCCAATGCACCTCTGAAAACAGTTCTAACTTCTGGAAAACAATAGCGGTTTCTGTGGTCATTGATGAAAGGTAATAGGATAGTTAGGGTGATTCTAGCCTAGCCATAGGGACTGAATCTGAGTCTGAATCAGCCACTAGCTGACTTTAGGTAAGTCACTTCTACTTCTCTGAACATCATTTCATCTGTAAAATAGAAAAAAAAATGGTAGACCTATGTGTCAAATAAATTGTGTGAGAATTAACTGTGTAGAATTGTGTGTTCAATTACATAAAGAAATTCAGGCCAGGTGCAGTGGCTCACACCTGTTATCCCAGCACTTTGGGAGGCCAAGGCAGGTGGATCACCTTGAAGTCAGGAGTTCAAGACCAGCCTGGCCAACACAGTGAAACCCCATCTCTACTAAAAAGAAAATACAAAAAATTAGCCAGGCGTGGTGGCGGTTGCCTGTAATACCCGCTACTCGGAAGGCTGAGGCAGGAGAATTGCTTGAACCCAGGAGGCGGAGGTTGCAGTAAGCCGAGTTGACACCATTGCACTCCAGCCTGGGCAACAAGAGTGCAAAACTCCATCTCAAAAAAATGAAAGAAAGGAAGAAATTCAAATATTGAACCTCGTTTAATCTAATAGAAAAAAATGAGAGCAGGGGCATTTTGCAAATTCTTATTTCTTACTTGGACTGGAGTAACTCTTTATAAATTATCCTTCCTTGGCTCTACCAAAAGATTCTTGGTCTCAAAATTTAGAGATAATGTTTTCTTCCATTTACACAAGCATGAAAGTAGAGAACTTTGACCTGTAGCATATTTCTACAACCTAAGCCTCGATTTACTTTTGCTCGCCTTTGTGGTACAAACAGCCCAGCAGGCTGTGTGCCCAGCCCTGTGTAAAGCAGTATCTTGCACTGCCTCGCCCTCATGGTCCTCCATCTCCTCCCCCTCCCTCATCACTGCCACCACAGCTATCACCAACTGCTGCTACCACCATCACTGCTGTCACCACTGCCACTACCGCCACTACCTCTGCTACCACCACTGCATCTAAAATTCTTCCTGATCCTGATGTCTTTATCACTTCACCTACTGGAAAAGCCCTTTCCCTGTGCCCTTGCCCTCCATCTCCTCTTGTCTAGATCCACTGTAGAAAGTGAAAAATGAACCTTACATCCAAAGCTTTTCCCCTTTCATACTTTCTTTGTTTCTGGCCACCATGGTCCACATCACCACTCCCCAACCCAGGTTGATATTTATATTTTCTCCAGCAATTTATACTTACATATTCATCCTTCTGAAAGATCAAGGGATAGCCAGAGTTTGAAATGTCTTGACCTTTTATTTAACTCCTGATAAGAACCTCTGTATTCAGAAATGTGACTATTGCTCAAACAGTACCTGAGGTTACAGTTATAAAGAGATTAGTAGCCAGACTTTTTATTTACTTATTATTTGGGGGAATCAAATAAGGTGATGTTGGGGATAGAATTGAAGGGATGGTGACTTTTAAAATTTTGCCTGGGGCCTGAATTTCAACTTTTTTTTTTTTTTTTGCCATACCAGGCAAAGAACATAGCTCTGTATTTTAGCTCCTCTGTTTATATGTGGAAATTGATTACTATGTTTATCTATTGTGTGAGAATTAACGTGCTGACATTTTCAGTGTACATTAAATTCCTGAATTAAAAATGGTATTACTTTAACAGCTTCTATACATAGGCAAATCCTGATTATATGGGTCCCCTGCTTCATTCTCCCCAGTGCTCAGGTCACAACGAAAGGGACCTGCACTTGTATGGAAGACACTTTTACCCACAGGAGAACCTATCTCAACCCTGTTGAAATTCCATTTTGGCATTTAGAAAAACCCAGAGGATGAGTTATTTTGATATTATCAAAGCAAAGACAAAAGAAGTTATGTGGAATTTACCCAAAAGAGCTTGGAATATTTAGAAAACTATTCGAGGAGATTAATACCACAGCCCCATCAATTAACAAAACCATGTATGTATTGTATTGCCGCATTTTACAGCACAGATGAAAGCTGATGCAATTGGCTCTTTTTCCTGCCAGGGATAGCTTTCCATACCCTGAGTGTCTGCAAGCAATTAAGTGGTATTTACCTCTACTTCTCACTAAACAATTGTTAATGAGAAGAATGACAAGAAGTAGGCTAGGTGCACCTTCGGCATTCCAGAGAAAACCTGCATGAGTGTCTGTCTGTCTGTCTGTCTCTCTCTGTCTCTCTCTCTCTCTCTCTCTCTCTCTCTCTCCCTCTCTTCTTGAGTCTCAAGGGATTTCGGCCTGTAAGGACTGAACTGTATTATAAGTCTCTCTCTGACCTGGATACATGAGTGTTTTTGTTATATTCACCTGCACCGTAAGACAGTAATAAATGTCAGTTGCTAAGAGGAGATGAAAGGAAAAGATTCCCAAAACAGATTTTAAGGACATTTCTGGTTTCTTAAATCAGTGTAATAGAATGGCTTATTTAGCAGATGGAGAGAACGTTTTCCCTCGTGTTGACCTTTCACTGGTCTTCAACTTTACCACATCAGTGAAGCAGCTTGTTCTATACCCAAAGGATCTCTCTTTTTAGGGTAATTCTTCCAGGAAAGAAGTCTAGTGTCCTTACTTGAGTATATTTATGTCAAATAAATATTTCATACTTTTGTAACATATATGTTAGAGAAAAGCAACAAAACAAAGTGAGGCTATCATAACAGAATGGGGTGACCCTCCATGTCCCTCTTATTTGTACACTTTTGATTTCAAGGCAATTCTGAAGAAGATTCTTCGCTTTGATACTCTCTCCCCAAGAGGAATAGAGTAGTGGCTTTAGTCACTATGCCTTTCCTAGACATTATTCCTAGACATTGCATAGAAAAGTCCTAGTTACCAAATAAGGTTATTCCATTTCAGAGACTGAAAGTGTTATTAAACTTTCTGAGTTAGTATGTTCTATCAAAAGTGAGGCAAAAGTTTATTTATATTCTTCTAGAATACCATATTTAGATTAAAGGAGTAGATATACATTCTCCCTTCAAAAATCAGTCTTTGTTCAAGAAATACTTTACAATTACAGACTCTTTCAGTCAAACATTTTAGGAATCAGGTGAATTGAATATTTTGCCAAAGGCAGTAAACCCTCAGAATAGAGCTCAAATGAGGCAAGTCTTCCTCATTTTTGGTTCTTCCAAATCACTTCAGTACAGTGGAGCAAGTTGGGTCTAGAATTGGGTCTGAGAGAGGCAGGCAGGCAGGTAGGGATGCACCACTTCAGCCACTTAGCAAAACTGCTTCCCTAAAATCAGGTATTTTTCTCTAATTTTAAACTTTAATGATTTTTAATTTATTTGAGAAAAAACCCCTTTTCAATAGAAATTTATGAGGACTCCAATATAGAAAACAGATGAAAGGAATACTTTTGAATATACAGTTATTTTATAATTTTTTATTTTTATAAGACTTACTGTTAGTTGATCAGTAAAATCATACTGATTAATGTGTCAGTGGCTTTCATTATGCTAAACTTTGGTACTTCACATGTTGTGTGTGCATTCTGATTTTTTAATTTTGTTAAAATTCACTTTTGTAATGATGTTCAAGTCAAATCTTTATGAAACCACTAAAGCCCTTTTTAAAGTTTTTGCCTAGTTATTGGGTGAAATACATGACAGAGAGATTCAAAGATGAAAGAAAATGATGTGTTTTCACCTTCTGACTACCAGAAATTAAAAATGTCTCATATAAAAAAATTTTTCCCAACATCTTATTAGCAAATAAAAATAGAGTAAAATTTGCTCGCTATAAAAGGATTTCTCACATTATAAAGGAATCAGAAAACACCTTTACATGGCATTTTTAAGTGGCTTATAAATCATTAAACATTCATCAGAGAGGTTACATGCCAACCAGAAATTAAAGCAAATCTAAAGTTGTAAGACAAAAGTAGCAGGTGGAACCATCTAAATGTGATTGTTATATGAATTTTCTAAAAGGAGGTAGAGGTTAAACTGCATAAGTGAGTTGTTTTGTTGGCTGGTTTATATTTAACTATGCAAGAGAGGACACCAGTGGAAGAAAGACGACTTCAAATGTCTTTAACCTACTGCTGAGATGTACTAGTGAAATGCAGCAAGCTCATGTCCAACAAGGAAATCAGGGTGTATTAGTCTGTTCTCATGCTGCTATAAAGAACTGCTTGACACTGGGTAATTTATAAAGGAAAGAGGTTTACTTGACTCACAGTTCTGCATAGCTGGGGAGGCCTCAGGAAACTTACAATAGTGGTGGAAAAGGAAGTAAACACATTCTTCTTCACATGGCAGCAGCAAGGAGAAGTGCTGAGCAAAAGCGGGAAAAGCCCCTTATAAAACCATCAGATTTCATGAGAACTCACTATCATGAGAACAGCAGCATGGGAGTAACTGCCCCATGATTCAATTACCTCCTACCAGGTCCTTCACACAACGCATGGACATTATGGGAACTACAAGATGAGATTTGGGTGGGGACACAGCCAGACCATATTACAGGGCATCACCTAGAGCTCAGCACTTGTTAGGTATCAAAGTGCTGCTTGCAATTTCCATTTGCAGTCTGATCCTCAGGAAAAGAGGTCATTGTGCATAATACAAGCAAAGTGGGCCTGGTTCACAGGTCTGGTCAACATCTGTGTCTCTGCTTTCATGCACTTCTTTAGATCTCCAATGTTAACCCAGGTCTGTGCAGTGTTTGAGAGAGTCAAAGCAATCCTTCTATGGACTTTGACCTTTTCTGGGTCTCATTCAAATTCCATTCTTGTTCACCTGAAGAAATCATGGGCTATATCAAATTGAAAGCCAAATGATTGGTTTATGCCCACATGTTTGCTTTTGATGATGAATATCTTTTAAGCCACAAGTTTCTATTAAATAATTTGATGTGGTTCACAAATGAAATATAATTCAAAAATATAAAACTTAAATCTCCACAACTGAATCACATATTTTAAATTGAGTGGATCTCTCTCTTTCTCACACACACATACACGCACACATGCACACACACACACACGCTTGCCTTCAGAGAATAATATAATTTCGGTTTTCTCTGGGTTTTTTGTTTGTTTGTTTTTTCTTTGAGACAGACTTTCGCTCTTGTTGCCGAGGCTGGAGTGCAATGGCGCGATCTCGGCTCACTGCAACTTCTGCCCACCCTGGTTCAAGCGATTCTCCTGCCTCAGCTAGGATTACAGGTGGCTGCCACCAATCATGGCTAATTTGGTATTTTTAGTAGACACGGGGTTTCACCATATTGGTCAGGCTGGTCTTGAACTCCTGACCTTAGGGGATCTGCCTATCTTGGCCTCCCAAAGTGCTGGAATTACAAGCATGAGCCACTGCTCCTGGCCCAGTTTTTTCTTTTTCAGTTTTCAAAGAAAGTCTTCTGCAAGGTGGGTGGTTGTGAGATCTTGCCCACATAAGTTGATAAATTCCCAAAGAATGAAAAGAAACAAGTTTCAGAACTACTATCTTATTTTTGACTTTGTAGTTTCTGACCTCCTTAAAGGGAGAAACAGATGAGAGCTGGGGCCTAGTCATTGTGAGGATACAGAGCTCAACCATTGCTATAATCACTCAAGAAGGAGGAATTAATGAGGTTGAGTCTGAGGTCTAGGATTCAACCCCCAAACTTTCAACTGGGAAACTGGGGAGAGTGGGGCTCACCAAAGGCTCCTATGATGTAGGAGGAAGTTCCATGTTCAGGACATGCTGCCCTCACCCTCCTATGTGCCATTTTATCACCATTGCCGCTCCATCATCACACTGCCCCCTAATCCTTGATACTTAATGACTCAATATTAGAGGTAGGTAGAAAATATTTTAAGGCCACAATATGAAGCCTTGTTTATGTGGTTTTCCATGTTTCCTCTCACTTCTCCCATATCTGAGGGCAATCTCTTTTATGTTCATTCATCTCTCCTTATGAAATAACTCTTCTGGCAGTAATTGCAGCACAAAAGTAGCTTTTTCCATTTGCTCCCAACCAAATCTGGTTATTTTTTGGCCTTAAAGGCACTCAAGGAAAATCTCTTTCCTTGTAAATCTCTTTTCTCCATGTTTTACTTAGAATCTTCACTCACAGATATGACAACACTTTGCTATGATTACATTTTGAAGTAATCCCAAAATGTACAAATGTTATACCAAATGGAAAGGCACACAATGCAAACTACTGTCATAAATATTTTATTCTAAATTGTTTTTCATGAAATATGAATATGGAACCCTCAAAAAATGGCTCTTGGATAAAATAAAAATGCAACATGCTTTTTTTCCTCTAGTTACTTATGAGGCATATTAAAACTTTAAAGATTCTGAGGAGTCCGACAGTAAAGAAACCTTCTTAATTTTATATAAGGCATTGTTTCCTAAATTTGTTTGAACAAAGAAACCACAGAACATAGAAAAATGATGATGTAAAACAATCTAAGAGAGTTTGTAAAACTTTCTTTTTGAAATTTATTGAAGGGTTATTCCCTAATCTTTTGCAACCAGATTTCTATAATATTGTCCTAGTTCTTCTGTGGTTGAGAGAAGCAATATGGCCCTAGCAATTAAGACAAAGTGGAGAAGAGGAAGCCTAGAATTCTGCTCCAGATTGTGCTGCCCATTTGTTCCATTTATCTCTGGCTCTGTTTTTCCACCTTTTTTTGCAGCTATCTATAACTAGTAGAATTGGTTTCTACTATAGTTGCTAAACATATTTATGCAATATGAAAATATGACTGATCCATATATAAATGATAAATCAAAACAAAGAAGACCATGGTCAGGATTGCCTAATTCATTCTTTTTCATTCATAAGGATACATTAGGGAACAAAATTTCTAATACATAATCTATACATTCAGAAAGCAAGCATTTCTGATATTAATACTATTTCTGTCTCAGATGTAAAAGAGTATAGTTCTAAGGTTCTGCAAGGATACATTTAATCACACATATATGCCCCGACCCCGACCGTGTGTGCGTAAGGAAGTGAGTTAAAATAAAAGAATTCTGTTTTGAGAGCTGTAAAATCATCTACATTGATTATGTAAGATAATCAGCCTACCAGAAAAATTACAGGTAGAGCATCACACATATTATTAATATGTGCAAAATATCTACTTCACAAAAGATTTACTTTACAAACATTATTTATCTCCAGAAGCTATCAAGGTTTAACTTTGTATTGTTATGCCAAAACACAAGATCATATCTAGGACTTATGCATCCAAATCACCTTTGTCCCTGTACTTGGCCTCAGGCAATTGGTAACAACAGATTGGGTCAATGAAACTTTCGAATCGAAACTATGAAGAAAAGTGGTCAACAGTTTTGACATTTCTAGTGAAAACAATTTACACCTGCAAAATTGCTTTAAAATAATCAAAAATTAACCCCCAATGTTTAGCTCTGGATACAAATCAGATTTAAAGAACCACAGGGAAATGAGCTGTGCTTTTGTTCATCTTCATCATTGTCTTGCTTGTGTGAACAGGGAAAGCAGGAGTGTGTGGTCTGAAACAGAGTGGGAGAAAAAGGTCCCAGAGACATTCTTGACCCCCTTCCACTGGAAATGTGATTATAGAATGCCTTTTTAAAATAAGTATTTATTTATTTTTTTAATTAAACTTCAAGCTCTGGGATACACATGCAGAACATGCAGGTTTGTTACATAGGTATACACGTACCATGGTGGTCTGCTGTACCCATCAACCTGTCATCTACATTAGCTATTTTTCCTAATGCTGGTCATTAGAGAAATGCAAATCAAAACCACAATGAGATACTATCTCATGCCAGTTAGAATGGTGATCATTAAAAAGTCAGGAAACAACAGATGCTAGAGAGGATATGGACAAATAGGAATGCTTTTACACTGTTGGTGGGAGTGTAAATTAGTTCAACCATTGCAGAAGACAGTGTGGTGATTCCTCAAGGATCTAGAACCAGAAATACCATTTGACACCGCAATGCCATTACTGGGTATATACCCAAAGGATTATAAATCACTCTACTATCAAGACACATGCACATGTATGTTTATTGCAGCACTATTCACAATAGCAAAGACTTGGAACCAACCCAAATGCCCATCAATGATAGATTGCATAAAGAAAATGTGACACATATACACCATGGAATACTATGCAGCCATAAAAAGGACGAGTTCATGTCCTTTGCAGGAACATGGATGAAGCTGGAAACCATAATTCTCAGCAAACTAACACAGGAACAGAAAACCAAATACCACATGTTGTCACTCACAAGTGGGAGTTGAACAATGAGAACACATGGACACAGGGAGGGGAACATCACACACTGTGGCCTGTTGGGGGGTGGGGGATAGGGGAGGGATAGCATTAGGAGAAATAATTTTTAAAAGACACTCAGCACCTTGAAGTTCATTTACAATATTTGTTAATAATGCAATGACTTCTTTACTGTTCGCATTGTTCAATAGACTGTAAGTTCCTTGAACAGCAAAGTTTGGGTCTGTTTTGATGACTGGCCCGTGCTCCATGTTTTAGCATGGTGCCTGGAATGTAGTATATGCTCAATAATTATTTTTAATTAAATAAGGACAAATGAAGGACTCAAACATTTTAGAGGAGGGGTTTTCTTTTTGTAAGAAAGGCTAAGAAAGTTATAAGAGCAGAAAAAACAGTAAGAAAAAATTCTAACACTATGACCACACCACCACTGTTATCTTTTTGATAGCTAATAAATGTTTTATTTTATATAGGCTAAAACCTAAAATTTATGTTGTAAGCAGATACTGAGAAACTGCTGCAGAAAGACAAACCATGATAGCAGAAATACCAGTGACATTACAGGAGAAGAGAATTTACCTATTGAAGCAAATCTTATCATTCATAACTTTGACACTAGAAATCCCACCCTTTCCCCAAAAAAAAAAAAAAAAAAGACTCCACAAAATTGGAACCTCCTGCTAAAACAAAGATTTGGGAAGTTACTGCATTTCAGCTAACCTAAAACAATTGTACTCAAAGAGGAAATTTCAAATGAATGTGTGTTTTAATGCAGTAATTAGGAAAAAAGAAAAATACATAAAGAAGGAGAAAGAAATATAATAGACCAAATCTTCAAAACAGATGTAGAGGTAAAAATCGATCATTGTTTCAGCATGTTAGTATTTAGCAATATTTCAGGGGTCTTTATAAGACCTCTAGGCACTCTTGATCACCACCCAGTATTGCAAAAAGAATAAATTCTGACAAATAGCTCAGAGACCTAGAAGTGTAGTATGTTTATTTTGTAAATGTCAAAAAAAGAAAACCTTCAGGAAGAAAAATACATGTGAGAAACACTTAAGATCAGAGTTCTGGGGTATTATTGAATCAATTCTTTACTTTTAAAAATTATTTTGAAGTCAAAAGTTTAATTCCAAAAAAATGTAAAGAGGAAATGTACTTTAGAACACTTATAGAATTTTCTAACAAGAATATGCATTATATGTATATTTATAAAGTACATATATGTTATCAATTCATATATTAAATAGTATATTAGATTACAATTTCTTTCTTGATCTTTTACATAAAAATACATATAAATAATATTTCTTTCTTCCTATTCCCCAACTAATTACTGTGCACTCTCTCAAAGCTTTGCGCCGCCCTCTGAATGGACCACTGCTCTGGGAGTTTGAAAATTGATAAATACATGTTCAAAGTCATAAATTACATTGGAAAATAGGTGGTAGGAAATTTGAAAGAGAAAAGGACATTTGAGGAATAGGTTAATTTGCTCTTTATGGGGATATAATCAAAAACTTATTTTCACAGTATTAATTAAAACAAAAAATGTAATGGGATGATTATATTTTTTTTAGCAGTCAAGGATGGATTTCTCAAATTGTATACACAGTTTCTTCCCTTATCCACCGTTCTGCTTTTTGTGGTTTCAGTTACCTGTGGTCAACCTTAGTCCAAAAAAAATTAAGATATTTTGAGAGAAAGAGAGGGAGAGACCACATTAACATAACTTTTATTACCGTATATTGTTATAATTGTTCTATTTTACTATTGTTGTTAATCTCTTACTCTGTCTAATTTATAACTTTACTGTATCTATGTATGTATAAGAAAAAATAATATATATAGGGTTCCTTGCTATCTGCAGTTTCAAGCATTAATTAAGGGTCTTGCAACGTATTCCTTGAAGATAAGAGAGTACAGTACTGTATATAATATTTGTTTCTTTTTAAATATTAAATTCCAAGCAAGCCTAAATACTTGTGGGAAAATCAGACTGATAATATGGATGCTATCAGAATGGAGAGAAGCCTGGATATATCTAGCCAGTGTTAGGGAAATGGGAAAAAGGAAGCTGGTGATATAATATTAAAAGAAAAATAAGGGAACCCGAAAGGCACAAATGGCAAGTAAAGCTGTAGGGATATTTTTATCTCGGTCATTTTAAAAGTACATCATATCAAACAGCAAAACCTATTTTATTTGCATATAAGCAAGTATATTCACACAGCAACTATGTACCTCCATTTCTGTATAAATTCCCAATATCTTTATTTACTATTCTCACTATTTGACTTCAACTGCCTGAGTGGAATAATGAACTCACCAAAAGAAATTTCCAGTGATAGGAAAAGCTAGATTTATAATTTTCCCTCAAGTTCCCAAATATAAATTCACTTTTTTAACTCCCGAAGTTGCAGGTGCTTTCTATTTTTACAAACACATTTGTGTATGGCTTGGCTACTAATGGATGTGATAAATTTTTGTTATTTTATTTTTCATAAGAGGCCAGGCATTAAAATCTCATTTCAATGAGTAAGCCTTAGAACAAAAGGAACTTTATTCCAATTACTACTGGGTTCTTCACCAGCACGCTGAGTGATTTATTCATCAAGGTCTTCCCGTGGTGCTATAGTTGTATTTCTAACCTATTCAGTGTGTGTTCTTCCCCTTTCAGGATATTTTTTTACTCCATGACTTCCCACAATTCTCTCTAAGAATCATTTCACTGAAGCAATACTGACTTATTTTTCAGCAAAAGTTTTACCCTTGCTCAGCAAAAAAAAAAAAAAAAAAGAAAGAAAAAAAAAAAGAGCACTGCAGTTGCCACCTGCTGAACATTTTCAATTTCCACAATTTCCTCTCAATAAAATGCTGGCCAGAATTACAATATTTCTGAATGTGTTCTCACTGGCTTCTTATTTTACACTGGAAAAACTTACCACTGATGTACTATTTCTTTTGTTATGTATACATTCCAAGACCTTGCATTTTACTACTGCCAAATCAAATGCAGATGGTTTCAGTGTAGAAGGCACAATCTACCCCAGGTCTCTTTCCTGATTAGTATTCTTCATGAGGCTTTCATTTCAAACTGTTGATCCTGGGAGTCTCTGGCCTTGTATTTATGACTTATCAATTCGGTACACAACCACTTTTCCCTCTCAAAGGGTGAAATGCTAAGATTATTGCAAAATGGCCCTCTTTATACCGTCATAACCACTATTCTTTTGCATTTGTCATCACTCGAATCACTATGTATCAAATACCCACCCCTAACATATCATGCACACATCATCAGGTTGGGTGTAACATTACTTCTTGAGCACTTACTTAACTTCCTCTCTCCACCCACCAGTTTTCAACATTCACTATATTTTTCCATCTATAGGTGAAATGTTGATTTGTTTTTCTCCCATCTTCCATTCTAAATTAGACCTAGACACAAACCAACATCCTCAAACTTCTCAACTACAAAAACTTCAGAAATTCTGTGTATGGAGAGGTAGTTAGGAAACCAGTCTGGGAAATAAGACCCCACTATAAATGTTGAAATTTTCCATTAACCCATTGGAGTGGGTTGAATAGTGGATCTCCAAAAGATAAATCCACATCCCAGAACCTGTGAATTTGACCTCATTTAGAAAGGGATTTTAACAAATATAATTAAGAATTTTAGGAATCTCACCTGAGGTTATCCAAGTGAGCCCTGCAATCCAATGGTAAGTGACAGAAAAGGGTAAGACACAGAAAGGAGAAGGCCTTGTGAAAAGAGCAGCACAGACTGGAGTTCTGCAGTCACAAGCCAAGGAACACCTGGGGCTATCAAAAGCTGGAAGAGGCAAGGAAGGACTCTCCCTTAGGCCCTTTGGAGAAAGCATAGCCCTGCTGACACCTTGATATTGGATTTCTGGCCTCCAAAACTGTAAGAGAATAAATTTCTGTATTTTAAGCGACCAGTTTGTGGTAATTTGTTCCAGCAGCCCTAGGAAACTAATAAACCCATTGTAATTGCATAGAGCTTACTAACAAGTGAAACACTCCTTAAAAAGTCAGTACCTTTGAATACAAGTACTTACTAGGATCACAAAAAATTTGAGTCAGTACCTTTGAATACAAGTACTTACTAGGATCACAAAAAAAACATGTAATGGTTCACTTATTTAATAAATATTGAGCATCTACTATTTGCCACACTCTGTGCTGATTATTGAGAATACACTGGTGATCAAAAAAAACACAAACAGTGTTCCTGACTGCCTGAATAGAGCTGACATGGTTAGTATTTCAAGTCAAAACTAAACCAAAGGCAACTTCAATTTCTAAAAGAAAATAAATCTTGGAAATTCTTTTAACTGGTTGGAAGTCCTTAATTATGTATAAAATAATTAATAACATGTGGAATAAGTTTTCTTCCAAACACGCAACTTCAAAAATGAGGCATTTAGCCAAGTACATTTTGGATATTACTTGAGTTTAAGTCTTTAGAAAAATGGTTAGAAGTACATGATGAACTCCTAAATAACGATGATGAAATTGTATATACTATCATTTAGGTGAGTGTTTTGTGATTTTTTTCTTTGTTTTTCTGAAGATGTCAACACACTTCACATATGTTGTGTAAACCTTATTTCTTCACCATAGGTTGTAAAAATTTGGGAAATTCATGAGGTAGAATGAAACATGGAGATTCCCTACCTAATCACATGTATTAATAATAATACCACATGTATAAATAACTATCACTTACTGTGATTATTATTTTCCAGGTACTTTGCTAAGTGTTTTATACACAGGATCTTGCTTGATCTATAAAACAACCCTAAGAGGTGAGTCCCAATGCCCTCCTTTTTCGAAGTCAACTATATGCTTCCATTCTTGAAAATCTCATGACTATCAGATAAATGGTCATGGATTTGGAAATTTGTATGACCATGACCTCTCTCATTGTCCCTCTATACCTTTGTATAGCCTTTCTCTCTTACAGTTAGCCATTGAAATGACAATTGCAATCTTAGTAATATAACCCACGGTGATTATGCCTTTCTTTTTTAAGTCTCCATTCTTCATTAGGTAGAGCTAAGGATAGAAACAGCTCTAGGCTTGAGACAACTTTTTCCTCACAGCCTGAGGATGATCACTCCCATTCCAGCTTTGACCTCCAGTGTTACATTCAGACTGACATACACATGCCAATATACTGTATTTCCAATACTCTCCATTCTCCCCTCCTCACAATCAGTTTTCTTCGGTTTTATCCTGCCAATGACCAGAGCAGTAGCGATGCTATATGGATTCTGTGGCAGAACTAACACGGAATTTGCAGATTGTGTGAAGTCTAAAGACTGTCCAATGGTAAGAACGTAAAAGAAGGGGCTTTAATGGAGCCTGAGGGAATCTGCTGTTTTCCTCATATATTGAATATATAACATTCAATAATTATATTGAATATATGACATTCAATAATTATACTGAATATATAACATTCAATAAGTATACTGAATATATAACATTCAATAATTATACTGAATATATAACATTCAATAATTATATTGAATGTTACAAGCTCCTGTCTCTCTTACAAGCTCCTTGAGGTCAGGAATCTGCTTTCCTGTTATTTCACCAAAGCCTAGTTTATTCAAATGAACTACTGTCTGGATGTAACACTGGAGATCAAAGCTGGGATGAGAGTGATCACCCCCAGGCTGCAATGAAAATGTCCTCTCAAGCCTAGAGCTGTTTCTGTTTGGGTTATATTACAACATACATTTATAGGCCAAATCTTAAAATGTGGTCACACAACCAGTAGTTTCAGAATCTCCTACAGTGTTGTTAAAATGCAGCTTATCAGACTGCCTCAAGCCTACTAAATCAAGAGCAGTGACTTAAGGCCTGCAAATCTGTACTATTAGGATTCCCAGTTGATTCTAATGTGCCCTAAAGAATGAAAACCACCAGCCAAGAAAATTTCCCCAAAAGGGGATTTGTAAGTACATTTTTGCTGGTGTAGGTATGAAGTATTTATATGTAGGGCAAGGACAGAGGACACAACAATTTCAAGAGATGAGCATTAAACCATATGAAAACTGTGGTATACCGTGAAAAGAATACGGGATTAGGACTCCAAAGACCTGGGTTCTATGCTTAACACTGCCATACATTTATTCAAAATTATTTATTAAGTACCTACTGTGTAGTAAACATTGAATTGGGCTTTGGATAAATAACAGGAAAGCAAATTCCTGACCTGAAGGAGCTTGTAAGAGACAGGAGCTTGTAATATTCAATATAATTATTGAACAGTATATATTCAATATAATTATTGAACAGTATATATTCAATATAATTATTGAACAGTATATATTCAATATAATTATTGAACAGTATATATTCAATATAATTATTGAACAGTATATATTCAATATAATTATTGAACAGTATATATTCAATATAATTATTGAACAGTATATATTCAATATAATTATTGAACAGTATATATTCAATATGTAAGTGCTATGAAGAAAAATAGCCTTTGGGAATGAAGAATCATGAGAGGGATACTATTATAGATAGAGTAGTCAAATCTGAGAAGGAATTAAGGGAATGAACCACATAGGCCTCTAGAAGGAAAAACATTCAGGCTGATATAACAGTAAATGGAAGGCTTTGAGGAAAGGAATGTCTTTTTTGTACACAAGAAACAGAAGGAAGCTAATGTAGTTGGAGCAATATGAGTGAGCATGTTATGGAATGAAACAAGTAAGATTCACCATAAGTTTTATTTCCTCAACATATATTTATAGGTCAAATTTTGTTTTCTGTGTTTTGACTCATAGCAGGCTTGGTTTGTGAAGTTCTGATTTGATTTTCTTAATACAAGAATGACTTGAGAAATGTCCAAGTTTTTGCTTAAACAAATTAATCAGCTACGTATCTATATAGTCCTGCTGCCATGGTTTACAACATTTCCTGACATCTCTACCTGTAAAATCATCCTACTGATAGAGACAAAAAAGCCCACTGTGTCTAAAATACTACTACCTCTACTAACTTGTTCTGCTGATATGTATAGAGAACACAGAAGTTCTATTTCCTAGCCATGAATATATTAGCATAGATTTATTTGTTAGATTAGCTAAGAGTCAACAACCTGAATGCTTCCTTAGATACATAACGGTTTGGGGTGGAGGCCTGAGTGAGGAGGATGAGCTACCGTAAAATTTTGTTTTCATGCAGAAAAGAAGAAGAGAAAGAGGCAAGACAGAGAGATGTCTACATGCAGTCAGTACTCATCATAGGATTTCCAGCAGTTCAAATCCTGGACAGCTCAGAACGCAATTGGCTAGAGGTGACCTTCTTGGTTTGACAATGAAGACAACCAGATGATACGCTTTGGATCTGTGTTCCCACCAAATCTCATCAAATTTTGGTCCCCAGTGTTGAAGGTGGGGCCTGGTGTGGGGGTGATTGAATCATGGATACAGTTTCTCATGAATGGTTTAGCACCATCCCCCGTTGTACTATTCTCACCATAGTGAGTGAGTTTCATGAAATCTGGTCATTTAAAAGTGTGTGGCACCTCCCTCTGCCACTCTCTCTCTTGCTCCTGCTCCTGCCATGTAACTTGCCTGCTTTCTCTGTGCTTTTCATCATGAGTACAAGCTCCCTGAGACCTCCAGAAAAGCAGATGACACTATGCTTGCTGTACAGCCTGCAGAACCATAAGCTAATTAAATTTCTTTTCTTCATAAATTACCCAGTCTCAGATATTTCTTTATAGCAATGTGAGAATGGGCTAATATAGAGAATTGGTATCAAGGAGTGGGGCATTGCTACAAAGATACCTGAAAATGTGGAAGCCACTTTGGAACCTGGTAATGGGCAGAAGTTGAAAGTGTGTGGAGGGCTCAGGAGAAGAGAGCAAAATGAGGGAAGTCTGGAACTTCCTGCAGACTGGTTGAATTATGGCCAAAATTCTGGTAGTGATATGAACAGTGAAGGTCTGGCTGATGAGTTCTCACATGAAAATGAGGAACTTATTAGGAACTGGAGTAAAGGTCACATGGGTTATGCCTTAGCAAAGAACTTGGCTGGATTGTGCCCCTGCCTTAGGGATCTGTGGAACTTTGAACTTGAGAATGATTTATCTGGCAAAAGAAATTTCTAAGCAGCAAAGCATTCAAGATGTGTCCTGGCTACTTCTAACAACCTATGCTCATATGCATGAACAAAGACATGACCTAAAGCTGAAACTTATATTTAAAGGAGAAACAGAGCATAAAAGTTTGGAAAATTTGCAGCCTGGCCTTGTAGTAGAAAAGCCCACGTTCCGAAGAGCAATTCAAGAAGGCTGCAGAAATTTGCATGAGTAAAAAGGAGCTAAATGCTAATAGCTGAAACAATGGGGAGATAGCCTCAGAAGCATTTCAGAGACCTTTCAGGCAGCCCCTCCCATCACAGGCCCAGAGGTCTAGGAGGACTGACTCATTTTATAAGCCAGTCCCAGGGCCCCACTACCCTGTGTAGCCTTGGGACACTGCTTCCTGTATCCCAGCTGTTCCAGCTCCAGCCATGGCTCAAAGGGCCCCAGGTACAGCTCAGACCACTGCTTCAGAAGTGCAAGCTGTAAGCCTTGATGGCTTTCAAGTGGTGTTAAGCCTGCAGGTATATAGAATGCAAGAGTTGAGGCTTAGAAGCCTCTGCCTAGATTTCAGAAGATGTACGGAAATGCCTGGATATCCAGGAAGAAGCCTGCTGCAGGGGTGGAGCCCTCATGGAGAACCTCTACTAGGGCAGTGCAGAGTGGAAATGTGAGACTGGAGCCCCACACAGATTCTCCACTGCACACTGCCTCATAGTGGAGCTATGAGAAGAGGGCCACCATCCTCCAGATCCCAGAATAATAGCTCCACCAACAGTTTGCACCCTGCACCTGAAAAAGCCACAAGCATTCAATGCCAGCCTTTGAGAGTAGCCACAGGGGTGCTGAACCCTGAAAAGCCACAGGGTTGGAGCCACCCAAGGCCTTGGGAGCCCACTCATTGCACCAGTGTGCCCAGGATCTGGAACCTGTAGTCAAAGGAGATTATTTTAAAGCTTTAAGATTTAATGACTGCCCTGCTAGATTTTGGACTTGCATGGGACCTGTAGCTCCTTTCTTTTGGTTGATTACTCCATTTTGGAATGGAAATCGTTACTCAATGCTTGTATTTCTATTGTATCTTGGAAATAACTTGTTTTTTACTTTGCAGACTCATAGGTGAAAGGGACTTGTCTTGTCTCAGATGAGACTTTGGACTTTTGAATTAATGCTGGAACAAGTTAAGATTTTGGGAAGTGTTGGGAAGACATAACTGTATTCTGCAATGTGAGAAGGTCATGTGATTTAGGGGGTCAGGGCAGAATGATATGGTTTGGAGCTGTGTCCCCACCAAATCTCATGCAAATTGTGGTTCCCAGCATTAGAGGTGGGGTCTGAGTAAGGGGTGATTGTATCGTGGGGGCAGTTTCTCATGAATAGTTTAGCACCATCCCCTATGGTACTGCCCTCATGATAGCGAGTGCATTCTCATAGGATTTGGTCATTTAAAAGTATGTGGCACCTCCCCCCTTGCTCTTTCTTGCTCCTGCCATGTAAGACACCTGCTCCTGCTTTGCCTTCCACCATGAATAAAAGCTCTCTGAGGCCTCCCCAGAAGCAGATGCTATGCTTCCTGTACAGCCTGCAGAATTGTGAGCCAATTAAACCTCTTTTCTTTATAAGTTAGTCAATCTCAGGTATTCCTTTAAGTAATGCAAGAATAGACTAATACACCAGAATAGAAAAAAAAAAAAGCTTTACAAATAATTCTATGTTGAGTATTTAATTGAACAAACAAAAAAGTAAAAAAAAGAACAACCACAAATATTACCTAATCTCTCCAGAATGGTAGAGAATCCATCCAGATACACAAGAGATATCAAGTAAATATATGTTCTGCCATAAATATTATAACCACACTCTACAAGTTGCATCAATTCAGAATCTGAGCTTATCAGTAGGTACAATTTTAGAACCAATAAAAGTCAGGAATTTAGTTTCCCTTTTCTTTGTATTGCTATAAAAACAATTTATCACAAAATGACATCATTAAAGAACCCCACTGAGTGAAAAACAGTTGTTCTCACTGGTTTTCACAGAGCTGTTGGAATGTTTATCAAGTCAAAATCTACCATCCAATCTTTCATCCACCTGAAATATGAAGTTAGAAATGTAACAAGACAAAACATTTTAATAATTACACAGCTTTTTTTTATGTTGACTTGCTCCAGAGTTAACTCCTTTGTGTCCTCTTTTTAAATTATACATACATTTCCATTGGAAATTGTATCCATCTAGTAGCTGAAACAATCATCTAAATGTTGACTAATTACAGACCTATTTCCAGAATCACATATTTAATGCCTACTAGACAACTACAAATATTCTAGGGCGGGGGGTCAGGAAACAGGAGAAAAGAGTGAACATTCATTGAGCATTTCTGTTTTGTTATTTGTTTTTTGTTTTTTTTTTGAGACAGAGTCTCACTCTGTCGCCCAGGCTGGAGTGCAGTGACGCAATCTCAGCTCACTGCAAGCTCCACCTCCCAGGTTCATGCCATTCTCCTGCCTCCGCCTCCCGAGTAGCTGGGACTACAGGCACCTGCCACCATGCCTGGCTAATTTTTTGTATTTTTAGTAGAGACGGGGTTTCACCATGTTAGCCAGGATGGTCTTGATCTCCTGACCTCGTGATCCGCCCGCCTCAGCCTCCCAAAGTGCTGGGATTACAGGCTTGAGCCACCGTGCCTGGCCTCATTGAGCATTTCTAGAGCTCCAAACACCTCAGACTTAGTTCACCATCATTTATCAACCACACATAATGCCTCCTTTTACAGATACCTACTTTATGCCTTGGATGGCATAATGCCACCCCACCACTGACACCAGAATCTGAAGAATCACCCTGTACTCCTCACTCTTACTTGACCACATACTCAACTAGTTATGAGACATTTGAGATTCTGCCTCAAAAGTATTTGTGAATATATCCTTTTTCTATATCCTTACTTCCAGTACCATAGTTGTGGCTGTTACTAGTTTTCACATGGATTTATGTAGTAACCTCTCAGCTCTCTCCCCTCCTCTTAGCTTGGTTTCAGCAGGCAGAGCTATTCAAAAACTCAAATATAATCATACCCTGCTCTTGCTTAAAATCTTTTGATGACTATTATCCTTGCAAAAGGTTTAAACTAATTTCCTGCCAGTTCCCTGTCAACACCTGTCACAGCATCAGTACTAACCCACACACATTTCCCAAGTGTGCAGCACCCAGAAAACAGTGCTCTGTGTGTCTTTTGCATGCACAGTTTAATTGTTTTAAATTGACAGATAATGTTGTACATTTTTTATCATGTACAACATGATATTTTGGAGTATATATACACTGTGGAATGGTTAACTAGCTCATTAACAAACGTATTACCTCACATAGTTATCATTTTTGTGGTGAAAGCACAGAAAATCCACTCTTTTTATATTTTTCAAGAGTATAAAAGATCATCATTAACTATAGTCACCTTGCTGTAGAGTAGATCTCTTGACATTTATTCCTATCTAACTGTAATTACGTATGCTTGTTTTATGGCTCCAGAAAACTCTGTCCTCTCCTCACCTTTTCAAGAGCCCCTTCTCAGTGCCAGTGTAGACCTAATATGCTGTGTTCTTCTCCTCAAGGTTGTCTTTTCTGGCCTTTTACTTTGTGAACTCCTTGAATCAGACTCCGTCTTCCACCCCTTTGTCCTTGGCATCTAGCACAGTGTCTGCAACTCAATAGGCTTAGAAGAATATGTTCGAACAAATAATAGTGCCCAAAATTCCTTTACCTATCTCTAACAAGCCTGTTATGTAAGGAACCATGACACATTTGAGAAGTAACAAGGTGCTTGGGGCAAAGTATCACCTGGGATGCAAGTACATGCTGTGTTCCTTATTGAAGCTTTGCCAGGCACTGGTTAATGCATGGATAAAAAATTTTTCCTCATCTCTTCTGCAAGCATATCTTTAATTAAAAGACTAACCTGATTAACCAAAATAGATGAGTTTTACATGTAAGCAAAGGGTGCCTTTTTGGTGAGAATGACTAAAGGAGACTTTTTAAAATAACACAAATTTTGAAGGTAATCATACAGAAGACAGTGGCAAAACTCAAAGTACAAACGGGTATTTCATTCTCTAGACCACACTGCCTCCCTGTGGGAGGTTTTTTGGGCAAGGATGTACCTAAAGGAAAGTAAATCCAGTTTTGCACAATTGTAAAGTAGTGGTAGCTAGAGTTTATATAATTTTATACCAGAAGTCCACTCCCAAATATTGGGTTATAAATTGTGCTAGTTGAGTGATTTATTTTCTGAAAGACTTATGCCCATATTTTTGGATTTGGAATAGAAACATTTGTGTTCTTTTAAAAATAAGTAGTCCTGGGAATGATTTTTCCAAATGCCAAGACCAAAAAATGACATAACCACAATCTAATTATTTTGTTTTTACTACTTTGAATAATTATACTTTAAAGGTCTTAATAATTTGATTTACTTATGAGAAATATAAGACCCTAAGATCCCTAAAAATCAAGAATGGCAAAATGAAGATCTATTTGCTGTGTACCCACCACAACATTTTTTACTTAGTTTTTATATTATTTAATGACATATATCAAAAAATCAATATAGTCATTGAAATTAATGACTGCTCCCAGCCTATAGATTCCTCCTGAAGTAGAGCGTACACAAACCAAAAATATCAGATGCACTTCTGAAAGTTAAAATGATATAGTCAGTTTAAAAACATTTCAAGAATCATTTTTCATTTACCTTACAGAAAGTAATTTGTAGAATGCTACCTTTAGGCCAGGCATGGTGGCTCATGTAATCCCAGCACTTTGGGAGGCCGAGGCAGGCAGATCACGTGGTCAGGAGTTAGAGACCAGTCTGGCCAACATAGTGAAACCCCATCTCTACTAAAAATACAAAAAATTAGCCAGGTGTGGTGGTGTGTGCCTGTAATCCCAGCTACTCTGGAGGCTGAGACAGGAGAATTGTGTGAACCCAGGAGATTGGAGGTTGGAGGTTGCAGTGAGCCGAGATCGCACCATTGCACTCCAGCCTGGATGACAGTGCTAGACTCCGTCTCAAAAAAAAAAAAAAAAAAATGCTACCTTTGAAAAGAAAATGAATGTATATTTTAAGCATGATATACATTTTTTTCATGATTTCGGGATTAATTTCTTTAAATTTGCCCCAAGTTTCTAATAGTATGTAGCATTATTCAAAGGCAGAAAATGGACTTAGTTGTCTGTTTCTACAAAAGGCTTTGAGCAATTTCCAGAAATGAAATAATTGCTCATGATCTACCTTAATGCATATATTTGAAGACCCTGCTTTTAAATTTCCGGAATCTCAGAAGTATTCAAATTCATTACTTGTCTATTTCCTGACCAGTTCCCTTTGAAGTCGTTCTGGAGTCCATGCTATTATTTGAAATGCCTGGCCGTCGGTAAATAGTTGCTATTTCCTTGATGTCAGTGAAGCTGCTTTCTTTTCTGTGACCTTTACCTACGGTACCTCTTGCAGAGGCCACATATGTATTTACATGTCTGTGCGCTCTGGTCCATACATATGGTCCTTGTTAGATGCTTTTACTGCTTTACCTCAATAAGAAAGGAAGTATATTCACGATATTGACTCTTCACTGAATCTACATTTCTGTTTTCTCCAAGGGTCAAGTTGTCTTATTTACTACACACATACAAATAAAAGCTTAAGCAACTTTATTTTTAATAATGGACAATGAAAGTACACATGCCATCCATATGACAAGGACATGATTTCTGTCTTTCTGTACTGGTATTATTATATACTTCAGAGTTTAACAAAGACGATAGTGTGTGTAATGTTTTTCTTATGAGCAGAGACATGAATTTGGGACATAGCAAGAGAAAGGTAGCCTAAGGGAAAGATTAGAGGAAAAGAGAAGAGCTGAGGGATATGCCTGGCTCCCTCTCAAAGGAAGAAGCACACACCTTCATGTCACAAATTTAGGCCAAAGGGGAAAAATAGATTGTCATAAAGGGAAACGGGAAACAGGATGTAAAGCAAGAATGCTTTCCTTTTTCTCTCCGTTATCCAACTAGGCTTATAAAGTACAGAGGAGAGACCACTCTTCTAAGACAGAAAACCTGGGATTTTTCATGATTAATTTTGTGATCTTGGCCAAGTCAACCTCCCTGAGACTGTTTCCTTATATTTGAAATGATGGTTGTGTGTTAGATAATTTCAAAAACAGTTTTGGTTCAAAAAATTCTAAAAGAAATCAGAAGCTTATTCAAAGACAGGTAGAGAAGGCCATTCAAAGATAATTTGAGGGGATTGGGTTAAGTCACAGTTATAAGTCACTCTTCTCACTTTTTTTTTTATCAGATACGGCTATGTTTGAATGTTTGTCCCTTCCCAAACTCATTTTGAAATGTAATTGCTATTGTAAAAGTATTAAGAGCTGAGATCTTCAAGAGGTGAGTAAACCATACAGGCTCTGCCCTTGTGGGTGGGATTAATGGCATTATAAAAATGCAAGACTGGCCCCTGTTGCCTCTCTTTCCCTTCTGCTTTCTACCACCTGAGGACAGAGAACTCTTCCCCTAGCAGCAAGAAGGCCCTTGCCAAAAGATGGCACCTTGATCTTGGACTTCCCAACTTTTAGAACTGTAAGAAATACATTTCTGTTCTTTATAAATTACCCTGTGGTAATTTATGTCTGTGGTATTCTGCTATGGCCGCACAAAATGGACTAAGACAAATACTGACTTAGTAAAAAGATTACCCATTTTTAAAAGACAACTTCATACAGCCGGAGATAATACTTTGCTGCTCTTCATTACGAATGGAGGAAAGAGATACCAAGGAAAGAGAAATAGACAAAAGCAGAAGAATTAGCCCAGGATATAAGTAATTTTTTTATGGGACGGATGAGAGAGAGAGAGAGAGGAAACAGATAACCAGCAGAGCAGGGAGAAGAGGAGGGAGATCCAGGAAGAGGGAACGGCATGTACTAAGACTTAGAGGCACATAGGTATGAATTGTCAGGGTGTATGCAAAGAGCAATAAGCAGTTTGGTGCTGATAAATCTGACATGTAAGGAGCTAGAGAGTGTTCTGTGCTAAAGAACATTGACTTTATTCTGTAGCAATAGGACTTAATGGAGGGTTTTAAGCAGTTCATCAAAGTGGCTGAAGTCAGACTCCCCAGACCAAATTCTAGCTCTGTCATTTGCCATTTGAGTGACTTAAGGAATATACCTTACCATTCTGTGCCTCATGTGTAGAGTGGAGATAACAGTATCCATCTCATAAAGTGTTTATACAAATGTGTATGAGTTAGTGCACACAAAGTGCTTAGAATTGAGTATTTCTTAATGTTTTATGCTTAGTTAATATGGATTGGATTAAAAATTTGAGAAATATGTTTGACTAAGTTTGAAAATTTTCTATGAATAACATTACATTATTCTTCCCCTGAATGAATAAAGCAAAGTCACAATGACCTATTAAGGGACTAAGACAGTAAATATATTTAGAGTTGAAATATACAATGGATTGGAGATTATTTACAATGATAAAACAAAACCTAGCCAGAGAAATGTTTTATATTATCCATCACTAAAGTTCTCTAAGTCAAAGTAATCATTAGAGAGGAAAATACCCCTCCTCTAATTCCTCTGCATGGATTCTAGGAGGCAATGAAAATGAAGATACTCTCTTTTAATGTCCAGCTTCAGAAGAGATGTCCCAGTAAGAAGCTAGCGTTGGGCTGCTAGGCTGAAGTTAACATGGTATGAGAACTGGGCCCCATCATAACAGGATTCCTGTAAAGGAAAGTACTGCCAAACTGCTGGAGTAATCGTTCATTACCCCATGCCACTCCTCTTTTCCTTAGCCAGGAAATATGGGAAGCTGCTCAGTGAAGTGAGGGGCTACATGGAGACTTTAAGCCCATCCATATTATGAACAATTCTGTAGGGAAGAATGCAAGTACCCCAAAAGACTCTTAACCTGGATTCACAGCCAGAAGAATAGGCATGTTAGAATGAGATGGTGATTAATATAAATTCAATATCTTCCCATTTATAGCTTGCTGGATCCAACAAATAGGTCTCTTTTCCATCTTTAAATGGTTGGACTGAAAATAGCTAACCTTTATCAAATCATGCAGGAGGACTGGGGAGAATTAAAATTAGCTATATCTCAATTATTCAAGTTACATAGGATAACTCCAGTAGTACTAAGGACTATAGATGTGATAGAAGCTACGTTTAATGCAGGACAATCAGTTAAATAATTGTAATCATCCAGGTAAGAGATAATGAGGAGTTGAACAGTAGAAATGGAACCAGCAGATTTAAGAGTTAACTGAAAGATAAAAGGAGCAGGTGACTGGTGAGGGGCAGCGTGGTACGGTGGTTAAGCTTGTGGGCCCTGGAGACTGATGAACAGTCTCCAAATCCCAACTCTGTCACATACCAGTTATATGAGTGTGGACAAGTTATTTCATGGGTCTCTTCCTCAGTTTCCTCATCTATAAAGTGGGCATAATAAAGAGCAGGATTAGGACTAGGATAAAGCAAGTGAAGCATGGCACTTGCATTACTAAGAATGAGTGCTTTCTTAAATTTTCCTCACTGGGTGTCTCACTTGACTTACTCTAGTCCCAGCCTTGGTAAAGAATACCTACTTTATAATGTAATCATATAGATTAAATAAGTTAATATATGCAAAGTATTTAATAACACTGTTTATATGTTTAAAAGCATATCATAAGTGCCAGAGGATTAGCTGATATTATTATTGAGTAGATTTGAGAAGTTAAGGAGACAAAACAAAATTCTTGGTAGACTCCCATGCTTCTGGCTTAGGTGATGAAGTGAATGTTATTGTCACACAGCAAGATAGAAATAGAAATACAGGAGAAAGAAAAGGCTGGGGCAAGGGGATGAAATTGATGGTTGGATTTGAGGTACATATGGGACATTTGGGTGCAGATATCCAATATCAGTTACATAGCTGCCTCTAGGTACCCCACTGGTGCCTAGAAGTGAGGATTAGAGATACACTATCAAAGAGAGTCAAAGTGTGAGATGTACGGGTGGTAGCAACAAAAATAGAAGTGGACTGTATTTCACAGGAAGCCAAAGTGGTTAGCTAGTTTTATTTTATAGCAAAGAGATCTTTTACAGCTTCTTACCAAAATCCTCATGACAACATAGAACGAGACAAAACTTCTCAGTACCTTGAAGTAGGCCCAATAATCAACCTAATTCCAAAACCTGGGAAGTATGCCTGCTTAAAACCAGGCTGAACACACAAAATGGATCACCACCAGTTCTAGACCTCCCTTTGCCTACATGCCCAAATTCAGTGTCATTTTTATTCCTGGCCCACCCATACTCATCAGAAAATTAGAAAGCCAACTCTTGACTGCTGCTTTCTAAAGTCAACCGCACTCATCAATTCCTAGTTCTTCCACAACCTAAAGAAGAAAGGAACTTCCAGGAATCCACAGAGCTGTGTGTGTGTGTGTGTGTGTGTGTGTGTGTGTGTGTAGGAGAGAATGGAGTGAATGGTGCATTGCCTTCTAGGAGTCAAGAAAAGTCTTACTTGCAGTGCATGCTGCAAATTATATTTTCCTACTATGTCCTACTTACTTTCAGAGTACTTGAGCTTAGCAGGTAAATGATGATTCTATTTCAGCAAAACCAACTAGAATCAAGCAAAGCCTTGAAAGCCCTGGGAAATGAGCTGGCTGAGCACGTTAACTTGCCTTTAGTACATTGGAGAAGAGTCTTCTAGAACCACGGCCAGAGAATAGGACCAAAGACAACCTCCATACCTTGTTTTTTGAAACACTAAGAATAGAGTTTGTCTTTTGAGTAAACAGAACCCAGAAGAAATATAAAGCTTTATTAGCAAAAAATCTGCACTCTATGGGAAACGAAGCTTTTATGTTTTTGGGTTTCAGAGGTTTTTTGAGACAGGATCTCACTCTGTTGCCCAGGCTGGAGTGCAGTGGTGCAATCTCAGCTCAAAGCAAACTCTCCCTCCTGGGTTTGAGCAATTCTCCTGCCTCAGCCTCCTGAGTAGCTAGGACCACCGGCGCACCCACCACGCCAGCTGATTTTTGTATTTTTTGGTAGAGACAGGGTTTCACTGTGTTGGCCAGACTGGTCTCAAACTCCTGGCCTCAAGTGATCCACCTGCTTCAGCCTCCAGCAGTGCTGGGATTACAGGCATGAGCCACTGCGCCCAGCTGGGAAATGAAGCTTTTAAGCGAAGACTTAGAGAAACCATACTACAGGAAGTTAGAAACATTTTAAACAGTTAAGTATCTTTAGTAAAATATAAAAAGACATTTTCTTTATCAGACAGGAAGTATATTAGTCTGTTCTTATGCAGCTAATAAGACATACCTGAGACTAGGTCATTTATAAAGGAAAAAGGTCTAATTGACTCACACTTCTGCATGGCTGGGGAGGCCTCACAATCATGGCAGAAGGCAAAGAAACAGCAAAGTCATATCTTACATGGTGGCAGGCAAGAGGGAATGTGCAGGGAAACTCCTCTTTATAGAACCATCAGATGTCATGTGACTTATTCACTATCACAAGAACAGCATGGGAAAGACCCGTGATTCAATTACCTCCCACCAGGTCCCTCCCATGACAGGCGGGAATTATGAGAGATACAATTTAAGATAAGATTTGGGTAGGGGCACAGCGAAACCATATCGGCAAGAGAAAGTAAGTAGCTGAGAATAAAAGACAACAAAATAAGATAAAGTATATCAGAAATAAGGAAGGACTGAAAAATTAAAATTAAATAATATAATTATATGTTTATAAAAGGCAATTATATATTACTGAAATTGTGAAAAACTAAATTAGCATTGTAAAGGATGAATCTGAGATGGTCTACCAGAGTTTGAATTTTTAAAAAGACAAAGTTTTGGAAGTTCTGGCCAGGGCAATTAGGCAGGAGAAGGAAATAATGGGTATTCAATTAGGAAAAGAGGAAGTCAAATTGTCCCTGTTTGCAGATGACATGATTATATATCTAGAAAACCCCACTGTCTCAGCCCAAAATCTCCTTAAGCTGATAAGCAACTTCAGCAAAGTCTCAGGATACAAAATCAATGTACAAAAATCACAAGCATTCTTATACACCAATAACAGACAAACAGAGAGCCAAATCATGAGTGAACTCCCATTCACAATTGCTTCAAAGAGAATAAAATACCTAGGAATCCAACTTACAAGGGATGTGAAGGACCTCTTCAAGGAGAACTACAAACCACTGCTCAATGAAATAAAAGAGGATACAAAGAAATGGAAGAACATTCCATGCTCATGGGTAGGAAAAATCAATATCATGAAAATGGCCATACTGCCCAAGGTAATTTATAGATTCAATGCCATCTCCATCAAGCTACCGATGACTTTCTTCACAGAATTGGAAAAAACTACTTTAAAGTTCATATGGAACCAAAAAAGAGCCTACATCGCCAAGTCAATCCTAAGCCAAAAGAACAAATCTGGAGGCATCACACTACCTGACTTCAAACTATACTACAAGGCTACAGTAACCAAAACAGCATTGTACTGGTACCAAAACAGATACAGATCAATGGAACAGAACAGAGCCCTCAGAAATAACGCCACATATCTACAACTATCTGATCTTTGACAAACCTGAGAAAAACAAGCAATGCGGAAAGGATTCCCTATTTAATAAATGGTGCTGGGAAAACTGGCTAGCCATATGGAGAAAGCTGAAACTGGATCCCTTCCTTACATCTTATACAAAAATTAATTCAAGATGGATTAAAGACTTAAATGTTAGACCTAAAACCATAAAAACCCTAGAAGAAAACCTAGGCATTACCATTCAGGACATAGGCATGGGCAAGGACTTCGTGTCTAAAACACCAAAAGCAATGGCAACAAAAGCCAAAATTGACAAATGGGATCTAATTAAACTCAAGAGCTTCTGCACAGCAAAAGAAACTACCATCGGAGTGAACAGGCAACCTACAAAATGGGAGAAAATTTTCGCAACCTACTCATCTGAAAAAGGGCTAATATCCAGAATCTACAATGAACTCAAACAAATTTACAAGAAAAAAACAAACAACCCCATCAAAAAGTGGGCGAAGGACATGAACAGACACTTCTCAAAAGAAGACATTTATGCAGCCAAAAACCACATGAAAAAATGCTCACCATCACTGGCCATCAGAGAAATGCAAATCAAAACCACAATGAGATACCATCTCACACCAGTTAGAATGGCAATCATTAAAAAGTCAGGAAACAACAGGTGCTGGAGAGGATGTGGAGCAATAGGAACACTTTTACACTGTTGGTGGGACTGTAAACTAGTTCAACCATTGTGGAAGTCAGTGTGGCAATTCCTCAGGGATCTAGAAGTAGAAATACCATTTGACCCAGCCATCCCATTACTGGGTATACACCCAAAGGACTATAAATCATGCTGCTATAAAGACACATGCACACGTATGTTTATTGCGGCACTATTCACAATAGCAAAGACTTGGAACCAACCCAAATGTCCATCAATGATAGACTGGATTAAGAAAATGTGGCACATATACACCATGGAATACTATGCAGCCGTAAAAAATGATGAGTTCATGTCCTTTGCAGGGACATGGATGAAATTGGAAATCATCATTCTCAGTAAACTATTGCAAGAACAAAAAACCGAACACTGCATGTTTTCACTCATAGGTGGGAATTGAACAATGAGAACACATGGACACAGGAAGGGGAACATCACACTCTGGGGACTGTTGTGGGGTGGGGGGACGGGGAGGGATAACATTAGGAGATATACCTAATGCTAAATGACGAGTTAATGGGTGCAGCACACCAGCATGGCACATGTATACATATGTAACTAACCTGCACATTGTGCACATGTACCCTAAAACTTAAAGTATAATAATAATAAAATAAAATTTAAAAAAGAAAAAAAAAAAGAAAGAGATAATGATAAAAGAGAAAGTCATACCCAATGAAAATATACTAATTTAAAGTAAGACTTTTAGCACCTTAAACAAACATGGCATCATAACTGAATCCAACATAATAATTAAACACATAATTGAAGAAAACTTTTGACTTAAAAAGTAAATACCTGAATTCTCATATTAAGGAGTTGTTACTATAGTCTGATAAAATTCAGTGAAAGGATACAGCTAAAGTTATTTGGAAAAATAATTGAATGGCAAGGAAGAATAAAAATATCTACAAGTATAAAGGGGATTTTTGTCAAAAGAATAAAAGGCAGGTTGTTGTCATTAGACTTATTAAATGAAACACTGAAGGCCAAAAAAGAGGAGAAATATTGTACACCAACACTTTCATACTCAGCAAACTTGTAAAGACAATAAAATATATCTTCAAGTATATAGGAGCTTAGAAAACACACTATTCAAAGTTCTTGAAAAAAACTTACTTGGAGACTTCTTCCAGCAAATATAAATTAATCAAAATAAAAGATCATGACTATTTAGGAGGATTTGTGTTCTTCTTACCCAGCAATATAGTTGGATGATGTGTGGTCAGGTGATTCTGCAACCTGGGAAGAGAAGCTTGACTCTGTTTCCTTCAGCTTCTCTCAGCTGCTTCCTCTCCTTCCCCAGCATCAGGAAATTTATCTTGTGCCTACCCTTTATTCCACAGTTCACACGGAATCTCCTGCCATCTCTGATAGCTCACAAAATACTAACTGGTCCTATTCTGTTACCACCTTACTAATAATGAAGAAAATATTTAAATGATTAGATATTCTACTGAAAGAAAAAATAAAACCTTTTGACTTTCCAACAAAGAGCTGTATAGTACAACACAAAGATTATTTCCAATGTAGAGGGACTTGAGTAATTATTTTCTATAACATTAAAACCCATATTGACCAGAAAAAATTGCTGAAATTTTTTCCATTATAGAAGATTAACAGAATTCCTGCTGTATACATTAACTCTTTCCAGTACCTTTTCATGCCATCTCATAACAGTAAGGAAATCCAAAACTACTTATAGTGGCTATCTCTGGGAGATAACATTTATTTCTATATTTTTAAATTTTTCTACAATGGTCCTAGTATATACAAAAAACATTAAAATAGTATAAAGAATTTTGTATAAATAATTTAATCACACATTTCATATGGCATATCAAGTAGACTGCTATAATAATCATATGCAAAAAGAACAAAGCTGGAGGCATCATATTACCTAACTTCAAATTATATTACAAGGCTATCATAAACAAAACTGCATAGTATCAGTATAAAAATAGAAACATGTATCAATGAAACAGAATAGAGAACCCAGAGATAAAGCCACATATTTACAGGTAACTAAACTTGGACCAAGCTGACAAAAACAAACATTGGGGAAAGAACATCTTTTTTAAGAAGTGGTACTGGAAAAAATTGAATTGCCATATACAGAAGAATAAAACTGGACTCCCACCTCTCAACATATACAAAAATCAACTCAAGATGGATTAAAGACTTAAACTTAAGACCTGAAAAACAAGAAGAAAGCCTATAGAAAACTCTTCTGGATACTAGCCTAGGCAAAAGATTCATGACTAAGACCATAAAAGCACAGACAACAAAACCAAATGAGACAAACGGGAAAGCTTCTGCACAGCAAAAGAAATAACCAACAGAGTGAACAGACAACTTACAGAATGAGAGAAAATATTTGCAAAATATGCATCCAACAAGGGTCTAATATCCAGAATATACAAGGAACTCAAATAACAACAACAAGAACAATAACAAATAATCCCAATTGAAAAGTGAGCAAGCGATATGAATAGATATTTTCAAAAGAAGACATACAAATGGGCAACAGGTATGTGAAAAAATGCTCAACATCACTAATCATCAGGGAAATGCAAGTTAAAACCACAATGAAATATCATTTTACCCTAGTCAGAATGGCCATTATAAAAAGAATAAATAAATAACAGATGCCAGCAAGCATGCAGAGCTAAAGGAACTCTATATACACTATTGATGAGAATGTAAATGAGTTTGACTTCTATGGAAAATAGTATGGAGATTCTTCAAAGAACTTAGAACTACCATTCATTTCAGCAATCTCACTACTGAGTTTCTACCCAAAGGAAAAGAAATTATTACATAAAAAAGATACCTGCATTCGTACATTTTTTGCAGCAGTATTCACACAAAGATATGGAATCAAACTAAGTGTCCATCAACAGATGATTGGATAAGGAAAATGTGGCTATATATATATACACATACACACACACACACACACACACACCATGGAATACTACCTAGCCACAAAAAAAATAAAATAATGTATTTTGCAGCAACTTGGATAGAACTGGAGGCCATTATCTTAAGTGAAACAAGTCTTAGAAAGACAAATATCACATGTTCTCACTTGTAAGTGGGAGCTAAATAATGGGTACACATAGATGTAGAGTGTGGAATGATAGACAATGGAGACTCAGAAGGGTGAGGAGGTGGGAGGAAAGGTGGATGATGAGAAATTATTTGATGTGGACAATGTGTGTTATTTAAGTGATGGATACTCTCTAAAAGCTCTGACTTTACCACTATGAAATCTATACATGTAATAAAATTGCATACCATAAACTTATACAAATTTTTTAATTGAGTGCTATAGTAATAACATTTATATCTGAGTGATAGAACAATAGATTATTTTTCTTCCTTTTTCTTTTCTGAGCTTTCCAAATTATCCATAGTGATATTAGACAGCAATATAATTACATGAAACATAACTGTATTCTATAATATTGCTTTTTATGGGGAAAACATTTTCATTTAAACACAGAAGGGAATGGTCAATAATATTTTTTAAATATTTTGAATTCATTAGAGTCCACTTTAGGCATTTAAATAATAGTGGATGACTTTCCTGGGAGTCATCAGTGTGGATGATGACCAGGAATGATGTCAAGAAAGTCAAGAGAGAAGAAGAAATAATGCAATTATCAAATACTGCAGAGGTCAAGCATGTTGAGACTTGGAGGCCTCCATTGGATCTGACAAGGCAAAAACTGTTGCAGTAGAATGGTAGAGGCAGAAATCAAATGTAATAGTTCACAGAGAGTAAGGAAACAGGGGCGATAGGAACCTTGAAAAGTATCAGGAAGGCTGAGTGCTCAAGGTAGCTGTCATGGGACAAAAGAGACAATTCTATTCCAAAACATCTAAAGCAGTATATTCTTAGTTTCCTCTGCAGCTACTGCTCTTCACTTGTCCCTTAAAAATAATCCCCACTTTCTTTTGGAAATCCATGTGGTTCCAGTGCATCTTACACTTTCTCTACAGGGTTGGCTTCCATTTTCCAAAACTAAACCAATCAAGGCATTTTGCTCCCATGACACAGTGACTGGTTCATGGGTGGATATGGGATCTATACTGGTTCACATATAGGAACAATCAAGATAATTTTTACTGGAAATTCTGGGATGCAGATGCTAGTGCTGCCATTTGTCACTACTCTGGGAGCCACAATTTACATTATATTCCATGTGAATCGTATACCCTGGAGTTGTGGGACAATGTGGCCTGGACAGATGTTCTCTCTAGCTCTGGAAAAATATACTATGAGGATATGAAGTCTGGAAGCTGAGGCTATCTTGTGACCACAAAGAAAGACAGTATGAGGACAAAGCCAACGTATGAATAAAGCTGAGTGGTGTGAGGACAGAGTAAATCACAGAGAAGCACAGCAAGTGCGCAGGCCAAACCTCACCTGCAGCCTGTCCTACCGCTGGGCTTTTTCAATAATGTGAGCCAATAAATCCCTTTTCCTTATTAAAGTTTTCTATTATGTACAGCAGAAATCATTCTCATGATCTTCCTTGTTTGTCCTTACTGCAAACATTCCACACAAAGGTTTAAGTTCCTTTTCTTTTTTTAGACAAGCAGGCAAAGCCATTTACAGTCTCCAGAAGATGAAAGGTGAAATTTAATAGGACATTTCGGAAATTTACCTGTGCCTGGGCCAAGAAGGAAGACAAGGCAGGACTTTGAAACCCATGCTGTTGTAAAGTTGGATTTGAGTCAGCAAGCATAATGTCATTTTTCTGCATCTTCTTGTAGACAGCCCCCTAGGAGATTTCCAGGTGTAAAAACCCTGAAGCTTCTGTTCTGCACATTTCTACCAGACCAAGTTCATGTTCATGTATTACTTAATGTATTTCTTAGCTTACTTTAAACAAACATTTCATTTTCTCCTGTGTGCTGTGTATTATTTTATCCAATCTAAGAAAGTGGAAAATACTCTATGTTGATACAAAAAAACAAGCTTCCAGTTCAGTTTCTTTCCATTACACCACCATACACAGATGAGGGTCTTTTCTACTGAACAAGATTTACTGAGTATGTCTCGATTTGAAGTACTAAAAAGAAAGGAAAATGTGTGTTAAACCAAAAAGAATTTAAGAAAAAGCAACCCTTAAAACCAACAAAGAAGACTATGCCACATTCTGGAGGGCATTAGCTTAAATCCTCTCTACTCAATGTTTGCCTTTAATCATATTTTGTCTAATGTGAGGATCTCTCCTCATGTGAAAGTTGTTAAGTACATACAAGGTAAAAATCAGCTCATGTTTTCTTATTCCTAATACTTTCCCATAGTACAATTTGCAGACACACAAGGCCATGTTCAACATGAAGTATAGAATAATGGTTCCCTCCCCTCTGAGAAGAAAAAAATTACTTAAAAGAAGTGCTAATCAGAGAGGGGGAAAACTTTAGTTTGATTGTTATCTATATGATTATTTTTATATAACATATTCTCCTCCCAAACATGCATACACACACACACCAACTAAATATTGAACATCCAAAAAATTTTTATGTGGACCCAGGAAAATAACAATTTAAAGACATAAGGGACAAAAGAAGTAGGGAAAATAATGTGCCAGATATTTATTAACATCCAGAGGAAATTCTTCTACTAAATCTGTTCTGTCATTATGAACTGAGCAGATTATATTCTATGGCCTTCGGAAATATGGTTACCAGCTGGACTGCTAAGTAGTCTGCTGACCATAAGTTAGATCTCAGGAGAATGACCAAGATATATAAAAAGCACACAGTAAAGAATTTTTAAATTTCCATTGTTGAAAAGACACAAAAATGAGTAACTCAACCTTGCTTCACTATCACTTTCTAGAGAATAAATAACCCATGCAGTATTAGAACTTCTGCTTCTAGTCATGCTATACACACTATTTTCATCATATAATGTATTTGGCTATTTGACTACCAATGTTCATTTTGCAGAAGGTGTTCTCCTATAGAAACCCTGGGTACTATATAAATAGGGTCTATTTCATTTAGGGTATATTACCAGACCTCTAAATGGATTACTCTGAATTGTACAGAATAAATTTATTCAGTATTAGCAATATAACAAGTAAAATATACTTGCATTTGTTTGATTTACAAATATATGTCTGAATTAGGACCAAACTATTTTAAAAGTTGTTTTAAAACGTCATCTACTACATATTTGCGATAACCCAGGGACTCATTAACTTTTATAATACCAAGAGCCAAGAAGAAATTATGAACGAATACTTTGGGAAAACAAAATCGGAGAATGATTAAGTCATTTAAAGAAGTAAAGTTCTTATTATTCATTAGAAGATTTAACATTAGATGCTGGTAATGACCTTTGTTTCCCCTTAGAACATTAATTATGTGTAACCTAAGCTCATAAGAAAATTACATTACTTAACTCAGACATGAAGTTCTAGTGGCTTGTACCAGATATTTTTTATCCCTTGACACCTAGGAAAACACATTTAAAAGTCTTTTTTTAATAGCTAGTAGTCGCCAAAATATGAAGTGATTTGCATAAGGGAAGAAACCAGGTTTACTGCCTCCATGTGGTATTGGCAATTTCCATACTCAGGCATACAGTGTTCGATCATCTAACATTAACCCTAATAGCCAAGCAGTGAACATTTATTTTATTCCATTGGGAATTATAGTAAGTCAGAATTTTGTGTATTACATTTTTAAATATATGTTCTAATTGACGACCCTAAAATTCCTGTCTGCTTATTTCAACTGGAAGTGGCAAATTTTACCAATTATCTGGAGAAGAACTAAGTTACATCATTAAGGAGATTAAGTAAGGTGGGTACATTGTGAAAACTATCAACCAGTAAGGTACCCTGGTGTTTGTTGACTTAATTGGCCTTGTTTGCTGTAGAATAGTCTAGGGTTTCCCAGTTCCACAGAAAGAGGATTAATTTCAAATTATGAATTGTTCCCATGGTTTGGAAATTTTTTATAGGAAAGCTAAAATGTGCAGATTGTGTGTCTTTCTGTCAAGTTAGAGAAGTGATAAGAGAAGTAGCAGAATTTATAAACATGGGCCTAAGAGAGATATATCTAGCATAAGTTGCTTAAACCAATGCACTTGCATCTCTTCACATGAAATAAAATTCTAACCCTAAAATAGCAAGTCAAAAGATGTATTTCTCTGTGGAAGGAATTGCAACTTTCAAGGTCGGTAACTGGGTAAGAAAGTTTGGGAAAATGTATGTTTGAGATTACTCATTACAGCACTGATTTTTTACAGCAAAAGTTTGGGTATACTAAAAATATCCATCCATGGAGGCTGGTTAGATAACTCTGGTATATCCATCTTACGGCTATAAAAAAGACTGAAAAGCTCTCTACATATTAGCATGGAAAACACTTCAGAATTCTATTTAGTAAGAGCAAATAAAGAATGTATTCATGAGATATATACTACATAGAACATATGTAACTAAAATATATACTTTACATACACTCACATATTTGTTAAGCAGTTATAGGGGTTAATTTTTGTCATATACTGATTTGTCATTCAAAATTATAATACATGGTTTTTCATTTTAAATTTATATAGTGAATTACATCCCTAAATTTTCAAAAATTGAAAATTATTTCATTATTGAAATAAACTACTTTTTGTTGAGATTTATAGTATTGCGAATTAGGGTTTAATTACTAATATAATGGTGTAACACTCAGGTGAGTAATACATATGTTATTTATTTTCTTTAAATCTATTTAATTTTTACTCCCTGTCCTCATCCCAAGTTCCCCCTATCACCTCCCCTAAGTAGATTAAAGGGCTCGAAGATTTACAGAGGACCAAGTCTTTGAGGGGGAGGGTGGTTAAGTACCAGTTATCACACTGTCCTGTATGCTCCTGCCATGCCTGGCAGTGGTTCTGCTCCTCCTCTGCCATGTTTAATGTGTAGAACAATGACAAGACCAGATACTATGCAGGTGTCCCTCAGGGCCAGGAACAGGTGCAGGTCTCTGCTGTTCACAGAGCCCACAGAGCTCCACTTCCCTCTCCCAAGCCTCAGCCTCCCCTTAACAGTAGAGTCTATGAGAAAGCCTGTCACATCCATGTCTCTCAGATGCCCTCTCCTCCACCTCCAAGACACATCTCCTAACATATCTCCTCAACGGGCTCCAGCTTTTAGAGACCAGACCCAGAAAGAAAGTGTCTTGCAGGCAACTTTGACTTTCCTTATTGCCACAAATTTCTCCAGAGGCAAAGTAGTATAGCACTCAGTACCTGCTCTATGGCAAAGGGGAAAATGAAGAAGAAAAACAAATTGAAAGTAAAAATTTAAAAATCCAATAAAATCAAATATTTGAAGTCTTCAGTCACAGTAATGTATTGGTATAGATGTTCATAAGGGAGACTCATCTAGAGTTTCCTTAAATGTACCATCTTTGTATAGTCTGGGTAGCATTGCTATAACAGCTTTTAAAAAAAATTTAGAAGCATCCCTACTATCTCTGGACTTAGTAATTTAAATAGAACTGGAATTACAAATTCCTTGAAAATATGCTAAAATGCACCTGTTAAACTATCTGAGCTAAACGAAGTTGTTTTTGAAAATGTTTCAATTTATTCTATAATAAATGGTCTACTTAACTGTTCTATCTCTTTCTGAACAATGTTGGTAATTCATATTTTCAAAAAAACTTATTCATTTGTTGCAGACATTTAAATATACTGAAGAAGTCTAAGTTATTATCTTAAAATTATTTTAATTTTCTTTTTATCTGTAGTCATTCCTCTTTTCTAATTTTGTAGGTTTGTGCAAAATATTTTTAAACAAAGAAAAATGACAAATTATTAAATAGAACAATATATAGATTTGAGAAAAAGAAAAGTAATAAACACAGAGAAAAGTAGAGAGAAGAACCAAAGTCTGGGCTCCCTCGCATGCCTTCTAAGTTGACAAATGACATGATACTGGTTTTCCTTTGTACATCTATTTAGATTCAAGTTATTCTGAGTCCCACTGAGAGATTTGTCAGTTGTGTGCTTAGAAGGGCTCACAGCTTAATATGTATAAAATGCTGTCTAATGATCTGTTGAGAAATTTTTCCGTGCTTTCTTTCTCTCCCTCTCTCTCTCCCTCCCCCATTTATATATTTACTAATAAAGGTAGTTTCGCACTAACTTTTCTGCATTCTTATTAGTTTATACTTCTCATTAAAACAGTAGACTTGGATTACATTACTTCTAACCACGATTTTACCAATAAAATTGTAAGATTCTGATTCTTTTCTTTCCAATGATACCTAATCATAAAACAGCAAAGCTAGAGTTAAAAGAAAAGGGCTTTGAAGAGAGCAGCTTCTCTGCAAGTATTCACTGAATTGAGTAGAAGAGAGCTTCATTTTGTTTTTCTTTTGCCAGGTTGTATAAATAATAGGCTTAGGCCAAGTACTTTAATCTTTAATCTAGACCAGAGGTTCTAAACCTTGGCTAAATATTAGAATCACCTGGGAACTTTAAAACCCTTGCTCCTTAGGCCACTTCTCAGACCAATTAAATTCCAATCTCAGAGGTTGAGCCCCAGGCAGTAGTGGGTTGTTTTATTTTTTAAAGCTCCCCAATGGGCAGTCAAAGCTGAGAACACTGATACAAGTTATCTGATATACAAGCCATGAAATATGAGAAAGTTGACTCAACTGAACTGTATTTATCAATTTTATATATCAAACAGAATAACTATTAATCTTTCAGTGGGGCCCTTCACTGAGTTAGGTGAGTCAAAAATTCAGAATAATTTAGAATAAAATAAATGTTCTATAAAGATCTCCAAGTATAGGGATAAACAAGCAAATTTTCCATTTTCCTGTACATAATATGAAATAGCTCCCTTTCACAGGATATATTTTAGTGGACAATACATAGAACTGATCATAGTAAAGTTATAGAAATCATAAAGAACTTCCAGTCTTTCTTTCTTCTAGCCTTTCTCCAAATCAACCCTGAATGCCACCTTTCCACCCCACTCTGCCCCAACCCCATTCCCTAACACGACCCTCTATAAGAGAACAGGCAGAATTCTGAATTGTTTTGTTTTTACTCTGTATCTTATTCACACTGCGTGTTACCTAAACTGCATTTCGGGCTTTTATTTTTAAATGTGTAACTATACACTCCCTCCCAGCACACTCACAAGTGGAGTCTGGATAAGCATGAGGATGTCTGGAAGGTTGTCATGGTGAGACTCAGTCTAGGCCTCCAGCCAGGCCTCAAGTCAAGCCTGCTCTAATGGGTTTGGGGAACTTCCTGGAGAAGCAAGGGACTAAGTGAGGGTCTGAGCTGTCCCAGAGCTGCGTGGGACTGGCTGCAGTTGGCTGCTGTTGGCTGCTTCCAAGGGTTCTACATCAGCTGGGGAAGAAGAGCTGGGTTTAGGCTTCTCTTGAAACCTTCCCAAGAACACTCTCCTAATGGCAATCATATCATTCCAAGGCAAACCAGGGTTAAAGTTTGAGAGCTATGGAAAAAGACACAAAGGAAGTCTCAACTCAAGGCCATGAATAGAGAGAAACAGAGTCTCAGAGACCCTCCAGGTTAAGTTAGGTGCTATGTAAGGTGAAATATTTACCCTGGACTGAGGGCCTTACATACCAAGTTTAAAACTTCCTGTGGCTCTGGGTGGCAAATATTCCAATTTTCATTTTGAAGATGAGTACATGAACCCTGTCTTAGTCTGCTTGTGCTGCTATAACAAAGTCTGAGACTGGGTAGCTTATAAAGAACAGAAACTTACTTGTGACAGTTCTGGAGGCTGAGAAGTCCAAGATCAAGGTGCTGGCAGGTTCATTTGTCTAGTGAAAGCTGCTTTCCACTTCGTAAGATGGTGTCTTAATGCTGAATCTTCCAGAGAAGGGAGAAATGTTGTGCCCTTACACAACAGAAGATAGAGGGCAAGCTAGGTGCTTCTTCAAAGGCTGCTTGAAGTGCCTTTTATAGGAGCCTTAATTCCATCAATGAGGGAGCAGCTCTCATGGCTTAATCACCTCTTAAAGGCCTTAATGCTTAACACTACCACATTGGCAACACCTGAATTTTGGAGGGGACATATTTAAACCATAGCAGACCCTCAGAAAGGTCAAGTGACTCACCCAAGGTCATACAGTTTATACTTGTTCATGTCACTTTGCATACATCCTGAAATAGCATTAAGCATAATTCTAAATTTCATCATAAATATCTAAGTCATGGCCCAAACTGATCTTTTTAAAATGTAGTACGTAACAACTAAGTTCCACTCTACTCCTTTCATTCACTTCAAGTTAAAATCATGTTAGGGTACCCCTCTAGGAAAGACTAGAAAATACAGTGTACTTATTTCTACTTTCTAATGTGAAATATTTTTTTAAAGCAATAGAGATTTAAAGATGAATCAATGCAAATAGTGGAGAAAGGGTGGTTATTGGTTATTGGTTATTGAATTTATGTTTACAGCCTAAATAAAACTTGATCGTTTTTTGCTCTGGTGCATGCAATTGTTCTCTAATCTCCTAAACTCATCAAAGGGCTTCTCTCTTAAGGTGTAACTAATTATTTTCAGATTTGCATATTAAATTCTAAATAATAAAGCCATAAAGCTCAGAAACATAGACTATGGCCTGAGATACCCCAGGTGGATGGAGTCTCAAAAAGTGATACTGTGATTTAATTTGAACAGTAATGTATCAAGTGGGCATCAGATTTTTATCATTATGCTTTATAAACTTATTTACCAGGCATATGCTATAAAGTATACATTACTGTATACCTGGGAAGACAAGAAATACATAGGAACATGTTATTTGTCCGAAATAATTTGAGGGGAAAAAATGTGCATACATGGCATTCCTGACAAGGCTATTTTGACACAGCTGTGCACTGATGCAGCTATTTCATGGAGGGGATTTTTAAACACAGCCCAAAAAAAAAACTGTTAAACTTTCAGCTGTTTCTGTTAACAAGTAATGTGTGAAACAGATATAGTGTTCCCATTCTAAAACCTTTTCACAACATTGAACCTCACCCAGTTGTAGATCCCCACCCCCTGGGGTAGCAAGTGAGGATTAAGTGGTGGTCTGGAATGAAGTGGGGTCAGGGATGGGTTGAGGATGAGGGATGGAGTGAGGTTAGGCATCACCTGGCAGACAAACTATATGTGACCAGAAGTTATATGTTTACCACACTTACTTGTCTCAGAGAAGGCCATATATCATTCTTAGCAGAGTGCCTGTTCAGTCTCTGAGAATTCACTTATATTTTAGAGTCTGCTAAATTTACAATGGGCATACTCCTTTACATTTATGAATAAACAGAACTGTCTGTGTAAAGAAGCCACTTCATCTGTTTTACATTTGAACATCTAGGAAACTCAATCATGGATACCTCTGCGTCTAGAGGTTTCCTAATTATGCAAACTTGATTTGATTGGCTGTATATGGCACACCAGGTTGGGGAGGATATTTGAACAATAATATGACTCCCACACAGAAAATTTTCAACCTGTTTTCTAACAGTTCTCTCAATTCTCAAGCACACTTTTCCTCTATTTACAAAAGTAATGTATACTTAAGGAATTTCCAAGATTAGAAAAAATAAAAGAATGGGGAAGGAATAGTCAGAGATATATGTTGTACTTATTACATTGTAACAAATTTAATGTAACCTTTATATTACATTATAAAGATAATCACTCATTACAGTGTAACAAGTAAAATATGACCATCTAATCTTTTAATTCAGAAATGTTACTACCACCACTTCAATGGGAATGAGTCTAAAGAGCTGTTTGAAACCCACTATTTTAGATAGACATGTCTAACTTGGAGAAATACCTACATATGGTCACACCTGAGATTTTCCTCTCTAAAATAGTGAAGAAATATCTGTCTTATACATCTTTTTGCACTTTTTATGTGATTTCTTACTGATGTCTCCAATGGAATTGAATTAATAAATTATGACCTTGTTCCAAGAAAAGCTCTGATAATAGACTTTAGCTATCTTATTAGAAAGTAATACATATAAGTTGTCCATTATGTTATAAAATGAACTATTTACTTAATTACCTTGTTTAATAGTACTAATTTAACATGTTTTCCCATCTGGTTAATTGCCTAATGAAAAAATTCTTGGTGGACTAGTGGTTTCCTAGTTATCATTTAGAACAGCAAAATCTATCCTTCAGCTACTGTGGAGGCCAGTCTGTGTATCTTTTATATAGTGTGGAAACTCTTCTGAATGACAGATTGGTGCTTTCCCTTTGGGGATTTCTTTGTGTATCATCTGGCTTCAATTTCTTCATGGGCTTTGTGCCTTGGTGAATGTGTATGTATGTGCTTATGCTTACATAAAACAACGTAATTAACCTAAACATATCACTGTGGACTCAAATATGTATGAATGTACATCCCCTTTATTTCAAAGTATGACTCTTACGTTAAAAGACATACACATAGGAAGAGGATGAAATTGAAATCTGAACAGACAATGTACAAAGTTATAAAATCAGGATTAAGCTTATAAATTTCATTACAATTAAATTATAAAACATCATGGATTATATAGTCCTATTAATGAACCTATGCTTTCTTAATGACAAGAACAGGTTTCCATGTGTTAATCACACCATACATCTGAAATTTATTGGCTTCTTTTGGAATAAATTTAATGTATTAGTTCTAAAGTAGCCACTGCAAAACTAACAAAACGAAAATTAGAAACCAGGAGTGAGCCTAGTTTGTATAAAATTAGTAAAAAGCATTGTCATTCCACATGGAGCTGCTTAACTCATAAATGTATTACTTTATTAAAGATCTATGAACACTTATTAAATGCCACTATTGTTCTACTCTTTAGAGATACAGCAGTGTACAAGATGGACCAAGTCCATGCCCTAGAGAAGCTTATAGTCTAGCAAGGTAGATAAACAAAATTGGTAAATAAATAATTACATAATTTCAGAGCATGATCATTTTTAAAGAAAAATAAAGCAGAACAAGGGATTTCAGAATGACTCTGGGATAGAGAGTAGAGTAACAATATTTGAGCAGCGACCTAAATGACATGAGGGAGTTAGACTTGCAGATGTATAAGGGAAAAGTGTATCAGATGGAGGGGAAAGCAAACACAGAGGATTTAAGGGAGGAGAGGCATGGTGTGGTCAAGAATCAGCAAGGTCAGTGTGGTTGCAGGAGGAGAGTGGGAGAAGGAGAGAGGTAAACAATACAGGAGAATTGGGCAAGAACTGGATGGTGACCTTTCAGAACAGGGAGGAAAAACAACAAAGGAGATAAGAGTCAGCAGGTTAGGAGAGTGTAGCACCATGGAAGCCAAGAGAAAAAAGAGTTTCCAGAAAGAAGTGATGTAGTGTGTTTAATGATGCTGAGAACCTAGTAAAACACGGACAGAAAATTAACCATAGGATGTGCACACTGGAGTTCTTTCAACAGAGGGGAGGGGTCCTTTCCAAGAGTTTTTCTTAAATAGGAAATAGAGAAATGGGGTATCAGCTTCAAGGAAAGATGAGATCAAGAGGGGTGTTTTTCTAAAATGAGAGACGTCATGATGCATGGACAATGCAAGGTCAACAATAACAAAGATAAATCTTGTACCATTTATTATACTGCATTAATGTGTACATATCACACACACACACACACACACAAACACACACATGCACTCACACACGCATATTCAATTTCCCAAATATCGACTTGTTTAATAATGCTAGTTCAGCTCTTCAACTTTCTATCCATCTTTTTTCTTTACCCTATACCCTAACCTATAGCATTAATTGCTTCCCTAGAATACTGTATTAACCACATAAATTATTATAGAAATTATCAAAATACATATCTTGTGGAGAAACTTCAAAATAAGGTAAAAATTATCATTTCAGTCACAAATTGTACATGATTGACTGCTTTTATAATTTGAGATTCTATCAGACTATAACTGATTTTAATATAACTTTTTTACTCTGAGCACTGTTTTGGAGGAGGGGTGTGTGTGTGTGTACAAATATATACAAACCAATTTGAAGCACATTGGCAGAATATATAAATCAGCACATATATAAAGACAAGTGGCTTTGTGGAAAGAGTACAGGCATGAAACCGGAGACAACTAGGATGGCATCCCAGCTCTGCCAGTTACTAGCGTGTTACCTTGGGCTCCCAGCACCTCAATCCCATCATTTGTGAATAGAGGTAATAATGAGGTAATAATGACCTCGGGAAGTAATAATGACCAGCTCATAGAGATGATATAAGAATCAAATGAGTAAAAAATATAGGTAGAGTACCTGGCATATATTCCATGTGCTTAATAAACAGTACCCTGATTTCTATTATTAATTAAGTTCACTTTGATATTATATTACTATAGTTTTTCCACTCTCTGTCAATATCCTTCATTGAATAGAAACACAATGCTATATAATAAGGCATTCAATCATTAGGAATTCATTTCTTGCAATCAGTTGGTACTGACAAACCATGAGAAAGCTATTATCTCTTGAGTGATAACTAATCACTCTTTCAGAAAGAAGGCAGAAAAATGATATGCACATTCGACTTTCTACCAAAATGAAAATCTGTTTGGGAAATAACTGGGTAGGAAATGTATCCTTGTAAATGACTTGAAAGGCAACAGAGCAGTGCTTTTTAAAGTGTGGTTACCAGACCTAGGCATTCCTCCAGAGTGTCCCAAAGGCTGGAATGGGGGTAGGGCATCAAGAAATGATGTTTGGCAGTGGATGGGGTTCACTGATTCCATCAGAACACCTCCACTCTCGTCTGTGTATACACTGGACCTAAATTAGATTTCACTTGAAGAAAAGGCTCCAAACCTAAAAGAACATTTGAAATTCTTACCCTAAATGAAGAGTTAGAGGCTATGGTGATTCTCATTACTCACTCACTCAAGGGCTTTTCACTGTAATTCTGTGTCAACAACCATGATTTAAATAATCACTGAAACCAGACCAAAAATTAGATTACAAATACAATACACAGTCCAAGTTAGAAGTGAGGCTTAAAATCAAATAAGTGGCACTAAGGAGAGAGTTGATAGATATCTCAAAGTGTTTATTCATGAAACACCACACCATTGAAGATACAAGTAAAAACTTGCTTAGCTTCTTTTCTTGCCTACCATCCTATACAGTAATCGGATTTTCTTCCCTTCAATAATCCCCAATGTAATGCTAAAATGAAAAATTAACTCAAAATTTCCTCTTTTCAAAGGCCTGTAATTCATCTGACCCCTGAGGGAGAAATTCTCACACACTTTCTCTGGGTGAGGGCCATATGATTCCCATTGTTTTTAATATAAATCACACTTCTCAAATCCTACAAAAGGCTTTAGCAATTTAGGTATTCACATTTTCATAGCCAAAACTGTTGCTTTTTAATTTCCTCTGGGTGTTTCTTTCTCCATTAAAACTATTGTAAGGTATTTATGGTGTGAATCCATGAACGAAACACCCAATAGAGCTTTCCGTTCCTTCTCCCACTGTGTCTGTGCAGCATGCTATAGTTACCTCACTCTAAGACTCTTTCACTTACAATAGGAAATATGTACAAGCCAGTTCATGTATGATAGACATAGTCCTATAATCATGGAGGATTATGAACTCATGTGGTTTATTACATCTAAAACTTTCCAAATATAAAGATTCTTTTAACTTCAAAAATATCTATGCATTTCCACTTAAAAGTAACTGTAATTTTGGTATTTGAACACTGAGAAAAATATATAGTGACAAGAATACATCATGGATTAATAGTCCTATTAATGAAGCTACATTTTCTTAATTACAAGAATAGATTTCTGTGTGTTAATCAAACCATACATCTAAAATAGTACATATACATGTGACATAGATTATACTTTCTGTCTACAACAATGCTTAGCATAACCGTAGATGTGTAGAGCCTTCTTACTAATTCTGAGTCCTCAGAAATCTCCATACTACATGTCACAAACTACTGGTAGAGGAGAAAGTACATGGTCTCTAGAGTCAGAAAAACCTGGTTTAAATCACAGGTTAAATCTCTTACCAGCTATATGAACTTAACCCATCTGACTCCTAGTTTCCCAATCTAACAATTCTAATTTTAGGATAGAGGTTGTGTACATTAAAATATATATAGCACTTGATTTGCAATAGTAATAATGGTTAATAAAGATTGTGTGTTTACTGTGTGTTATATACTGGGCTACATGCTTTAGACCATTTGCATATCTGTACATTTTAAGACATAAGCTTGTAAACAACAATCCCATGACGTATACTGTGGTGGTCAGTAGAATACACATCAGAGTCCAAGCACCTGGGTCCAAATCCAGGCTCTGAACTCTAATACCCACTAGCAGCATGACCAGGTACAAGTTATTTAACTTCTCCAACATTTTTCTTTTTCATCTGTAAATGGGAAAAATAATAATCTTTATCTTATGTTAATAACATTTGGCAAGTGCTTAACACAGTGCCTTGAACACAGAATATATAAATATTAGATAATATTATAATTTTAAAGGTAAAGCAACTGGTTTCAGTAAATTAACTTGCCCAAGGTCACATCATTGCTAAAAAGCAGAGCTAGGGCTCTAATCCAGACCTATCTCTCTAATACACATTTTATAGGTGTTAGCTTCTTCTAACAGAAATTTACTCTTCTTCCCTCTACTCTCCTCTAGGTTCAACTCTCCTGGATAATGACAAGGGACAAGCAGCTCAATCTAAGCAGTAGGCAGCTATAAGGACTCTAGTCAGAAGCCAACTTACCAAGAGAATGAACTTCCTTTCCTATATGAAGCCCCTTCCAGGAAATAATGCATACAGCTAGAACCAGTGAGGCCAGCAGATTTGCAAGTGCTGATTTGGTATATTGGTTGCAACCCAGTAGTGGGTGAAATAAGCAGAAGGCACAGTACCCAGAAGCACTTGAACCCACAGACTCAATGAATCCTATAACATACAACACAGGCCCATCACCTATAATTTTTCATCTTTCTCCCTTTCAGTCACTTTTGCCAAATTTCCCTCAAGGTGGAGCTAACCTAATCAGGTTTTTGCATCTTTCCTGAATATTAACCCATGTATTTATATAATTATTATCTCTCCATAATACGATTAACAAAAGAAAATGCCAAGCCAGTGTAATGCAGGAACAGTTAAATCTTTGCAGAAACCTTATCTCATTCTCAGGTTACAAGTACGCAGAAACAGGGCAGAACACTTTCTCTATATCTCACTGGCCAGACTTACTTTATTCCTAAAGGTACTTCCACTCAAAATCCCCAGCCCGATATACTTGAGTATTAATTCAACGTGAAACTAAAATTGAGAACCCAGCTTTAATGTCTTTCATAAGACCGTCTACCTCATCCAAATGTGGCTTTTAACCCTTAAGCTATAGTTTTATTTTGATATATCCCAGTTCTACCAACTAGCCTTGATACACATCTCTCCTCTAATACAATGACATCTACTTCTCATCAATACTATATGGGATTTTCTGTGTAAACTTGACCTCAGAAATATCTGAAAAATTCTAAGGCACAAACTATGGTAGGCCCAACAGACTCGGAGATCAATGAAGTTCTCAAAGTGAATGAACTTCTCTACATTAGTATGATGCAAAAACTAAACTCTTGATTATATGACCCCAAAGGCCTTCACAATCTACTTTCTATCTGTATACCCTGAAGAGTTATTTAAACTTTTTTGAGACAATCCTCCTTAAAAATCATTCAAAGATTCAAATTAGGGAGTTGGCCTCAAGCTTACACATCTCTCAGAGACCCTCCTTTTTTGAGCAATATCTTCCTTTGCATTAATAGACCATGTTTTCTGATAAGTAAACCAGTACCACAGCCTCACCACTCTGTGCCTCCATTGAACACAATTGTCACTTAACTACAAGCAAAGTGGATTGACAAGTCCTCAGTAAATAATGGATGAGCATTGAATCAAAAACTAGGTATTCATTCCTACCAAAATTGTCAATATAGTATTTTTTTAAAATTTAAAAGTTCCATTGGAAATACAGAAAGCGCTCTTTGCAAAATAGAAAAGGACAAAACTGGTACAAAGAAAAGTTTCCAGTTTCTGCAAGGTCATTATAAACAAGATTTTAAAAACAACTATTAAAAATTTCACCACAGCCCTTTCAAACAAGCTGACAGACAAAAGAAGCTACAATGTGAAGCCTGGAACCAGGATGCTCAGTCAGCCAGTTCCTTATGAAAATAATCCCAGAATCATCATACTGTTGCATTACTCTTGACTTTCAAGTCTGAAGAGTTTTCTTTTGCTTCACTTCCTTTCAATGTGGGCGGCTCCACAGTATTCTGAAGGCAAGCTGGGACTTGAGACAACTAATGACAGGGCAGTTTCTCATGGGCAGGTATCTAAGAAGAGGGAGATGGATTTGCTCAATTCAGGGCTGTCTTCTCAAGGAGTCCCAGGATCTAAGCATACAAAAAAAGGGGCCGGGAGGCAAAAAAAAAAAAAAGGCTCAATCTGGAAGGCACACCCAGTCAAAGCTATTTTCTTCTCCCAACACATGCTCAGAACAGTTGTGTAACTTTTGGTTTTTTATGTTAACTCGTTGAATTATCTGCTTGTATACACAATCCCACCATTAAATTTAACCTAATTAGCTAAATTTAAACACTAATTCAACCAAATGATTGACAATTAAGTCAATCACTATTATTGATTGCATAATACTATTATTCAAGGTCTCGCTAATCACAGAGGAGCTTCGAAAGTGCCTCAATTCAGCTAAAGCCCATGGGGGTCAATGAGCCTTACATGCACATCTGTTAGCAAGTTAAGGAAAGAAATTTTTGTATTTTTTTTTTTATTATTATACTTTAAGTTCTAGGGTACATGTGCACAATGTGCCGGTTTGTTACATATGTATATGTGTGCCATGTTGGTGTGCTGCACCCGTTAACTCGTCATTTACATTAGGTATATACCTAATGCTATCCCTCCCCCACCCCCACCCCCCGACAGGCCCCAGTGTGTGATGTTCCCCACCCTGTGTCCAAGTGTTCTCATTGTTCAATTCCTACCTATGAGTGAGAATATGCAGTGTTTGGTTTTCTGTCCTTGCAATAGTTTGCTGAGAATGATGGTTTCCATCCTCATCCATGTCCCTACAAAGGACACGAACTCATCCTTTTTTATGGCTGCATAGTATTCCATGGTGTATATGTGCCACATTTTCTTAATACAGTCTATCATTGATGGACATTTGGGTTGGTTCCAAGTCTTTGCTATTGTGAATAGTGCCTCAATAAACATATGTGTGCATGTGTCTTTATAGCAGCATGATTTATAATCCTTTGGGTATATACCCAGTAATGGGATGGCTGGATCAAATGGTATTTCTAGTTCTGGATCTTTGAGGAACTGCCACACTGTCTTCCACAATGGTTGAACTAGTTTACAGTCCCACCAACAGTGTAAAAATGTTATTTCTCCACATCCTCTCCAGCACCTGTTGTTTCCTGACTTTTTAATGATTGCCATTCTAACTGGTATGAGATGGTATCTCATTGTGGTTTTGATTTGCATTTCTCTGGTGGCCAGTGATGATGAGCATTTTTTCATTTGTCTGTTGGCTGCATAAATGTCTTTTTTTGAGAAGTGTCTGTTCATATCCTTCACCCACTTTTTGGTGGGGTTGTTTGATTTTTCTTGAAAATCTGTTTAAGTTCTTTGTAGATTCTGGATATTAGCCCTTTGTCAGATGGGTAGATTGTAAAAATTTTCTCCCATTCTGTAGGTTGCCTGTTCACTCTGATGGTAGTTTCTTTTGCTGTGCTGAAGCTCTTTGGTTTAATTAGATCCCATTTGTCAATTTCTTCTAAGGAATCAGGTTTCCAGGAAGCTCAGCTTGTATTCTTGTAAGGAATCCGGTTTCCAGGAAGCTCAGCTTGTAAACAAAGTTGAAAGTCAATCGGCTGGCCTGCCAGTCTCGCTAATAACCTATCTTAAAGTCTAGGAAGATAGAGTGTAAAAAGTGAGAATTTAATTTAAAAGCTATCCCAGGCATCATTCTGTTAAAATGAAATAGAAATAAGTACTGTGGACTAGAAGAAGCTGGTGATTAAGAGTAAAATGGCTTCCTGGAAAGTCACTTTCTAAACAAAATCCTGTTTCTCTTTTAAAAGTACTGAATGGTCAGCACTATCCCCAACACACACACACACACAAACACGTGTGTGTGCGCATGTTTGTTATTCTTAAGTCACCAGCTACCCGATTCTACCAAATAATAACAATGATCATATATTGAGCAGCAGGCAAAATGCTTCCCATGTTTTCTCATTTAAATTTTACAACACCCCCAGAAGGGAAATCTTTTATCTTCCTGGGATAGATGAGGAATATGAAAACGAAGTTGTAGAGAAGTTAAGCAACTTGCCCAAGTTTTCTCAGTTAGTAGGTTGCAAATTTGGACCCTGGTTGTTTTGGTTCCAAAGTCACCTCTAACTACAATTAGCTCTAAAATAAGGAACAAATATGTAGTAAAATCTTATAACAGTATACTTCACGTTTATAATTTCTTATCATCGTAATATCCCATCATGAAAGAAAAGGCATTAACCAGAAAATAGCATTTTTAAAATGCTCAAAGTACTCATAACATGAATTAGCATAAACAAATCATGAGCTGTGCAGGTTCTAATTTGACTGGCAAAAAGCTTGTAGCTCCTAATCTCACTAGAAAAACTCTTCAGGGATATTTCTGGTTTGTAAGAGAAGAGATATCATTCCAGTGGCTGAGTTTCAGGGGCAGTGGGAAAATTATCTATTGCTTTTTTAAAAAGGAAAAAGAAAAGAAACTTCTTTCTGACAACTAAAATTTTTTAATCCTTAATTGAGGCTACCAAACATATCTTAGTATGAATTAGTTGTGTGTGTATATACACATATATATGTATATACACACAAACTGTGTGTCTCTATATATACACACATAATATAGATAAATGAGTTTATAAACTCATTCATACTAAGATATGAATGACAGCTCATACCTCTCCTGAAAATATGTCTTTGAGATGGAAGACTGAATCAGGGCTCTAGAACAGTGGTTCTCAAACTTTAGTGTCTGTCCTAATCACCTGGAAAGCTTGTTAAACACAGCCTGCTGGGCTTTGCCCTCATTACCAATTGAGTATATTTTGCATAGCAAGGTAAATAATTTGTATTTCCAAAAAGTTCCTAGGTGCTTCTGATGTTGTTAGTCCCAGGACCACACTTTTAAAGGCCTCTGCCGTAGAACAGCTGGAGTGAACTGAAGCAGAGGTTGTGTTTCTGAAGATGCCAAACACCAGATGTGCCAGAAAAACTTTCAAATTCCATGCAGATATGTGCTGGTCCTGCTTTAAACGTGTGAAATCATAACGCTGGGTAATCCTGGGGCTCTGACCCCACAGTCGAGCTGTTATTTGCCTAAAGCCTCTTTTTCCACCTCTGAAGCCTGCTCAGTCTCTAAACTGGGCACATCTCCCCCCTTTACGTCTTTGTCTCAATGCCCTGCAGCATGCCAACAACAGGCATGAATTGTTTCACCCAGTTCTTCGTTTGTCAGCAATTCCAGGTGCCAACTTCATCTGTTGGCTCACATTTGAAGGAAGGGCAAGGGGGAGGACAAAGGATCAGTGAAATTCATTAGGGGAGAGAGAGCACTACTCCAGAAGGCCAGTGAAATTGTTGTTACTGCTCCTGAAAAAGAATGACTTTGGGATGAGCTTAGCTTATAATATGGGCCTTACTATTTATAGCTTGAACTATGTCATCCTCTAATATTACCAATTTTTAAAGTCAAAAAATTTGCAAAAATTCATGGGTCAGTAGGCATCAGATAATTGTTGGTCATTCATCTAAGCACTAGAGACCAACATTATTCTTTCTTGCTCATGAATATGAGAGCAGGGAAACCTTCTGTGGAATGGACAACCACAAGTAAAGTCAGTTAAGGCTTCTTGTAGGGAAGGACTAACCCTACATTAACGTAATGTATTCCTGGAAAAGTCTGGATTTTGACAATCTAGAAAATTTTTTCTTTAAAGATAAATAATGTAATTGGAACAAATAAAATAGAAAACAAAATTTTCTATGAACTTATTTTTATTTCTTATTTCTAGAAATAACTCTGTCTTTTCCTCTTTCTTGGTCTTTTATGTTTCACATTTCTATAAATTTGCTCACTCCAATACTAAATACCAGTTGGCAGAATATTTATTTGATACCTGAAGCAAGAACAAAACCAAAAAAACACTTCAGAATACCCCAGTAAAAGCAGACACCTTCATTTGTTCATTCAACAAGTGTTTATTCAATGCAGGGTAAGTGGGCCAAGTGTGGGCTGGGCATAAGACAGCTGGTGGAGAGCAAGATTGACCCAGTCTCTGACTTCAAGAAGCTTTCAGTCTAGTGAAGGATCCAGATAATCTATAAGTAAATTGGTAAGTAAGGAAATATAGATTATAATAAATGCAATGAACAAAATAAACTGAGTGATGGAGAAGAGTTGGAATGGGAGGTGAGGAAAGACACGAGGGCTGCTTTCATCTGGTAGTGAGGAAAAGTCCTTCTGGGCAGGTGATATCTGAGCCCACTCTTAACAGAAGAGAAGCAGGCAACCCTGCTGAGAGGTAAGGAGAAATGGTACCAAAAACCCTGACATGAGAAGGACTTTGAGTATTTTATTGACAGAAAAAAAGGCCAGCAAGGCAAAAGTCATGTAGCACAAAAGGTTGAAGAGGTTGGCAAGGAACGTCAGGCCCAGGGTAAGGAGTTTAGATTTTATTCTAAAACTAATGAGAATTTACAAACAAGCAAGCTATTCTGAGATATAATCTAATATATTTCTGGCTGTGGTGTGGAAAATGAATTGTGAGGAACAAGAGGAAAAGTATGGAGACCCATTAGAAACTATGACAATAGTCAAGATAGGATGATGGTGTTGATTACAGTACTGTGATGGTTAATTAACTGTATGTGTCAACTTGACTAGGTAGAACATAAAGTGCCCAGACATATGGTCAAACATTATTCTTAGTGTGTCTGTGAAAGTGTTTCAGGATGAGGTTAACATTTGAATTGGTAGACTGAGTAAAGCAAATTGCCCTCTTTAATGTGGGTTGGCCTCATCTGATCAGTTGAAGGCCTGAATAGAACCAAAAAGCTTCAGATAAGAAAGAACTCCACTTGCCTGACTGCCTTCAAGCTGGGACATAGGTATTCTCTGCCTTTGGACTCAAACTGAAAAATCTGCTCTTTCTGGATCTCAAGCCTACCAGCCTTCAGACTGGAACTACATCTCGGCTCTCATGGTCTCCAGGTTGCCAACCATAGATCTTGGAACTTGTCAGCCTTCACAATCATGTGAACCAATTCCTTAGGATAAATTATCTATTTTTTCTCTTGATCTGTTTCTCTGGAGAATCCTAAGAATACAAATGAACTTGGGGAGATATGGACAGATACAGGAAATGTTTTGGAGAGAGAATTAATAAGAACTTGGATTTGTATCAATGTAGGGATGAGGAAAAGTCCATATTAGTGTCTTTAAATAATGAATTCATTCTCATTTTTACCTACCAGTTGGTAATATGTTCTTACCCCCATAGCTTTTAAAAAGATTTAAAAAAGTATTTTTGCATAGTCCTTGACAGCCACATCCTATTTCTGCCACCCAAATGATCTACTCTGCAACCTCAGGCTAATATTTCTCTAAAAATTAGGGAGTAAGGAAGAAGTATATGCTATCTCTACTTAATAGACATTCCACACAAAAGCCATGTGACGCTCCTTCGTTGATTTTATAATGAATTTCTCACAAAATTACTAAAACAAAATTGAACCTACAAGCAAATATTTCAGACAACTTCTTTTATCCTTTGTTATTTAGAGTAGATCATCCCGAAAGTACAGTGAGACATGAGAGTCAGGTATGACTGTACATGGAGGCATGCAATGGACCTCTCCCCAAGTATGAGAGCATCACAGTACAACTTAAGCCTCCAGAAGCCAAGAAACTCATCTCATTATGTAACTTTTCCCACAGTTGTAGAGCCCAGAGCTCACAGAAACATACATGCAGCCTTTTAAAGTCATGCAGGTATTTCTGACACATGATTAGAGTGACAATTGTGAAATTAGTGGACTCCTAACTAAGGAGAGCAGGGGCTGCTGCCAGTTTTCCAGGCTCTTCCCTTAGACCCCTCTGGGTCTCTTGGCCCTCAGGTCTTAATATGAGCTGCCCAAATAGTAGCTAAATCTATTTTTAAATAGTAATTTGAGAAATACTACTTCCTCATATCAAAACACTTCATGCTTCACCAGGAGTTAAAGTGAGATAGGGGATGGCCCATTTAACCATAAATAGAGAAGAATTAAAACCCAGAAGCTTGGATTTCTGTAGGTGTAAGTGTGTTTTTGGTTGTGTTGTGTTTGCTCCTTGGAAAAATGTGGCATCCCGTTTTTATTCTCAAAAGGCTTTAAATGCTTATTAAAAAATGTTCTTTGAAATCAAATAGCTCTGTAAAGGCTGTATTTTGATGATTTGATTATAAATGAATGAAAAGCATATGGATTAGGTCACACATGGTTTTGAAGAATTACAGGCAAAAGTGTCTAACAAGACACATTGCAAGTTTACCAAATTCAAACACTTGAAAGAAAATGTCACAGGATAGAGGAAAACAAGCTGACTTTATGCTAATTGAAAGGCTCACAGATGTGAGTATCTATATCTTAAGAGTTTGATCACCACCATTAGGTGTCTCCATTCATCATTTCTGCCAAAGGTCTAGTATATTCCACATTTATAGTTTCTAGTTTAAGCTAACCACCCAAATGTACAATTTTAAAAAAGAAATGTTATTCTAAAATAGGAGGTAAGCTTAATAGTTTTCCTTCCAGCCATGGCTGAAATTCAGCTCCTAGGATGGCTATTGTATTATCATTAACAAATTACCTACATGAACAAACATATGTGGAAAAGAAGATTTTCAGCTCTTCGTTAATGTTTTTTCTCTTAGAGAAATTTACTTTTTCCCTTCCCACATCACATTCTGAAGCAATACTCTCCTGTGCCTATTGCAAAGTGACAGGCTAAGACACAGCAGAAGAGATTCAAAGGGAGGATCTACTTTGAATTTCAAAAACAATGAAATTGTTTGTATTTCAAAAACAATGAATTTAGGAGAACCAAAAAATAAAAATAAAAAGTGTTAAAAATTAGGAGCTTAAACAGGTAAGGTTTTTAAGGGTGTGGGGATGGAAGTGGAAGACATGTAAAGGGTGAAGGGAGTGGCCAGGCTAAAAGGCTGAACCTAAAAGGACACACAGAGAGAAATGCAGAACCCATCATGAAAGCAGGCAGCATCTGGGCTCCACTTGAGTGAATGCTGAACATGGCCTCCGCTCCTGAACATTGTCATTCCTTCCTGTATGATAGTTACAGCACTTTTGTTTGTGGTGTCATTAATATGACTGATTTATTCCTTCTGTTTATTTTTCATGGTCAATCTTTACAGAACTATGTTACTAAGTTTTTTCAAATAACCAGATTTTGGTTTTGATGATCATCTCTGTTGATTTTTAGTTTGCTTGCAAGCAAGCTTACTTCTTATGTCATCTTCATTCTTTTTTTTCTTCTACCATTTTTGTGTTTCTTCTGTGTTTTTTTTTCCTAGTTTTTTGAGCTAAATGTTTAATATGTCTATGTTAATTTTTTAAAGAAATGCATCTTAGGCTATAAATCTCCCTCTGAGTGCTGCTATAGCTGTATCTTGCTAATTTCAACATGCAGTAGTTGTATTGCCATCTATTACAAATATTTCAAAATTCTAATTTTGATTTCATCTTCAACTCTTACTGTTACGTTTTCTGTATTCTAAATGTATCAGAATTGGTTAAATATATTTTGTTGTTGATTTATAATCTAAGGTTATTTTGGACAAAGAATATAACCATATTCTATGAAATCAAATAGTTGAGCAAATTTTATGTATGTTCATGTTGTACTTAGAAAAAAAGTGTTTTCTAATTTTTCAGCTCAGTGGTATCTAAATGCTCTCTAAATCAAGCTTATTAATTGTATCATTAAAATTTTCTATATATTTACTAAATTTCATTTTATTGACCTATTATCTGTGGTCCCCTTAACCCCTTATATGAGCTATTTTATTAATTCCTCTCTTATTTCTCCTATATTTCTTTTTGCATGTATAAATAGATGCATGTATTTTTTTACTTCCCCATTTTCTTAAACAAAAAATTTGGGTGTATGTGTGTGTGCTTTAATTTTTTGTTTAACAATATAGTCTAAACATTACTCCATGTAAGTTCATAGTAGAATCTTAACTCAGAATCCTTATCATTTTTTGTAGCTACATAGTACTCCATCATGTAAATGTGCCATAATTTAGCCAATTAATCTCTAATGTATGGGCATTTAGGTTGTTTGCAGCATCCTGCAGTTACAAATAATGCTGAAAAGAATAATTCTATGCATACATTGTTTATATTTTGGTTAATTTTAGAGTAAATTTCTAAAAATGGGGTTGCTAGGTCAAAGAGTAAATACATATGTAATTATATTATATATTGACAAATTCCCCTCCATAGAGGATCTTCCATTTTTGTATTCCCATCTGCAGTGGAGAAGATGAGTTGTTTCCTCATAGCCTTGCCAACAGAATGTGTTGTAATATTTTTAAATTTTTGCCAACCTAAGAAATGTTATCTCAGTATAGTTTTGATTTGCATTTTTCTTATTATGAGAAAAGTTGAATGCATTTTCATATGTTTGAGAGCCATTTTATATTACTTTTGTGTTGTCAGTTCATATATCTTGCCCATTTTTCAATTGAATTTTTGGTCTTCTTTCCTTAATTATTAATATTTTTATATATATTAGGGATGTCAGTGTCAGTACTTTGTGATACACGTTGAGACATTTTTTTCACAACTTGTCATTTATCTTTTAACTTTGCTAATGGTGTTATTTCTTATAAAATTTTTTTAATGTAGGCAAATTTTTCAGTCTTTTAATGCATCAGTATTTTAAGTCATATTTAGAAGGCTTTTCTTATATATGGATTATGGAGGAATTCGCCAATGTTTTCTTTGAGTTTAATTTTCGCATTTAGATCTCTGATCCATTTGAAGTTTATTCTTGTAGTTGGTATGAGGAATAGTTCTCATTTTTTTGTTCCAAATGATTATTTGGTTTTACTAGCACCATTTATTTTTCAAAATTCATCTTTGCCCGAGTGTAGTTTGAATTTTCTATTCTATTCCATTGGTCTTAGTTTTCAAGCACCAACACCTTATTATTTTAATTATTGATTAGCTTTATTATTAATATCAAAAACCTTTTTTATAGAGAGACATTTTAGTCCTCCCCTACCCCACCAACCCATAGTGCCTCCTTCTCAGTGTTTTCTTAGCTCTTCTTATGTGTTTCTCCTTCTGTATAAACTTCAGTATCAGCTTGATTTCCTTCAGGTAGAAAGCTTGTTGGTATGTTTGTTGGGATCACAAATGTACGTATCACTTAAAGAGAATGAAATTGGATGCTTTATCAAAGAAAAAGAATGGTTTCCATTTGTGTTATTTAGGAACACTTTATGATTCTCATATAGATTTTGCACATTTTTTAAGCTGTGCTAAGCATTTTGTTTACTTATTTCTTTAAGGCTATCTTAAATGGAGTTTTTCTTTCATTATAACTCCCAAATTGTTATATATATATATTTATATATATATTTATATATATATTTATATATATATTTATATATATTTATATATATTTATATATATTTATATATATTTATATGTATTTATATATATTTATATGTATTTATTTATATTTATATATATATTTTATATATATTTTTATATATTTATATATATATTTTATATATATTTATATATATATTTTTATATATTTTATATATATTTATATATGCTATTTATTTTAGCCTGTTAATTTTATATTCTGCTCCCTTGTTAAAATCTTTTAATGCTTGAGTTAGTTTTATTATTGATTCTCTAGCATATTTTTAAGTTACTGTCTGCAACTAGTTGATTCTTTTTTTTTAATACTTATTGTCTCCAATTGTTTTTCTTTCTTTAATCACATTGGCTTATACTTCCAACACAATATTAAATAATATTGGAGATGGTGGACTTAACGCATCTTGCTCCGGGTCCCTGTAGGATTCAAGTATATGTTATTTTATTATGTCAAGAAAATATCCATTTATCTCTGTTTTTCCTAAGTGTTTTTGTTAGAATGAAACTTTGTCAAAGGCTTTTTTCAGCATCTATGGGAATATTCATATGATTTTTTTTGTCGTGAGACCTATTATATGGTGAATCATATTAATAAAATTTTTAATGTGAAATCATCTTTTCGTTCTTTATATACATCACATTTGGTCATAGTTTATTGTGTTGTTAATACGATAATTGATTCTGTTCATTAATATTTTATTTAAAAATGTTACATCAATATTCATGAGTGTTTTAGTACCACTATTTTATCAAACTTAGAGATAAATGTTTAATTCACTTTATTTAAAGAATTTGGATGGTGTTCCTTATTTTCTTCATTTTCATTGCTCTAAAACAAGTTATATCTCATCAATTTACCTAATATTTAGGATTTGGCTACATTTCCCCTGTGAAAACTTCTAGGGTTGGTATTTTCTTGTGTGTTAGTTCCCTGATAAGTCTCTCTATTTCTTCTAAGAACATTAGTCTATTGAAACTTTCTCTTTCTACTAGGATCAATTTTGGTAAATTTGATTTTAAGTTTATTTGCATAGAGATAGGCAAATTATTCAGTTATGATATATGTTTCCTCTTTATTAATAATTATTTTCCTTTTGTCATTTCTTAATTTGTATATCTGTATATTTTTCCTTGATTATTTTAGCTATTGGTTATTGTATTTTTATGATTTTTTTAAAGAATCAGTATTTTTATTTATTAATTTACCCTGCTATTTCTCTGTTTTCTGCCTCATTAAATATTGTTTAGAATTTATTATATCCTGCCTGATGCTTCCTTTTGGTTTGCTTTATTGTTCTGTTTCTGGCTTTATTTACTTAGGATTTAATGTGTTTATTTTTATTCTTTCATTTTTATTGATATAGGTGTTTGGGGTTATTCTTCATAATTGTTCCGTCTGATCTCTGCTCTAAATATGTCTCACAGGTGTGGTTATGTAGTGTTTCATCATTATTTTTCAGAAATCTGTAAGTTATGTTTGCATTTCCTCTTTCACTCAAGATTTGTTTTTTTAAAAAGGCTTTTTAATATCCACATGAAAGATTGTTTTTGGTTTTGAACTCCTTTAAAATTTCTATGTTCTTTGGCTCTTCTATATCCTTACCTTTTCCTTTGTCTACTTCATCTAGTTGGTATTGTGGGTGGTGATTTCTAGTCTCTTATTATTATTATGTTTCTATGTATTCTCCTTTTTATCTTTTGTAGTTTCTGCTTTATAATACTGATAATTGTGCTGTTTAAAACATAGGTATTCATAACTATTATTTTTTAGCTGTAAACTGTGGCTTGTAGTATTATAAAGTGTTCTTTTTTATCTGATTAACTATTTTTGCCATGAAATCTGTTTTGTCTGATAATAGGTTTATATCAGCCCAGTATAAATTTGCCCATCATTGTATTTTTAGCTTTTTTAACTCCCATTGCTTTACGTATTTCTTTTTTAATCAGCATAGAGTTAGGGTTGCTATATGAGACAATAAGAAAGCTTTTTTCTTTTTATGGGCAATTTAAGCCTATTTACATTTATTGACACAGTTGATCTAAATACAATCATATTACTTTATGTTACAGTTACTGCAAAGTTTATGTAAGATTGTGTATCTTCTATATGGCATGTCTTGTTTGCATTTTTCTTAATATTTATTCTCAATTTCTTGATGTTTAGGATGATTTAATTTTTTGTTCTACTGGTCCTCTTTGGACGTATGCTCTAATTCCCTCTTACTTTTTCTTATCATCAGTTTATCAACTTATAAAATGGTATCCCTTGACTCCTACCTATTATCTACAGAGCAGTCAATGACCTTACTCCACTTTCCCTTTCTCATTCCCCACTCTTCCCATTTTTAGTTGCATTCTTTCTCCTTCTTAAGACTATATAATGTTGACATACCACCCTTTCACCCATGTCACCAGCCTCCTTTAGTCTTAGGTATACAACTAAATTTATTAAATATTCAACATTAGTTCTCTTGCCCAAGCTTTTCCTGTCATTTCTCTGTTAAATGAAGCTCAGTTAAATGCAGTTAGATTTCTTAAATGTCATTTATCTGTTAAATAAAGCTAGATTCCTTGGAAATAGCTTGTTAGTATTTTCTGAGTTCTTGTGATTTTTAAATATATATATATATATATATATATATATATATATATATTTGCTTTGGCACTTGTAGTGGGTTGAATTGTGACCACCAAGAAGATATGTTCAAGCTGTAATTTCTCATGCCTGTGAACATAACCCAATTTGGGAACAGGGTCTTTGCACATGTAATTAGTCAAGGATCTCCAGATGAAATCATCCCAGACTTAGAATGAGCTCTAAATCCAATGATTGGTGTCTTTATAAGCAAAAAGAGAGGTAGATTTAGGCATAGACACATAGAGAGATATACAGAGAAAGGCCATGTGCAGACAAAGACAGAGATTGAAATGATACAGCCACAAGCCAAGAAATGCCAAGGACTGCCAGAAGCCACCAGAAGCTAGGAAGAGGCATGGAATATTCTTCCCTAGAGGCTTCAGAGGGCACATGGCCATGCCAACAGCTTGATTCAGACTTCTAGCTTCCAGAACTGTAAGAGAATACATTTCTGTTTTAAACCACCAAGTTTATAATAAGTTGTTAATGTATCCCTAAGAAACCCATACAGCACTTAAGACATAACTTGGCTGAATATAAAAACACTTATCTCTCATTCTTCTTGAGTTCTCCAAAGTGCTGCTCAACTGTTACCTTATTTTGATAAATCTGATACCAATTTAATTTTTTAGTAATTTGGACCTGAGGCTCTTGAATTAGTCTTTAGAATTTAGTAACTTTACTAGAGTTTACTATTTCAAATCAGTTTTCCCAGGTTCACCACAGGCCCTTTCAATATTTAGATTTAAGTTTGCCCTCATTTTTATAAAGTTTTCTTGGATTACAGCTTTAAATATTAGTTCTGTTTCATTGTTATTTCATTTTAGTTTTTCAGCAACTCCAATTATACTTAATTTGGATTTTCATTGTCTTTTTAATTTAATCACCCTTTACTTTCTTTTTTATATCATTTTCTCTTAGCTGTTTTTCTGTCTTCTTAAAATGCTTCTTATTGAATTATCATCTGAGTCTACTCCCCATTGGGTACCTTGCTATTTAATCTTCATTTCTGAGATTGTTTTTACCCCTTAATTTATTTCCCAATTTCAATCAACCCTCATTACATTTCTTATTTTTTAAAACAATTTCTGTTCTTATTGAGTTTTTATGCTGTGTGTTTTTATAATAGCTCCAAATATTTACCCGATTATATTAAATTCACTGTAGAGTATGATTCAGCTTACTGATTGATTCTTTGGTGAGAATTTTCATCAGCTGAAGTACTTTATTTTCATTTTCTATTTATAGTACCATTTATGGAGTTAGTCTGATTTTTCTGTGTTAGACATAAGAATTTCTAGTTCAATATCACCCTCTTCCATCATAACAGTGCATCGCAGTTTCTATAATGAATAATATTAGTTGTTGGGAGTGTTAAACCAAGTTTAGCCTAAAGCTGCCTCCTTACATATTTTAAGTTCTGCCTAAAGGTTTTTCTGTACATCATGAACTATAACAAGTGGAGGTGTAAACAGACCATAGCCTACACTTGTGCCAATCATTGAGTTTTGGCCAAATCTAGTCAACTGTTCAAACCGTGTTCAAATAAGGCAAACATCAAGCTGTAACCAATCTGGCTGTTTCTCTACCTCACTTTCCTTTTCTGTACATCACTTCCTTTTTCTGTCCATAACTCTTCTTCCACCACGTGCTGTGCTGGAGTCTTTGAGCCTACTCTGGCTCAGATGGCTGCCCAATTAGCAGGTCGTTTGTTGCTCAATTAAACTCCTTTAAATTTAATTAGGCTGAAGTTTTTCTTTTATCAGGTGGAAGGGAAGAGCTGGTATGTCTTATTTTTCTTTTCATTTCTGTGTTATTCTTAATTTTCCCCTTACTGCCTTCTTTTCCTTCCATGTTACTTCTCCAAAGGAAAATCTCTTTTTCTATGTACTTGCTTTTCCCTTAGAAGAAATGCTTCTCTCAGCCCGCTACCTCCAGTTTCACTCACATTCCAGACTCCCCTTTGTAGCTGGTGCTGTGAACTAAGTCCCAGACCTCAATTTAATAGTTAGGACTTTTTTGTATGGTAGCTTTTTTTTTTTTTTAAACCTATGCTACACCTACGGCCTCCGTGTTCCTCTCTCCCACCATGGGCACCCATAGACAGCTGTAGCAGTGGGAACTGCAACTGTAACTCCGTTTGAATTTGTATTTATTTCTCTACTTACAGGTAATTTGGAATTTGTAAGATTCTCTGTTTCCTACTAAGGCTGTAGGCATACATCACGTGTGGCTCCTTTGGGTTCATTTTTTATTTTAGGATTTGAGGGAGAGTTTTTGGAGAGGTCTAGATTTAAGTGGTCATCATTGTCCCAGAGCCAACCAAAACTCCCTATTATCCCTTTCAATGTTTTCTCCCTCTTATTTCTCCCTTCTCTAATTTTAGACCCCTTACTATATGCATATTAAACTCTCTGTTTTCTTTCCATGTCTCTTAATTTGTTTCTTGTGTTATATATTTTTTCTTCTACATTCTTTCATTTTTATTTTCTATGTGTATTTCTGTTGTGTAATATTCTCAGATAAATCTTGTGATTTATTCCTCCTTTCTTCAACCGTGGCTAGTGTAACATTTAACACTCCTGTGGAAATTGTTTCCCAAGTTATTTTTTCATGACTAATGGCTTTAAGATAACAATGGTATGTACTTCATAGGATTATCAGAAGCATTAAGAGTTTTAAAAGGCTACAATGCGTCACATATTTCCTGGTACATAGTATTTACTTTAGACCATTCGGGCTGCCATAACAAAATACCATAGCTTATAAAACAACAGCAATTTCTCACAGTTCTGCAGGCAAGGAAGTCTAAGATGAAGGCACCTTTAGGTTTGGTGTCTGGTGAAGGGCTGTTTCCTGGTTCTTAGATGACACCTTCTCCTGTGTCTTCACATGGTGGAAGAGATAAGGCGGCTCAGTAGGGCCTCTTTTATAAGGACACTAAGCCCATTCATGAGGGCTCCATCCTCATGACCTAATCACCTCTCAATGGCCCCATCTCCTAGTACTATCCCATTGGTGATTAGGTTTTGACATATAAATCTGGTAGGACACACACTTTCAAACCATAACAGTACTCGTTAATTGTCAGCTATCACTATTATATATTTAGGATACTCGACTCTAGCTCTCATTCCTATAGGACCTTCAACCTAAACTTCTCTTCCACTGCAGATGTCAAAATCCCAGGCCCCAGCCATTTAAACCTTTATCTACTTCCTATAACTCCATCATCCAATTTAATTTCAACTCCCACACGCCCCTTTGTGGATTTCTTTTGATTCTGGCTTGGCTATGTGTCAAAAAATATTATATTTTATAATAATGATAATAATAAATTATAAAAGATTTAAAGCACTTTTCATAGCATCCATTTGAAACCCAAGATAACTGTCTTTTCCATCCATATCTGATAAGAAATTCCCTGCAGCAGCACTTAGGACTTAGCTTGAAAGCTGCCCAGTGGAATTATAATCTGTCCAAACTCTGAGAATGTGTCTGGCCTCTGTCTTCCCCTTCTTTTTGAATAATCCCTTTGAAATATCCTAGAACAGTCTAAGTTCCAAAGGAGTAGGTGAAACTCTTGACAGCTGCACAGGGGATTAGGGGGAACACTCTCACTCCCACATTTGTGTAGAATCAGCTTAAGTACTTTCAATATTCTTGCTTTATACTATAATTTTGGCCGACTATACAAAAAGCACTTTATTAAGAAATAGAAGTTCGCACTCAAATTCCCTTTAGGGAAATTTTTTTTTGAAACATGAAAACAGGTCATTTGAGCCAAATAATTGATAAAAATAAATTGGCATCAAACAGAAAGTAAGAAAAAAAGAGAGAGACTAGAAAAAGGAAAAGGCCACTTCCAACATACTGCAGTGTAAGGATCAGAGAAAATTTATTGTATCTATTTTGGTCAACAAACTTCACTGTAAAACCTTTTTCTTAAGCCTATTGATCAAAGTCAGTCAGGTTTCCAGATAAAAAGGGAACCTACTATGAATAATGTGGAGAAGAAAAAGAGGCGTCAAAAAAAAAATGCTAGCACTGGGCAAAGGATAAGGGAAAAGATGATGCTGGAGGCCAGGGCTCTGAAGGAAACAAATACTCAAGCTATTGTAATAGGGATGCATCAAAGTGAAATGCAAATTATAATAAGAAAACTATCAAAAAATATGCTTGGATTTCTTTGTGTGAAACCTAGTAAAAAGACTGAGTTTTGCATCGAAGCTTACATAAAGCTGAAAATAATCGCATGTAGATAGGAAGAAATTTCTACATCTTGGTTATGGTAGAAATTGAGTCTCTTAAAAGTTTATAATAGACATTGTGTCTTGACATAATAAAAATTTTAACATATGTAGTGGGAGGAAATAAATGTTTTATGCAAGCAAAGATGAAAAATCCAGAAGACAACATTACAAAATGTTGCTGTTATTGTTGCTTAACCAGGACCTCTTTTCATAGATCCACCAGTGGCTTCAGCTAGCGATATTGGCCCTGAAACACTTTTGATAGGTATTGAAACTATTGGTTCCATCTCCTGGGACCACCATCAGTAGGAATAGAATTAATCCTTGCTAATCAGCCAAGCATTGTATTGCCTTAAGCAGTACAGGTGGCCACATCTAGATGAAATGCAGAAATCACATATCCCTTCTATTCCTGTGTGTTCTTGCCTAGTAATCTGTAATTCTCCTGGCTATAAACTGTTCCTTCCTAGCAACAATATACCATAATTTCACTGGCCATTCTTATTCATTAATACCAGCTGCTTAGCAGTGCCTGAAGGTATCAGAAGAAATATGTGTAGATGGTTTTACCATATGGTTGTTAAAAGCTGATGAAGTCCTTTCATGTAAAGCTGGTGTTGGCCAGACACCATATGCATGAAGCAAAGGCCAGCAATATGAAATGAGAATCAAGGCTTGCTACAAAAGAAGAGTTCTTTTCTCTTTGTTACTTTTGACTTATGATCTTCTTTGTACCTGGGCATTAAGAGTAACTACAAATATCTAAGGCACTTTCACCACTGTGAATTTACAAGTTGTGTTTCGCAGATCACACTTTATTGCAAGCATTGAAAATAAAGGCACAGGGTATGATAAATCAGTAAAAATGAAATCTGTTACAAAGTTGTTTCAGGTTAACAGTCTGACAAGTGGACACTGTTCTGATCACAGTAAGGGTACTGGACTTTACGCTGAGATCAATGGGAAGCAACGGGAATAGGGGAGTGACTTGATCAGGTACACATCTTCAGACCATCACTCTGGCAATAGATGGAAAATGTACTGAAGAGGAGGAAGAGTGGATGAGTTGCTGATGGTTTGGGCTAGACAGTAGCTGTGAGGATGGAGAAACGATGCAATCCTCTGAAGTGTGGGAACAACAAATTGCATTTCAGTTCCCAGGCACTGATTTCTCAGTTCTGCCAAACATCTCCAACCCTGAAACCACAGCCATTATTCATCTCATTCTCTGTGCTAAAACAGCCTTGCTGGGTACCAGCCACCATGGCTACTGATAATAAAAAGGCCAGAGTCTCAGCTGCAGCTGCCCGAGGAAATGGAACTAAAGCAGATGAAGGCAAGGCCTAAAGGAACGGGATTATGTTACTTACTGTGGGATCTGAACAGAGATGACAGCAGCAGAGAGGAAAGGAGTCCACGGAACAAAGAATCAGCAGGGCACCAGCCACCGCTTAATCTGTTCCCCAAACAGTGATAAGAAAAGCATTCCTTTGATCAGTGTACACCAAGAAAGCCCTACACAGCCAGATTTCCTCCTGCAAAATAGGTCTTAAAGCCTTATTGAATTTGATTATCTAAAAAACACTCTCTGTTATAAAGATCTAAGAAACAAAGTACAAAAAAAAAATCAAAACAATCCAAAAAGCTTCTTTGGGAAGCCATTTGACAGTGTGGCAGCTGGATATAGGACCAATCCCAAGATAAGTGAAGACCTTCCATTTGATGAAAGAGCTAACCCTGCATATAATGCAGAGACCTAGACTCAGGCCATCTCATGGTATTCTGTGAACGTTATTGATTAACTTCAAATGGCAAGACAAAATTATGAACAGCAGTCCTGTAATTCAGTCAACCTTTAAGGGTAGAAGCAATGTTCACCTGTACATAATTCTCTTGGACAAGACAGGTGGAAGCTGGCTGACAACAGGAAATCTATACAGATGCTTGAAAGTTGAAGAACGTTGATGTCAAACTGAAAAAATATTTTGAATGTATAATGAAGCACAAATAGATGAGCACACTTATCTGCACAGCAACATGAAAAATGCAGATACACCCAGCTTATGCACTGCTTATAGAAACTGATGAGTTTTTGTTAACATGGGATTATTAATTATTTCTGTAAGAAAAAATCAGCATGATGCTGAATGTTACAGTATCAAAAAAAGCTTAATTTAAAAAAAACCCAATCACTTAAGCTTCCCTAACTAAATAAGAAATCTAAACAATCATTACATATTCAGAAATAAAGCAGCACTTATACGCATGCAGTATGGAGAGAACTTCTAGCCAGAATTTAATGTTCTCAATCACTTAAGAACCATGAAAATAACCACATCACACGGTATTCGCTCCTCTAATAAAAATCAATCCTAGGTTAAGTTCCTCCTCAAGTTGAAATTCCCCACTACAGTTTAGACAAAACCAAAAGCATTATTTTTTCTTGTAATTTCTTGGTCTCAAGACAGAAAATTGAAATTATTGGTCAGGTATAGGCATTTGTTTTTACATTTTCACTGATTGCAATTAGCAGAATGTGTCACTCTACAGAGTAGCTGTGGAAAACAAAAAATAGCCACAAATCTTCTGGCTTTCTTCCCATCCATTCCACTTTCTTTTAAATCTATGCAGGCTAAATGCATGAATCAATAGATCATAGAAGGAGTGACACTGGGCTAGTCTTCATGTCTAAAGGACATGGAAACTTCTACTTCCTGTCTCCTCAAACACTCACTCTAGGGGATGCCAAACACCATAGAAGAATTTCAGCTTCCTGAGATTGCCATGCTGTGAGAAACCTCAAGCTAGTCATGTGTAGATGCTCACTGAAGAGAGAGGTACCTGGCTAACCCCTAGCTGTTCCAGTCAAACCAGCCCATGCACATGACATGGAATAAAAAACTATTTGGATATCAGTTCAAATGACCTATCAGATGATGCCATCCTCATTTGACATGTGACTGCAACCACATGAGGGAGCCTAGGTGAAAACTGCTCAGCTAGCTAAGTACATTCAACCCACAGAATCATGAATAATAACAATAAATTGCTATTTTAAGCCATTAAGTTTGGGATAGTTTGTTATAGTAATTAATAGCAAGAGTGCGCTGGGCACAGTGGCTCATGCCTGTAATCCCAGCACTTTGGGAGGCTGAGGCGAGTGGAACACCTGAGGTCAGGAGTTCAAGGCCAGCCTGACCAACATGGAGAAAACCCATCCCTACTAAAAATACAAAAAAATTAGACAGGCGTAGTGGCACATGCCTGTAATCCCAGCTGCTTGTGAGGCTAAGGCAGGAGAATCGCTTGAACCCAGGAGGCAAAGGTTGTGGTGAGCTGAGATCATGCCATTGCACTCCAGTCTGGGCAAAAAGAGCAAAACTCCGTCTCAAAACTAAATAAATACATTTTAAGAATGGTAGCATTTTGCCAAAATCTCAGTGCAATTTTTAGAGTTAAATTCTAAACTGTTTTCACCTTAAGTTGATATGTTATAAGTGTAAGCTGTTTTATGCAAGCCTCAGGTAGCCATAAAGCAAAAGCCTATAAAAGATATACAAAATATAGGAAGAAAAGAATCAAAGCCTACTACCACTACAGAAAGACCATCAAACCACAAAGGAAGAAAGCAAGAGAGGAAGAAGAAAATGAAAGATCTATAGAACAACTAGACAACAATTAACAAAATAGTAGGAGTAAGTCTACACCTATCAATAATAACCTTGAATATAAATGGGTTAAATTCTCTAATTAAAAGATATAGAATGGCTGAATTGATTTTTTAAGACCAAGACTTAACTATATTCTGCCTACAAGAGACTCACCTCACCTGTAAGGACACACAGACAACATGCTCCTCAATGACCACTGAGTCAATGGAAAAATTAAGACGTAAATTTAAAAATGCTTTGAAGCAAATAAAAATGTAAACATAAGATACCACAACGTATGGGATACAGCAAAAGCAGTACTAAGAGGAATGTTTATAGCAATAAACATCTATGTCAAAAAAGTAGAAATATTTTAAATAAAAAATCTAATAATGTACCTCAAGGAACTAAAAAAGCAAGAATAAATCAAATCCAAAATCAGTAGATAGAAAAAAATAACAAAGATTGGAGCAGAAATAAATAAAATGGAGGCAAAGAATAAACAAATCAACAAAATGAAAAGTTGGTTTCTTGAAAACATAAACAAAATCAAGAAGGCTTTATCTAAAGAAAAAAGAGAGAAGACCCAATAAATAAAATCAGAGACGAAAAAGGAGATATTACAGCTGATACCACAGAAATACAAAAGATCACTAGAGACCATTATAAATAACTATAGCCAACAAATTGAAAAACCTAGAAGAAAGAGATAAATTCCTGGACACATATGACATACCAAGACTGAATCGTAAAAAAATAGAAAACCTGACCAGAGCAATAAAAAGTAACAAGATTGAATCAGGAATAAAAAAAATCTCACAACAATGAAAAGCCCAGGAACAGCTAGTTTCACGCTGAATTCTACCAAACTTCCCTTAATGAAGAACTAGTACCAATTCTTCTCAAACTATTCCAAAAAAAATTGAAGGGGAGAGAATTTATTCTAACTTATACTACAAGGCCAACATTACCATAATATCAAAAGAAGACAAAAACACAACAAAAAAAGAAAACTATAGGCCAATATTCATGATAAACATAGATGCAAAAATCCTCAACAAAATCCTAGCAAAGTGGATCCAACAGCACATCAAAAGGATGATAAACCATGATAAGGTCAAGGAGGATTTATCGTAGGAATGTGGGGGTGGTTTAACATATACAAATTAATAAACATAGATCTCATCAACAGAGTAAAGGACAAAAACCATATGAGAACCACAGTAGATGCAGAAATGTATTTGTTAAAAAGTCAACATCTCTTCATGACAAAAACTATCAACAAATTAGGCATAGAAGGAACATACTTCAAAACAATAAAGGCTATATATGACAGGCCCACAACTAACATGATACTAAATTGTGAAAAGCTGAAAGCCCTTCTGCTAAGATGTGGAACAAATAAGGCTGCCCACTTTCACCACTTTTATTCAATATAGTTCTTGAAGTCCTAGTCAGAGCAATTAGGCAAGAGAAAAAAAAAAAAAAGTCATTCAAATTGGAAAGGAAGTCAAATTGCTGCTGTTTCCGGATGACATAATCTTATATTTAGAAAAGCCCAAAGAGTCCACCAAAAAACTACTAGAACTTATAAATGAATTCAGTAAAGTTGCAGGATACAAAATCAGCATACAAAATCAGTAGCAGTTTTACATGCCAGTAGTGAACAATCTGAAAAAGAAATCGAGAAAGCAATCCCATTTATGGTAGCTATAAAATAAATAAAATGCTTAGGAATAAATGTAACCAAAGAGGTGAAAGATTTCCACAATGAAAACTGTAAAACATTGATGAAAAAAATTGAAGAGGACACCAAAAATTTTTTTTAAAATCCTATGTTCATAGATTGCAACAATTAATATTGCTAAAATATCCATACCACCCAAAGCAATCTACAGATTCAATGCAATTACTATTAAAACACCAATGATGCTCTTCACAGAAATAGAAACAAATCCTAAAATTTGTACAGAACTTGAATAGCCAAGCAATCCTAAGCAAAAAGAATAAAGCTGGAGGCATCACACTACATGACTTCAAAATATACTACAAAGCTATAGTAATCAAATCAGCATGGTGCTGGTATAAAAGTAGACACATAGACCAATGGAACAGAATAGAAAATGAAGAAATAAATCCACACATTTACTGCTAACTGATTTTCAACAAAGGAGCCAAGAACATATGTTGGAGAAAGAACAGTCTCTTCACTCAGCAGTGCTGGGAAAACTGGATATCCATATGCAGAAGAATGGAACTAGACCCCTATCTTTCACCATATACAAAAATCAACTTAAAATGGATTAAATATTTAAATCTAAGATCTGGAACTATAACACTACTAGAAGAAAATGGGAAATGCTTCACAATTGGTCTGGGAAGAGATTTTTTTTTTAGTATGTCCTCAAAAGCACACACAACAAAGGCAAAAAGAGACAAATGGGAGTATATTGAATTCAAATGCTTCTGGACAGCAAAGGAAACTATCAATAGAGGAAAGAGACAATCTACATAATGGGAGAAAATATTTGCAATCTATACATCCAGCAAAGGATTAATATCCAGAATATACTAATATAAAGAAATCATCCTTACCTAGCAGGGGAGATGTGATGATCAGACTATATAAGAAACTCAAACAACTCAACAGCAAAAAAAAAAAAAGTGATTTTTTAAATGAGACAATGATCTGAATAGACATTTCTCTAAAGAAGACATACAAATGGGCAGCATGTATATGAAAATATGCTCAACATAACTAACCATCAGGAAAATGAAAATAAAAACCACAATGAGATATAATCTCACCCAAGTTAAAATAGCTATTATCAAAAAGACAGCAACAAAAAAATAATGAAGATGTGCAGAAAGGGAAACACTCCTACACTGTTAATGTATATTAGTGCAGAAACTATGTAAAACTGTATGGAGTTTCCTCAAGAAACTACAAGGAGAACTGCTATATGACCCAGAAATCCCACTACTGGCATATGTCAAAAGTAAAGGAAATCAATAAGTCAAAGAGATCTCTGCACTCCCATGTGTATTGCAGCTCTATTCACAATAGCCAAGATATGGAATCATCCTAAGTGTCCATCAACAAATGAATGGATAAAGAAAATGTGGTATATATACATAATGAAATATAATTTAGCCATAAAACAGAAAAAAATTCTGTCATTCACAGAAACATGGATGAAACTGGAGGACATTATGTAGGGAAATATGTCAAGCACAGAAAGACAAATGCCACATGTTCTCACTCATATGTGGAAGCTGAAAGAGTTGATCACATAGAAATAGAGAGTAGAGTAATATAATAGTTACCAGAGCCTGAGAGGGTAGAGCTAGAGAGAGACTGGTTAATGGGTATAAAATTATAGTTAGATAAAAGGAATAAGTTTTCATGTTCTATAGGGTTTTAAGGTGACTACAGTTAATAATAATGTATTGTATATTTCAACATAGCTAGAAGACAGGATTTTGAATGTTCACAATGCAAATAAATGGTAAATATTTGAGATGATGGATATCCCAATTACCCTTATTTGATCATTACACATTGTATGCATGTATCAACATAGCACATATACCCCATAAAGATGTACAATTATTATATATAAATTAAAATTTTTAAATAAATTTTAATGGGCTTAATCCTATAGACCTCAGTGTGAAATAGAGTAGCCCCTAGCCATATGTAGCTATGTAAATTTGAATGAATTAAACTTAAATTATATTTCAAAATTCAACTTCTCAGTCACACTGGCCACATTTTCAGTGCCCAGCAGCCACAGTGGCTAGAGATCACCATATCATGCAAAAGAGATTATAGAATATTTTATCACAGAAAGTTTTATCAGATAGTGCTTTTATAGACCAACCCAGAGCTCTGTCCATGCTTCTCTGTAGAAGAATGAGGCTGAGAGGGAACATGTATGTGGACAATGTATTCTGTCTGCTTAAGCATAAAACTAATTCAAAGCACAGTTCTAAGACATATATGTAACTGAACTGAGGAAAGAAATGAAAAACTAGGTGTGGATTTTAAACAAAGTTGGTAAAACTTGTCCAGGCAGAGTTTTTTTAAGCACAAGTCCTAAAAAGTAAAACTTTTTTGATAATTATGTTCCTCCAGCAGTAACTGATCTCATTTTGTCACTGAATATGGGAGAGATTCTTAGAGGAAAAATCATCTCAAGCTTAACCTTGCAAACCCGAGGCAAGCATGCTGCTGTAATTGAATAGGACATGATGCAGAATTCATAAAGGCTTTTGCCTGACAGAGAATCATTAAGCTAAATCAACTGGAAAAGAACAAGGATCCGGTACCTTGGCATGGACCCATAAAAAATGTTGCTTTTCATTATGAGATTCCCTTTGTTCCTTGTGGGAAACTGTGCATCTACATGGATGTATATGTATATGTCTACACAGGAGAACTACAGAAAGAGATGCACAAACCAGTTATGCATCTGCACATATATAGATATGCCTTTAGAAAGAGGATATGCTTAATATGTGATCTTTTTAAAGGTCCTCTAGATACCTTGATGGGTTTTTTGTTTTTGTTTTTAGGTAAAGATCAAACAACAGAATTTCCAAAGTGATAGCTTTCTAACGACACTTAAGATGGGAATCAAGTTTAAGTGTGAGGTGAAGATTTATGACACACGAGAATATAAGATAAAAGTTATTTCATTTTATCTTGCATGGTCCTAAAAAGAATTCCTGTTTCTGCCTCCCCCTAATAGTTTTTTCCTCAAGAATGCCATGTATGCTTATATAACAACAAACCTCAGCCACCAAAGACCTCTATGAGGGCAGCTTTCTCACTCTTTACTTTTTGATAAGAAGGGAAGGGTGCACTTACAACTACATTTCTATGTTTTCTATGAAAAAAATAATTATCTGTAGGACACCTCTGAGACCCGTTTGACAATGTGACTATCAGAACTAAATCCAGAGAGACATCTTTTCCAATATAAACACCTTAAAAGGCTATAATTATCCATATTTTCCAATGAAAGCCACCTTTAATTTTCTAAAATAATATTACATTTGCTCCATGGGCAGGGAATGGAGGAAAAGAACATGATGGAGGCCTGAACTCCCATCTCAAGAGCCTCAGAAACAGGGCATTGTGTCCAATTCCTCACAATAATTAGTTAAGCACACATCTTTCAATGCCATGGGAATCTAATCTCTAAGGATATTTCTATCTTCTGTTTCCATGCAGAGGACTAGTTCCTGCAACAACCAAAGCATACCAGATAACAGCAAGTGTGATACTCCAGTTACTTTAGGAAATGAGGTGAATGAAATGACCTTAGGTATAGGCTATAAAGGCCTTTTTATGGTTCTAGTTGAACATACAAATACCATATCCATATACTCCAATATTTCCTCTTTTTTTCTTCTCTCACCTACATTGAAATTAGCAGAGGTATATATAATAGCGAGAATTGCCCTGAAACTAAAAAATAATTTTTAAAATACCTTTTAGCTTAAACCAGGCATGGAAAATTTCAAGCCAAAAAGTTAAATTTGGAGAAAGTTACTAGCAGATGAGGACTAGGGCTATAACAGAAACCACATTGCAGACACTATCACATATGAGTCATTATTAAAAATGTTGTTTTATGTATATCTACATAGTAAGCTATATGTATGGTATGCTACAAGTTTATTGAGCTCAGATCTAGACATTATCTTGAAAATATTCACTAATGTTTGCAAAGCATTTTAACGTTTATAAAAGAAAGACACTATTTTTCCCCATAGAAGGTATTCAATACAAATTTGGCACATTGAATTACATTTGGATTTTATCATATTAGATTTTGGGATAGCATTACTGGTGCTAATACTAAGGTTATCTTTTCTAACTACAAAGAAAAATTGATTTCCTTAGTGCCAGCAAATCCTGGAGATTAAAGTGGGCATATTTAATTTGAAAGCAATTTTTTAATTTAATAAATTATTTATGTACAAATACACGTTGCCGATAGCAAACTCTATACTACTATAAAAGACAAAGTATCCATCTACATTTAGAGAATGTAGCCTTCTACTTTGTGTGTCTGAAACTTAACTCCTCTCCCCGATCTTCAGTAAGGGGGAGCACTAAGGGGAGGATGATGGGACAATGACGGCTGCTCATCAAAATACTTTTCACTCAATTGGAGTTACCATCCCAAATGACTAAGACAGAGCCCTTTGCATCTAATATAGAGACTCTTAATATAAGCCAGACACAGGAAAGGGTCCTAACACTCCAAAGCATATAAGCACCATGAACACAGGGATTTTTGTCCTTTTATTTATTGCTATATCCTCAATAACTATAATAGTGGCTAACATATTATTGGTGCATTATTTATTACATTCTCCCAGGAATAATTAAGTAACACCAACATTATTTCACTAGGAAAGGAGCAGAGTTAAAGTTATTTTAACAGAAAGAATTTCCTTTCCTCTTGTACTGTCTGAGATGAGATTAATAATGACCTTAGAGGTGTGTGTTTGGTCCTTCAGTGACTCGTGAGGAAGCAGTAACAACTCCAGCTGGTGGAGAAGCCAAACTGGAATCAGAATCTACATTCCAGGCAGAACCTCCCCTAATATTTGCAGGATCTAGAGCAAGGATATTGGCAATTCCCTTCAGCCAAAGACCACCAAGAACATCCTTGTAGCATGATTAAATTATTGATTTCTTGCAAGGAGGAAGAATGTTTATCATGAAGGACATGGATCTTCTCAATAAGAGGGCACTTGAAAGGCCTTACAGGATTTGGGCTCAGGGTAAGTAGTTCTGAAGAGAGTTTAAGGATGTGAGACTTTGCTGAGGGGTTGGGTGCTTTCAGGAAGTGAGTGGAATTTTATATTTGAGAATCTTAATGATTCTTATCTAGAAAAATTATAAGAAAGTAGAGGCGAAGTTGCACTGATAAGGAAGTAGCAGTCTCTCATAGTAACAAGGAGAGGAGGATGTTTGTTTGGTCACTTCTCATCTTGAAAAATGTTCTTGTTCTCAGAGCATGATTCCAGAGTGGTCCTGTTTTTGCCTTGCTCCCTCATGGTCCCAGGGCAGCCTTGTCTGGCATTGGTGTTCTGTGACACTGTCCACGGTCCACAGGAGAATTCCACAATCTGGCTATAAGTACTAAGCCAGCTCCTTGCCACCCGAAAGCTTAGCTGAGAGGAGGCCAGCTCTCAGGTGTGTAAGGCCATGTATCTAAGTATTTCAAGTTAAAAATCAACCTAACTGTTAAATGAAGTATGTTTTATCCTCCTACTTTTACAAATACGTTCATAACAGCAAGACTGAAGAGGCTATGTAAAGCTACGGTTTTTAAATGAATGAAAGTTGGCAAAATATTTAAAAAGACAATTTAATTACTATTCTGCAGATCTGGATATTCTGTTGATGAGTCTGTGATGTTCGTATGACTAATAAAAGAAATTGTGTATTTTTCATGAAATTTTTTTGCCTACAACTCAGAAAAATCACTAATTATGTTGTTAGAGTGAAAGCTTCTACATAATTTTGTTCTACTGACAAAAGTGATCTAATACATTTAAAATAAAATGTATGGTATTCACTATATATAAAATGCGGATATATTTTCACCAAAAATAAAAAAGAAAATTAAAATTATATATATTTCCAAAAACAATGATTTTCTTCTAATATATTCCATATTATTAAAATGAAAGGGCAAAATAAATATTACTATTAAGTATCAAAATATCAAGTAAAATTATGTAAAGAAAACTAAAATCTAATTTAATATTTTAAAAATATGTGTAAATCTATTACATATATTTATGAAAATTAAACTGATAAAGGACAGGGACAGGGAAGTGCTGGGAGGAGAAGAGTGGTGTCCCTGGCGAGGGCTCCATCCCTGGGCCTGCGCCCACAGACCTACGTGAGGACAGCCACTCCTGTTTTCGTGCCCAAGTGTTGCATTTTCCAAGACCACCCTGGCCCGCCATGCCCTCCATCCTGTGCCTATAAAAATCCCGAGACTCTACTGGGCATGCATACAAGCAGCTGGACGTTGAGAGGAACACACCAGAAGAAGGGCACACAGGTGGCTGGACGTCGTGGCTGGAGAGGAGCAGAGGAGTGGAAGAACACACCAACGGGCACCAGCGACGCCTGTCAGACACAGACGCCGTCAGGCAATTGATCAGCGGAACAACACAGACTCCGAGGGGAATTTGGCTGGAGTAGTCGGAGGAGAGTCCAGCCACTGAGCAGCCCAACTCCAGGGGAAAACCACCTTCCCACTCCACACACCTTCTGGTCCCCCATACATCTGCTGAGAGCTACTTCCACCACTCAAGAAAGCCTTGCACTCATTCTCTAAGCCCACGAATGATCCGATTTTTCCTGTACACCAAGGCAAGAACCCCAGAATATAGAAAGCCCTCTGTCTTTGCAGTAAGGACACGAGCCATCTACAGACGGCAAAACTAAAAGAGCACACTATAACATGCCCACTATGGCTTCAGGAGCTGTAAACATTCACGCCTAGATGCTGCGGCGGGGTCAGAGCTCATGCTCCCCACAACCTGCCTGTCTACCTGCTCCCACTAGGGGTTTTGAGCAGCGGGGCACTGAGGAAGCAAGCCACACCCCCAGCACATGCCCTGTGAGGGGGACAAGGGAACTTTTCCCATTTCAAAACCATTCATGATTCTGGCATTCGCTGTCCATCGAGTTGCCAATGCAAAGAATTGCTATCACCCTTCACCAGTATTACATCTAGACCTACATATCTAAAATGTAAGTGATAGGAAATGTAATATTGAAAAACGCACCTCAGCAACCATGTACAAACTGTGGAAAGTACTTTGCTTTTTTCGTAAGTATCTCTAGATCCACAAATTGAAACGTGAAGAGAACATGGACTCTCAGCACTACTGGGAAATGATATTTCATGATGCAAGAAGCCGTTGCACTTATGCTCTCTGAGAGGAAGAGTTTGATGAGTTAATTTGTCTTTTTCTCTTACTTATATACTTTTGCCATTCAAATCCTTTTTGCTTCCTGAGGTACTTTACATCTTCAATATTGGCAGCAGTACAATCAACACCACACATGACATGAAGACATACTCACCTTTCGTTCAAGGACAGTGGGAAAGCAATGTGAGAAGCATTTCTCTGGGGCCTGAAGCGTTAGTCAGGAGGGCAGTTGGTTACGGCCATAGGTCACGCTGCAATTGCATTGAGCTCCAGAAATCAATGGATGGAGGTACCCATGCACTCTTTAAAAATTTTACATTTTGTGTGTATATTTGTGATAAACAGGGTCCCCCAAAGCATAGGGCTTGATGCAGGGTCCCCTCTTGCTCACACCATTGGGATCTTCCTCTTCTCTTTCAAAACCAGCCAAGTTTGACCAAAGGAGAATATGCGTGAGTACCTGACCAAAGCCAAAGCCATTGGAGTTTGCAAACTCCTGTAACAATGGTAGAAGTTTCTCAGAGGAAAGAAAACGTATCAGGATTTGGGGACTGGACATAGAAGTCCCCAGAAAGAGGAGCAGGGATGAAAGAGAAAGAAAGCCCATTTAGGTTACTCTGCTTTCAAATGCCTAAATCAATAAGGCATTATGTAGCACAGGGGAATGCAATAAGTTATAGGCATGGTTCCCTCTTCACTGAACTGCTCTTTTTGAGGTACATCTGACCTTTTAGTAAATAACTTTTCATATCTGCCTTATAGATTGTTAGATATTTGATATGGGGAAATTAGAAAGTATTGGGGAATAGAAAAGTAATGACCCCATTCTGGGAGACTCTGATGGATATTGAGGACAATTGTTGGAGAGCTGTTCGCTGGTCATTAACCATAGCAAAGGGACCACAGACACAGATTAAATTCCCTGAGTTACACCGCCCCCACCGGCCCCCATAATCTATTAGCAGGAAACTCCATATGAGACAGTCCTAACCCAAGTTACTCTTGAAAGTTTCCTTAAAATATGTAATATCAACTTTTTTGCAATTGAGAACCCCAAGTCCACCCCATTCCTTCCAAATATGTAAAATTTTACATTCCTAGGGGCCATATTTTTGACATTTTGGACAGCCAAGCTTGGGAAGTAGCTTCATCTACTAGAGATAAGGTTCATCAAGCAACATTGGCCTCATAACCCCCACTGCCCGTAGATCTCCATAACCTTTTTTTATTCATTTTAGGAAGATTTAACACATGGATTCTATGTCAGGCATTGTGATCATCTGTTGAAGTTACCTGACATGACAGTCTTCAGCCTTAAGTAGTTTAGCAGAGTCTGTCAAAAAATGCTATTCCTTCTACATTAAAATAATCCACTGTTTCAAACCATAGAGTAACTTAGATCTCTGGCCTTACAGGAAGAATCACTGTCTATTATAAGCTTTTAAAAATTGCATTAAGTGGAAGGGAAAACTATTTTAAATCATCTTGGTGTTACTGTAATAGTTTATGAATTGGGGAAATTTATTCATGCATAATGATATTGCATCCTATCAAACTACTGGGTGGTTGTTGACATTGGTTGGAGGCTTTTTGCCATGGACATGCAGATACTAACCTCAGATAACTCCTGTGTTTGAGCCTTTAGTCTTCATGGGTCAATGTACTAGTCAGGGTTCCCCAGAAAAACAGAACCAACAGGACATGTTTGTGCTTTATTTCAATCTACCGACACTGGGAAATGTGATTTGTTGATGTTTGCTGTGCTACCATCAGTCAAATAGAGGTTTACTCCTGAAAACCTATGCAAAATGCTATACAGCAGCAGTTCCTGGTTCCATCTTTCCTCCTTAGAGTTATGTAGCTAATTCTCCCCAGATACCCAAAGATGAACAAAAGTAATAAAATCTCAAGATGCACTGGCTCCTATTTTGTAAGTAGGCTGAAGGGCTCTGGGGATTAAGGAAAATGAAAGTAGAGAAAGAACTAACTCCATTATTAAACAGCACCTGCATCTCTGCAATGTAAAATAACTGCCCCTACAAACCACCCAATGATTGTAAACATACCAATACCGGAATTTAATCAGTTAATGACTATACAATTAAAATGAGTCATCTACAATCATAGCCCTCAGAGCATCTAACTGGCTAATGTTTTATGGTGGAATGTCTTTTGATATTTAATACCCGGCTTTCATAAAATACACCTTTCAGCACAAATTATTTTGGCTGACGTTTACATGGGAAAGTTTTGTATTTATATCCCTAAATCTTATTAAAACATATTAAACAATGTAGTCAAATTCAGTGAGTCCAAATACAACTGTTAAAATGTCAGACCTTACACAGACTTTTTTAAAAGCTGAAGATTGCCAAAAGAAGGGAAGTGCAATGTATTACTGCATGCAAAGCAATTGCTTATTAACCACTACTCTTATTGTTTGGTGATCAGAAAGCCATACTGTAAGCATTTTAGAATCTATTGCTTGTGTATATAAGTAATATACATAATTACTGCTTTAGTTCCATTTAAGAAACAGGTGGAATGGGAGTGCTACAGCATACTTTTATTTTCTATTTAAAGTAATGGGGAATGAGCTACAAGTTAGCATTTGTTTCACAGAATGTGTATGATCCAGAAACAAAATACCGATGAGCAATTTGCCAGCTATGTGCAACAAAAATGAATCTTACAAACGTAAAATCAAACATGAGAACTCAGACAAACACAGATGGTATGACTGCATTTATATAAAGTTTTAAAAGCAGACAAAACCAAACTCTAGTATTTAGGGATATATGCTTCAATGGTAAAACTATAAATAAAAGCAAGGAAGCAAATTCCAAAAAACAAGATTGTGGTTTCCTTTGCAAGGAAAGAATGAAATAGTGATTGGGAGGGTGCATTAAGAGCATGTCTGGAGCAATGGTAATGTATGTAAACTGGTATTTGCTTTGTAATAAATAAATGAGAAATGAACTATGCTTATGTGTATACAGTTTTCTGTTTATGTTCTTTATTGCATAATGTAAATGTTGGGAAAAATAACTTGTGGATATAGTTAGATGTCAAGAGTCTGTTTTAAGAAGGCTAATACTCTGATGCACTAATTCCACCTTTACAAATCTACCTTATAGACATAATCTCTTTTTAAAAAGTCTTACCACTCGAGGCGGGGCGGGGGCAAGATGGCTGCCTAGAAACACCTGCAGTTGGAGGCTCCCACTGAGAAGAAAGAAAACGGCAAGTTAATCCTAAACCGGCAACTGAGGTTCTCTCGTTGGGACTGACTAGACAGCGCAACATATGGACAGCGGAGAAAAAGCAGAGCGAGTTATGGCCCACCAGGGAGCAGCATGGGGCAAGGGGAGCTCCCATCCCCAGTCAAGGTAGGCAGTGAGTGTGTTACTCCACCCGGGAAACTATGCTTTTTCCACGGATCTGTGCAACCTGTGGATCAGATCCCCTCGTGAGCCCATGCTACCCGGGCCTTGGGTCCCAAGCCCAGAGCTGTGTAGATTCTTGGCCGCCACTTTGCTGGAAACTGCCTAAGACTACCGAGCCCCCGGGTGGAGGGGCGGCCATCATCAGTGTGGCTGCCAGCTGCCTAAGATGACTGAGCTCCTGGGGGAGGTGCAGCAGCCATCACTGCAGCTCCAGTCTGTCGTTTTCCCTGCCGGTGCCAGGGAGATTGGGTGGTTTGGACCCAGGAGGAATTCTCCACAGCCCAACAGCTGTGGTAGATCATGGCCAGACTGTCTTTTTAGGCCAGACCCTGGCCCATCCCTCCTCACTGGGTGGGGCCTCCCTGTGGGAACTTCAGCAACTCCAGCCAGGGGTTTATAGACAGAACTCTGATCTCCCTGGGATGAAGCCCCTGTGGAGAGGGGCAGCCACCGTCTCCATTAATCAGTAGACTTAAATCTTTCTCTCTGTTGGCTCTGAGGGGTCCGGGCTGTCCCCGACTAATGAGATTCCCCCCAGTGCAGCACACCCCCTCTACCAAGGGGCAGCCAGAGTGCTTCATTAAGTGAGTCCCTGATCCCATGCCTCTTGACTGGGTGAGACACCACCAACAGAAGTCACCAGACACCTTATGCAGGGGCATTCCTGCTAGCATCAGTTTGGTGCCCCTCTGGGACAGAGCTCCCAGAGGAAGGAGCAGGCAGTCATCTTTGCTGTTCTGTAGCTTCCGGGAGTGACACCTCCAGGTGCAGGATGGACCCCCAGCAAACTGCAGCAACCCTACAGAAGAGGGGCCTCTTAAAAGAAAAACAAACAAACAAAAGAAAGCAACAACAACAGCACCAACAAAAAAGTCTCCACAAAAACCCCATCCAAAGGTCAGCAGCCTCAAAGATCGAAGCTAGATAAACTCATGAAGATGAGAAAGAATCAATGAAAAAATGCTGAAAACTCAAAAAGCCAGAGTGCCTCTTCTCCTCCAAATAATTGCAACACCTCTCCAGCAAGGGCACAGAACTGGGCTGAGGCTGAGATGGATGAACTGACAGAAGTAGGCTTCAGAAGGTAGGTAATAATGAAATTCAATGAGCTGAAAGAGCATGTTCTAACCCAAAGCAGAGAAGCTAAGAACATGATAAAACATTGTAGGAGCCATTAACCAGAATAACAAGTTTAGAGAGGAACATACATGACCTAATGGAGCCAAAAAACACAACACAAGAACTTCACAATGCAACCACAAGTATCAATAGCTGAATAGAGCAAGCAGAGGAAAGAATTTCAGAGCTTGAAGACTACCTTGCTGAAATAAGACAGAAAGACAAGATTGGAGGAAAAAGAATGAACAAAACTTCTGAGAACTATGGAATTAGGTAAAAAGACTGAACCTACGACTGATTGGGGTGCCTGAAAGAAACAGGGAGAAGAGAACCAAGTTGGGAAACATACTTTAGAATATCATCCAGGAGAACTTCCTTAACCTAGCAAGACAGGCCAACATGCAAATTCAGAAAATCCAGAGAGCTCCAGTAAGATACTCCATGAAAAGGTCAACCCCAAGACACATAATCTTCAGATTTCCCAAGGTTGAAATGCAGGAAAAAATGTTAAGGGTAGCCAGAGAGAAAGGTTAGGTCACATACAAAGGGAAGCCCATCAGACTAACAGTGGACCTCCCAGCAGAAACTCTATAAGCCAAAAGAGATTTGGGGCCAATATTCAATATTCAACAGTCCTAAAGAAAAGAATTTCCAACCCAGAATTTCATATCCAGCCAAACTAAGCTTCATAAGCAAAGGAGAAATATAATTCTTTTCAGTCAAGCAAATGCTGAGGGAATTTGTCACCACCAGCCCTGCCTTGCAAGAGCTCTTGAAGGAAGCACTAAATATGGAAAGGAAAAATCATTACTAGCTGCTACAAAAACTCACTGAAGTACAAACACCAATGACACTATGAAACAACTACACCAACAAGTCTGCAAAATAACCAGCTAGCATCATGATGACAGGATCAAATTCACAAAAGACAATAACAACTTAAATGGAAATGGTCTAAATGCCCCAATTAAAAGACACAGAATGGCAAGCTTGATAAAGAGTCAACACCCATCAGTGTACTGTATGCAAGAGACCCATCTCATATGCAAAGACACACATAGACTCAAAATACAGGGATGAAAAAAAAATTACCTAGCAAATGGAAAGCATAAAAAAAGCAGAGTTTGCAATCCTAGTTTCTGAAAAAACAGCCTTTAAACCAACAAAGATAAAAAAAAAAAAGACAAAGAAAGGCATTACATAATGGTAAAGGGATCAATTCAACAAGAAGAGGCTAACTATCCTAAATATATATGCACCCGATACCAGAGCACATAGATTCATAAAACAAGTTGTTAGAGACCTACCAAGAGACTTAGACTCCCACATATTACTAGTGGGAGACTTTAACACCTCATTGTCAATATTAGATCATCAAGACAGAAAATTAAGAAAGATATTCAGGAATTGAACTCAGCTCTGGATCGAGTGAACCTGATAGATAGCTACAGAACTCTCCACACAAAAACAACAGAATATACATTCTCAGCACCACATGGCACTTACTCTAAAATCTATCACGTAATTGGAAGTAAAACACTCCTCAGCAAATGCAAAAGAACTGAAATAATGGCAAACAGTCTCTCAGACCACAGCACAGTCAAATTAGAACTCAAAATTAAGAAACCCACTCTAAACCACACAACTACATGAAATTGAACAACCTGCTCCTGAATGACTCTTGGGAAAATAATGAAATTAAGGCAGAAATCAAGAAGTTATTTGAAACCTATGAGAAAAAAGAGACAACATACCATAATCTCTGGGATGCAGGTAAACCAGTGTTAAAAGGGAAATTTATAGCACTAAATGCCCACATCAAAAAGCTAGAAAGATCTCAAATTGACACCCTAACATCACAATTAAAAGAACTAGAGAACCAAGAGCAAACAAACCCCAAAGTTAGCAGAAGACAAAAAATAACCAATATCAGAGCAGAACTGAAAGAGATAGATACACAAAAACCCTTCAAAAAAATCAGTGAATCCAGCAGCTGGTTTTTTGAAAATATTAATAAAATAGATTGCTAGCTAGACTAATAAAGAAGAAAAGAAAGAAGAATCAAATTGACACAATAAAAAATGATAGAAGGGATATCACCACTGACCCCATAGGAATACAAACAAACATCAGAGAATACTATAAATATCTCTATGCAAATAGACCAGAAAATCTAGAAGAAATGGATATTCCTGCACATGTACACCCTCTCAAGACTGAACCAGGAAGAAGTTGAATCCCTGAATAGAACAAAAACAGGTTCTGAAATTTAAGCAGTAATAAATAGCCTACCAACCAAAAAAAGCCCAGGACTAGGCAGATTTACAGGTGAATTACATCAGAGGCACAAAGAGGAGCTGGTACCATTTCTTCTGAAACTATTCCAAACAATTGAAAAGGAGGGACTCCTCCCTGACTCACTTTATGAGGCCAACATTATCCTAATACCAAAACCTGGCAGAGATACAACAAAAAAAGAAAACTTCAGGCCAATATCTTTGATGAACATTGATGCAAGAATTCTCAATAAAATACAGGCAAACCAAATCCAGAGAGTAAGTCAAAAAGCTTATCTACCACAATCAAGTCAGCTTCATCCCTGGGATGCAAGGCTGGTTCTACATACACAAATCAATAAACGTAATCCATCACATAAACAGAACTAAAGACAAAAACCACATGATTATCTCAATAAATGCAGAAAAGGCCTTTGCTAAAATTCAACATCCCTTCATGTTAAAAACTCTCAATAAATTAGGTATTGATGGAACAAGCCTCAAAATAATAAGAGCAATTTATGACAAGTCCACAGCCAATATTATACTGAATGGGCAAAAGCTGGAAGCTTTCCCTTTGAAAACCAGCACAAGACAAGGATACCCTCTCTCAACACTTCTATTCAACATAATAATGGGAAGTTCTGGCCAGTACAGTCAGGCAAGAGAAAGAAATAAATGGTATTCAAATAGGAAGAGAGGAAGTCAAATTGTCTCTGTTTGCAGATGACATGATCATATATTTAGAAAACCCCATCATCTTAGCCCAAATCATTCTTAAGCTGATGAGATATTTCAGCAAAGTCTCAGGATACAAAGTCATCGTGCAAAAATCACAAGCATTCCTATGCACCAACAATAGACAAGGAGAGAGCCAAATCGTGAATGAACTCCCATTCACAATTGCTACAAAGACAACTAAGTACCTAGGAATACAGCTAAGAAGGGAAGTGAAGGACCTTTTCAAAGAGAACTACAAACCACTGCTCAAAGAAATCAGAGAGGTCACAAACAAATGGAAAAACATTACATGCTCATGGATAGGAAGAATCAATATCATGAAAATGGCCATACTGCCCAAAGTATTTTATAGATTTGATGCTATTCTTATTAAATAATTATTGACATTCTTCAGAGATTTAGAAAAAACTATAAAATTCATATGGAATGAAGAAAGAGCCTGTGCAACCAAGACAATTCAATTCTTAGCAAAAAGAACAAATCTGGAAGCATCATGCTACCTGACTTCAAACTACACTGCAAGGCTGCAGTAACCAAAACAGCAGGGTACTCATACAAAAACAGACACATAGACCAGTGGAACAGAAAAAAGAACCCAGAAATAAAACCGCACATCTACAACCATCTGATCTTTGACAAACCTGAAAAAAACAAGCAATGGGAAATGATCCCCTTTTTAATAAATGGTGCTGGGAGAACTGGCTAGTCATATGCAGAAAATTGAAACTGGATTCCTTCCTTACACTATATGCAAAAATTAACTCAAGATGGATTAAAGACTTAACTGTAAAACCCAAAACTATAAAAACCCTAGAAGAAAATCTGGGCAATATTGTTCAGGACATAGGCATGGGCAAAGATTTCATGACAAAAACTTCAAAAGCAATTGCAACAAAAGCAAAAATTGACAAATGCAATCTGATTAAACTAAAGAGCTTCTGCGCAGAAAAAACAAACTATCATCAGAGCAGAGAGACAACCTACAGAATGAGAGAAAAATTTTGCAATCCATCCATCTGACAAATGTCTAATATCCAGAATCTACAAAGAACTTAAACAAATTTACAAGAAAAAAATAACCTCATTAAAAATTGGGCAAAGCACATGAACAGACACTTCTCAAAAGAAGACATATATACAGCCAATAAACATATGAAAAAAAGCTCAACATCACTGATCGTTAGAGAAATGCAAATCAAAACCACAATAAGATACCATCTCATGCCAGTCAAAATGGCTATTATTAAAAAGTCAAGAAACAACAGATGTTGGCAAGGCTATGGAGAAATAGGAACACTTTTACACTGCTGGTGGGAATGTAAACTAGTTCAACCATTGAGGAAGACAGTGTGGCAATTCCAAAGACCTAGAACCAGAAACACCATTTGATCCAGCAATGCCATTACTGGGTATACCCAAAGGAATATAAATCATTTTACTATAAAGATATATGCACAGGTATGTTTATTGCAGCACTATTTACAATAACAAAGATGTGGAATCAACCTAACTGCCCATCAGTGACAGACTGGATAAAGAAAATGTAGTATATATACATCATGAAATACTATGCAGCCATACAAAGGAATGAGATCATGTTCTTTGCAGGGACATGGATGGAGCTTAGAAGCCATTATCCTCAACAAGCTAACACAGGAACAGAAAACCAAACACTGCACGTTCTTACTTATAAGTGTTCTCACTTACAACAATGAGAACACATGGACACATACAGCAAAACAACAACACACTGGGTCTGTTGGGCAGGGGGTCGGGGGAGGGAGAGCATCAGGATAAATAGCTAACGCATGCTGTGCTTAATACGTAGGCGATGGGTTGATAGGTGCAGCAAACCACAATGGCACACATGTACCTATGAAAACCTGCACATTCTGCACATGTATCCTGGAACTTAAAATTAAAAGCCTTATCCCTAATGATATTCACTGAAAAATTATTAACACTTGGGAAATGAAGATAACCTAAAATCCAACAATGAGAAAATGGCTTAAATAAATTATATTTGTAAACTATCTGGCCCAATTATAAATACAGTACAACTATGACTATATATTTTTTAAAATTCTATCCATGAAAACAGACTTAAAAGACAATAAAATATTAAGAGCAAGTTTGGGTAGTGGGATTATAGCTGATTTCTTTCCTTCATGTTTTACCTAATTTCTCTACTTTGCTTTAATTAGTTCTTATTAATTTAAAATTTTAAGAAAATAGACTGCTGCTCAATTTGGGCAGGACTTTTATACAATCATGACTTACCAAAATGCATTTATATTTAAGTGTGCAATTTGTTGTAGTTTCAAAAGCCTCCTTTCTTTAAAGCTTCCTACAAACTTCACGAAGAATTATCATTTCTTGATCAGCTGAAGAAATAAAGGCACAGAGAGCTTAAGTAACTTGGCCTAAGTCACAGAGCCAGGAAGTGGAGGAGCCAGAATTCGAAACCATAGTTGCTGATTTTAAATTCTGAAATTCATTAAATTATGGATCACCTGAGGTCAGGAGTTCGAGACCAGCCTGGCAAACATGGCGAAATGCCATATCTACTAAAAATATAAAAATTAGTTGGGCGTGGTGGTGGGCACCTGTAGTCCCAGCTACTTGGAAAGCTGAGGCAAGAGAATCATTTGAACCTGGAAGGCAGAAGTTGCAGTGGATTTATTGATATAAAACATATGTAACTTAAAATTTACCATTTTAACCGTTAAGTGTACACTAGTGTCATTAAGCAATAGTCACCACTATCTATTTCCAGAACTTTTTCATCATCCCAAATAGAAACTCTAACTATTGTTGGAGGAAAAACTGGGTTCTTGTCACATGACCAGGAAATATTAGATTTGCAGACAATTTGAAGGGAGAGGGGGATGGAATTTATTGGGCAAAAAGGAAAAAGGAAAAACTACACAGCCAGGTGAGAGGGGTTCCTGTTAACAGGCCCTCATATCACAGACTGAATCCCAGGTTACCACATAGAAACAGGAGCGGAGGGACCAGGCTCCTCCCTGCTGTAAACAGCCTGAATTTCTCGAAGCCCTACCCCATCCTCCCAGTGTGCAGGCCAGTTGGGGATTCCCCAGGGAGGCCCTTTTACTTGGCTGTCTCATTCCCCACTCTAAAGAAGTACATCTAACTGCCCTTAGAATAAGGATAAGGATTAGGATAAGAACAAAGACTGATTTTAACTGTTTCCTGCTGACAGGGTGTGTGCTGTTTTCGAAAAATGGCAGTCAGAGCTCCTGCAGAGGCCTCTCTTAAGGGTCCCTGGCAAAAGGGGCCATTGTTCCAGGCTCCAGTTGCATGACCGTTTGGAGTTTGATGACCTCAAGGCAAGAACAGAAGACAAACCAGGCTATTAGAAAATATGTATCAAAATGAAACAAGGTGGGGGTAAGGACAGCTCAAAAATCTTGATGCCTTTTACCAGTTTGCACAGGAAGAGAGGGACGAAAAGCCGACTGGTTAAAAAAAAGAAAAAAAGAAAAACTTTATTCTTTTGCCAGCATGTCAGCCTTCTGGGTTCCCTTCCCCTGAGCCCAATCCTAAGCCGACCAGTTTAAGGTTTGGGAAATTGACTCTTCCCAGTTTGGAGGATGTATCCAATGGGAGTGTCCTGTAGTATAGAGACACAATTTCCTATCTGTGAAGAGGGGATAGAAAAGGAGAAAGGAAAATATAAGACTTTTTTTTCAAAGGAGTCCCAGGGGTTCAGGATGCATTCAAAAGGGATACAGATTGAAGATGAATGGCTACCCATCTAGAAAGAGGGGAGCAGGTATCACTGGTTCCCTTCTCTTCCTAGCAAATACTTGTGGTACGTGAAGGAAGAAAAGTGAGGCATTCCTTTTTCTTTCCTCCTTCCTTGAATACTTACATCCTGGCAACCCCAACAGGGTGCCACCCATGGATGTTAAAGTGGCTTTCACCCATGTTAATAAGGGGGTCTGGGGGGTGAGAGTATTCACTCTTACCCATGTATGCCTTATCTCCCCTGCTGTCAGTAGCCTTTGAATTCCCTAGACCTCATTTATGCCATGGATACTAGCACGGCCTTTATCCATGAAATGGAAAGCTTGGCTGAATCAGTAGAAATCAGCCACACTCACCTGCACTGGGTCTTTTAACTTCTGTTATTGCCTGCCTCTGGATCCCTCAGATCCAGTTTTCTTTCCTTGGGCTTTGACCCAAAGCTTGTAATTGAGTTTGGGACAAAAATGTATCTCAGGGGGCAGTGCATGAACTTCTTATCATAAGCTGAATGCTAAGGTGAAACTGTGGAATTTAGTGCCCCCCCAACAAGGGAGAGAAAAGGGTGTCTTTTGACATGCCCAGATAACTAGTGGCTATAATTTTGCTTGCTAAGGTTTGGGTGCATTGTGCTTAGCTTTGCTTAGTTCCCTTGGTCTTACTTTCCCAAAAAGGAAACCTCTAGGTGATGGGCATCCTATTTATTCCCATCACCTGGCAGGATTTGCAGGATAATTACTCAGAACTAGAATATCAACCCAGATTTCTACATTACCCATCCCTCTTGTTCCTTCTGAGCTGCAGTTGGAGATTGCTGGTTGGGTCACAGTAACAAGCAGGGTTAGTCTAAAATGTAGCCAAAAACTTAAAAACAGCTAAGTTTAGAATTTAATGACAAATGTATAAGTTTTGAAACATTTCTCTCTCTCCAGTCCTCATTTTTGTTAAAAAAAAATCATGATAGAACTGAGTTATCTGCAAAATAGACTTTAGTCTTATACTTGGCTTGATTATTTGCATAAAGTGCAGCAAGAATAATTATTTCTACATAGGTTTTTTAGATTGGCTTTGATGGAACTCTGTTCCACAAGGAATCTCAGATAGGATCTTTGAAAGCAGAGCCCAGCCATGGGTTTGTATCCTCAAATACCTGTGAGTTGGGTGATACTCCCCTCTTAAGGTCCCAAGATAAACTTGGAGCTCCTGGGCCTGTTAGAAAGTAACATTCTTTACTGACCACAGGTCAGGAACCCTGTACAAGAACTCTGTAGACAAGAGTATGAGGCCAGTTTTTTTTCTTAAGGGGCTTTTATCAGCTCTCCAAGTTGAGCTTGACTCCTTAAAGGGAAGCATATCCTTTCAGTCAAAGCCTTGGTAAAACAACCAGTTTCTCCAATTGTGTTCTGTTGCAAAAGAAAATTGATTTTATTGCACTGATGCAAACAACTATATCGCCACAGGTTGAGAGTATTCGCAGATAGTTTCCAAATTCTAGAGGAACCAGGTAGAGAGAAACCAACATGCTCCAAATTTTCTTCACAGGAGTATACCTTACTCAATTATGAAAGGCTATAAATAGTTCAAAATAAGTTTTCTTGACTCTGAAAAACAAAACAAGGATCAGCAATATTCCAAGCAAAAGTCAAAAGATTGTTTCAGTTTTCTGAGTTCAGTCAATTTAGTTCTTGTTTTGCTTGATATTCATAAATATTCAGCTCTTCATGAGTCCTGTACATTTTTCCTGTACTCAAATATCACAATTTACATAGTTATCAGAAACCTGTATTTAAACACACTTAGCTATAACTTATAGAACTTCAGAGTTCTATAGCTTATTATAAACAATATTTTGAAAAGGATTAAAACAAGACAATTGTCTATGAATAACAAAATGTCCAGGGTAGTTACAGTTAGAAACAAAATTAATAAAGAAGTTTAGTTATCTCTGTGGTTTACAAAAACTTAACATAACAACTTCAATTATGATTGATAGCATATACTCAGATATTAGAATTTTAGAAACCCCAGACAATTTTGGAACACATATTAGTATTATTCAACAAAATATAGCCTAAAGAAGACTGAACACCATTTTGGCAATCCCATGTAATGAAACATGTCAAATAATCTTGTTTATCTCTTTTCTGTGTACTCCAGGGGCCCTTCTGAAGCATCTGAAAAGTCAGGTGTCAGGAAAGACAATTTTGAAACTGAAGTTTGATTTTAAGAAGCCTGTTAAATATGTTAGAGGTTTAAAACATTTGATGTTATGAAACAGAATTCCAGATTACATAAATTATTTATTTTACCAAAATTATGACTCAGAAACTTTAAAAAAGCAAAAACCTTTTATAACCCTTTACAAATTTTGGTAAAGAGCAGTTGAGTGCCTTAAGAGTACCTTGTGTGCTTATTTTAATGCTCAATTTACAGAAAAACTATATAATACCCTTTGAATTTAGTCAGTATGTTCACACATGGAATTTTTGCAAGATTAACTTTTACAATCCTCCCATCACTTGTTTGAACTTTTAACTTCATCCTACTTAATTTAAAACAATTATTTAACCCTAGGCAAGAATTTACACTTTTAAGCCTTCTTATAACCTTTTATTAAAAACACATTTTACTGTTCTCACACACCTTGCATGTAAATCTATTTCCCGTAGTCTCAATTATATGTCATAATGGTAACTTTTAGCAATTTTTAACTTTAATGTAAAACCTGGTACGTTGTTTTGATTATATGCTACATGCAGCCAAGGCTTGACCCCTTCCAGCATAATTAAGGGTGTGGCTAGTTCCATATGTCCCCAGGCCTTACCTTCTTATTCTTATGTAAATATTCCTCCACCAGGGAGAAAAGCTTAATTGCTGGGGACAAAGCTGGACTCCCTGGCCAAGGACTGGGAGACTCCCTGGCCAAGGACTGGGAGACTCCATGGTGCATGGCAGGGAATGCCAGCCAGCCGTGTGGGGTGCCTTAAGGCCCTGGCAGCAGTTGTGGCTTATTGCTGCCCTGAGTAGCTGTTGAACACTGCACACACATGTGGCAGACATGGCCATGCACCCCAGGCAGCAGGGAAGGGGGAACAGGGAGCTGTCCCACCCAACCATCCCATGCATGCACCCACCTGTGGCTGCTGGGACGGGTGTGGACCACCTCCAGTATTGTAAAAGGAAAGATAGGTGCCATTACTCTCCTGAAAAAAAATAAGAGGAATGTCATAGGACCAAAAGGCTCAGAAGCAAAAGTAAAAGGTTTTGGGTCTCCATTTTACTCACCCTTCCTCAGGTCCCACATTCTGGGTACCAAAAACTATAAAGCAATAAATCCCCATTCTCCCCTTCCCCAAGACCCTGGAAACCAGCATTCTACTTTCTGTCTCTATGCATTTGCTTACTCTAGGTACCTCATATAAGTGAAACCATACAATATTTGTCTTTCTGTGATGGGCTTACTTCACTTACCGTACTGTTCACAAATTTCATACATATGGTGGCATGTATCCAAATTTCATTCCTTTTTAAGACAAATTAATATTCCACTGCATGTTTATACCAAACTTTATTCATTCATGTATCGGTGAGCGTTTGGGTATTTCTACTTTTAAGTTAAATTAAGTTTAGGCCTGAGGTTGCCTCTATACTTGAGTCCTTATGTGGCAAACTGCAACATTGGTAGACAGACTACTAATTGAAAGCTTAATTTAGGAGTACATAAACTCTTCTAACAACTGGCTGAGTTCTAGTCAATCACAGCAGCTGAGCTTCAGTCAATTGCAGGTGGCCCACTCATTCAAATAAGGCAAAACACTGAGCTGTAACCAACTAAGCTGACTGTGCATTACATCTGTTCTCCATCCATAAATGTTATCTGACCACTTTGGGGTCCCAGAGTTCTTAGAATCTATTCTGGTTCTGAGGGCTGCCCAATTCCAGAATTGTGAATCAAAGCTAATTAAGATATTTAAACTAAATTTATTGTAATTTTGTCTTTCGATACCACCTTTAGGCTACTGTGAATAATGCTGCTATGAACATTGGTGCAAAAGAATCTCTTTGAGTTCCTGCTTTCAATTTTTTCAGGTACATACTGAGAAATTGAATTTTGGTAATTCTAAGTTTAGCTTTTTGAGGAACCACTGTACTATTTTCTACAACTGCTGCTCCATGTTACATTCCCATGAGCTATGCACTAAGGTTTTAATTTCTCCACATCTTCACCAACACTTGTTATTTTGTTTTTTTTAAATAATAACCAACCTAATGAGTGTGATCATTTATTTTTATACATGTGCCAATTGTACTAATAGTCCTAATTATCTTTTAATAGAAAATTTAAAGGATGAGATAAAGATACAGTTTGAGTACACTTTATCCAAAATGCTCAAAATAGAAGTGTTTTGAATTTTAGATTTTTTTCAGATTTTGTAACATTTGCATACATATATGCAAATCTTGAGGATGAGACCCAAGCCTAAACACCAAATTCATTTATGTTTTATAGCAACCTTGTACACATAGCCTGAAGGTAATTTTATGCAATAGTTTAAATCATTTTGTGCATGAAACAAAGTTTTAACTGTTTTGACTGCAACACCTCACATGAGATCAGGTGTGGAATTTTCTACTTGTAGCATGATGTTTGCACTCAAAAAGTTTTGGATTTCAGGGCATTTCAGATTTTGTAGTTTTACATTAGGGATACTCAACCTATAAAATCCATATTTTTAAATAAATTCAATTTGTATGTATTGTTTCTCAAATATTATGTTTATCCTAAAAAATTAACATTAATATTAATGGTTTAGGTAAACACAAAGTAACATATAATACCTTGTTATATTCTAAAGCTTAGTTCAGCACTTTGTTATATCACTGAGTTTTAATGGCTATCATCTGAAAAAAGTTTATTATACATATATTTATATCCACATGGAAAAACTACGTTATTGGTTGTAAACCCTGAAGTTTATTTTTTTACTTGCATTCACCAATTTTCAATATTTTTGTTAAAATACATCTCGTAAATTTTTATCTCTATGATATCAGTCTGTTGTCTTATAAATAAATCAGAAAATATTGTATTTTCTTACTGTAGATTAAATATCCCTAATCTAAAAATCTACAAAGTTCAAAACTTTTTAAGCACTGGACATGATGTCATAAGTGGAAAATTCCACACCTGACTTAATGTGATGGGTCACAGTGGAAATGTAAGTGCACAGCACAGTTTACTCAGTGTCCCCAAGAAAAAAAGACCCTCTCAGCCCTCTTCAGCTGCAACATATTTTTTTCCATGCATGCCCACACTTCCCCATGCAAGCATGCCTGCAAAGGGTAATAAAATGCCACTTGTGCAGGGTGAATGCACCAATGGCAGATTCCCTGCAATGACCCACATGGACCAGGACCTATGTGCATTACTCACTGTTTTTTTGCTTATTCTTTGCTCTCTGATGTAAAGATACTGTTGGACATGTCAAAAAGGCCTGCAGATACCCTATGATCATGGTAACAAGTGAAAGAGGAAGCATTTATGTTTATCTATAGCACAGAAAGATACACTGTTGGAGAAACTGGACAGCGGTGTACAAGTGAAACAGGAAGCATTTATGTTTATCTATAGCACAGAAAGATAAACTGTTGGAGAAAGGGGACAGCGGTGTAACTGTAAAATGTCTTACAGAAGAGCACAGTGTTGGAATGTCCAGTATTTATGACGTGAAGCAACAGACAAATAAACTGCTGAAGTTCTATGCCTAAAGTGATGAACAAAAATTAATGAAAATAGAAAAACACTGTGCAAAGCTAAAAATGAAAATATTGATTATGTATTGAAAGAATGGATCCACCAGTATTGCATTAAACACATGCATATAATGATATGCTGATCATAAAACAAGCAAAGATCTATCACGATGAACTGAAGAGAATTGTGAATATTCAACAGGCTGGTTGTAGAAATTTAAGAAAAAATGTTGCATTAAATTTTTTAAATATTTGTAGTGATAAAGCATCTGCTGAACATGAAACAACAGAGAAATTCATTGACAAGTTTGCCAAGGTCATCACCAAGGAAAATTTGACACCAGAACAAGTCTATAATGCTGATGAAACATCACTGTTTTGGCCTTATTGAGCCAGAAAGTCACTGACTGCAGATGATGAGACAGCCCCTACAGGAATCAAGGAGGCCAAGGACAGAAGAATATTTGCATACACTACTCTGTGTATGCAAGATATCTTGGAGATGGGACCCAAGTCCCATCTGTGCTGGGCTGTGCTAATGCTGCAGGCATGCATAAGTAAACCTGATGTGATAGGGAAAAGCTGTGTCCTTTCTGTTTCCAAGGAATGAATTTCTTACCAGTCCATTATTATGCTGACAAAAAGGCATAGATCACCAGGGTCATCTTTTCCGTTTGCTTTCACAAACATTTTGCACCAGCATCTTATGCTCAGAGCAGGGAAGCTAGACTGGGTGATGACTGCAAGATTTTGTTATTCCTTGACAACTGTTCTGCTCATCCTCCAGCTGAAGTTCTCATCAAAAATGCTTATGCCCTGTACTTTCCCCCAAAATGTGACTTCATTAATTGTGACCAGGGTATCCTTAGATCAATGAACAGTAAATATAAAAACACTCTACTGAACAGCATGCTACAGCAGTGAAAAGAGGCATGGATGTGGAAGATTTCAAAAGGAGTTTAGCATGATGGCTGCTGGATATGTTGTTACCAACCCTTGGAACACAGTGATTAATACATAGCTGTGCATGCCTGGCACAACCTCTGGTCTGTGACTCTGTTCAGTGAGGATGATAAAAAAGTTGGTGACTTTGAAGGATTCTATATATCAAGTGAGAAAAAATGATGTCTGACCTCCTTACATATTCAAAAAGATATACCTTCAGTGTTCATCAGTAAGCTAGAAGAAGTGGATATTGAAGAAGTTTTTAACATTGATAGAGTCTCCAGTTGTTCATTCATTGATCAATGGTAAAATAGCTGAAATGGTTCTGAATCAGGATGATCAGGATAAAAGTGACAATGAAGATGAAGTTGTTAACACTGAAGAAAAAGTGCCTGTGGACAATGCGGTGAAAATGTGATGGGGTTATTGAAAGACTAGAGCAGTGTGCATTAATAACAGAACAAGAGTCATGTCTATTTATAAAATCAAAGAGAGACTTTGAAGACAAATATCATTGTTAATGAATCAGAAGACTCTGGAGGAAACATTTTAAAAAGCCATCCATCAGGCCAGGAGTGGTGGCTCACAACTGTAATCCCAGCATTTTGGGAGGCCAAGGCAATTGGATCACCTGAGGCCAGGAGTTCGAGACCAGCCTGGACAACATGGTGAAACCCTGTCTCTACTGAAAATGCAAAAATTAGCCGGGTGTAGTGTCAGGTGCCTGTAGTTTCGGCTACTCGGGAGGCTGAGATAGGAGAATATCTTGAACCCAGGAGGCAGAGGTTGCAGTGAGCCGAGATCACACCATTGAACTCCAGCCTGGCGACAGAATAAGACTCTGTCTCAAAAAGAAGAAAAGCCATCCAGAAGAATGGCTCCTTATCCCTAGACAACCTACCACTTCCTGGTCTCTTAACTGCTTCTGATAAAAAAATAAAATACAGTTTGCACTAAGCTTTTAGTCAAAACACAACATCATCGGTGGAGACCGAAAGCCTGCTGCTGTTGGTGGTTGCTGATGTTTAACAGTTGATACAGGTTTTCTGGTGATGCTACTGTGCTGCTTAGTTACCCTGAACACATTATTTTTTCACTGCACTCATGGTATCTCATACTTTTTACTGTTAAGTACTTGCGTGTGAACAAGCATAAGAAAATGATTGCTTTTTAGTAGCACATAAATTCAGAGTCAGGAATGATGGTGATGCCAAACAGCATAGACTATTTACATGGGTGGCTGAGATTGTGACACTTTTGCTTTCTGATAGTACAATGTATACAAACTTGGTTTATGCACAAAAGTATGTAAAATATTGGATAAAATTACCTTCAGGCTATGTGTGCAGATGTATATAATCATAAATGAATTTCGTGTTTAGACTTGGATCCCATCTCCAAGATATCTCATTAAGTGTATGCATGTATTCCAAAATCCAAAATCCAGAACACTTCTATTCCCATGCATTTCAAATAAGGGATACTAAACTTGTATTATCAAACAGTTTGAAAACCCACTGTAACTCTTTATTTGAAATATGTTTTTAAATAGACAAAAAATTTACTTGTCAATTTTTTAAGTTTAGATATAAGAAAATTTGTATGGGACACATACACATTGTTTGGCAGTAAAATCATGGAACAATGGAAACATTTCCAAACATCCAATTTTAAAATGCTTTGTTCATAGCAGGAGTTTCTTTTGAAAAGCAATTACTTTTACATTCATTGTTAAAACATTACTTTAAACTTAGGGGATGAATTAAGTGTGTTTATATTTTCAAAAAAGGTCTGGTGGGTAGCATACTATTGACAGACACTTGTCATCACAGAAAAGAACAGAAAATCTGGAACACTTGTCTTTTCATTTTAAAAAGATGCAAATTATACATCTCTAAGTTAATTATTCAGTACTTTGCCATGATAAATGCAGAGAAAATTTTATGGTAATAAAGATTTTCACAATCTCTTCCCATCTCATTGCAACATCTACTCTTTTATTTAATTTTTGTAAAACTAAGTGCACCCACACAGTCTGTATCAGAAAGAGGGCAATACATCAGGATAGGATGTTGTAAATGAATGAGTGGAGTGGGGCACTGTCAAGCCCACTGCTTGGTGTGATTCCCAGTTGTAATAAAGCAAATGACCATAAAATATCTCCTTCCTTCTATCCTTTGCAATGTGACTTTGCAGCTCCTTTCGAAGAGAGAAATTACTTCCACTTCCCTTGAATCTGGGGTAGTCTTGTGCCTTGCTTTGGCCAACAGAGCATGGCAGAAGCACCACAGTGCCCGTTTCAAACCTGGCCCACTAGACTCTTTGCCTGCTTCTGCTCTTGCTTGTGGAACTCTGCCACCAGGTGATCAAGCATGGGCTTCTTACAAATACGAATCCCCAGGGCACTTCTCCAGAGATTCTGATTCATTGGGTCCAGGGATTTATACTTTTATCAAGCATCAGAAGTAATTCTGATTCAGGAGGTCTTCAGATAACACCTCAGAAAACACTGCAAATCTGGATTACGAAGTGGCCTCAACTCCAAGCATATTATCAGAATCAGAAAATACATATGAACTAGGGTCCACTCAGAGCAGCCTACACTCAGCGGTAAGGTTGCATCAGTGTATGCTCCTGGTGCATGTAGGGAGTATCCCACATTGTGACAATATTGATACAGCAATTAGAAGGAGGACCTCCAGAGAAGAGCAAAAGAAGTGCCCCTGGAGGTTTTCCTGTAGGTCAACTTTGCAGGATTCCTGAGCTTGACTTCAGCTCTGATTTTGTCTTTTACTAACTTCATGATCTTGTATAATTCCCCTAATCTCTCCAAGCTTTAGCCTTCCTATCTATGAAGTGGGAATTCTAACTGTGTCATAAGTTTATTGCAAGAAGAAAATGAGGTAAGTTGTAGAAAGCACTTAATACAGAACCTGGCATACAGAAGATGTTCAATTATTTATTATTCTTGTTTCATTATGATATTGTTATCCTTAGAAACCTACTCCTCTTAGGATGTGGAGAAATAGGAATGCTTTTACACTGTTGGTGGGAGTGTAAATTAGTTCAACCATTATGGCAGACAGTGTGGCGATTCCTCAAGGATCTAGAAGTAGAATTACCATTTGACCTGGCAATCCCATTACTGGGTATATATACCCAAAGGATTATAAATCATGCTACTATAAAGACACATGCACACGTATGTTTATTGCGGCACTATTCACAATAGCAAAGACTTGGAACCAACCCAAATGTTCATCAATGATAGACTGGATTAAGAAAATGTGGCACATATACACAATGGAATACTATGCAGCCAAAAAAAGGATGAGCTCATGTCCTTTGCAGGGACATGGATGAAGCTGGAAACCATCATTCTCAGCAAACTATCACAAGAACAGAAAACCAAACACCACATGTTCTTACTCATAGGTGGGAAATTAACAATGATATCACTTGGACACAGGGCGGGGAACATCACACACTGGGGCCTGTCAGGGGGTGGGGGGCTGGGAGAGGGATAGCATTAGGAGAAATACCTAATGTAAATGATGAGTTGATGGGTGCAGCAAACCAACATGGCACATGTATACCTATGTATCAAACCTGCATGTTGTGCACATGTACCCTAGAACTTAAAAGTATATTTAAAAAAAGTTGAGGTTTTCCCATTAATTTCCCATTAATTAAAAAAAGCCTACTCATCTCAAAGGGCTAATTTGCATTTCTGGACATCTCCAAATCCCTCAGTGGAAGCCTGTCTCACATATAGTCAAACTCTGGAATCAGCCATATCTTGGTTCCCGTCCTCAACTCCACCACATGTGACTTCAAGCAAGTCACTTATAAATCTCAGTGTTTTCATCTGTAAAACAGGGACAACAACATTACCTTCCACCATAGGGTTGTGAATATTAGAAGAGTTAATGTTCAATACCTCACACACTGCAACCCACAGCAAATATTAGCAATTAGCATTATTTCCTCAGGGCTATTCTTCATAAATTCTGAAATCCAAATCAAGAAAATGCATTTGCAGGTTTACAAGAAGCAACCCAGAAATTCAATGGTAAGGTCGCATCACTGTATGTCCTAGTGCAGGTAGGGAGAATCCCTCAGTGTGACAAGACTGGTGGAACAATTAGAAAGAGGACCTCCAGAGAAGGAGAAAAGAAGAGTCCTTGGAGTTTTCCTGAGGCACAGACCCTAAAAACAGACCTATCTGGTGTTTGGAGCTGCAGCGAGAAGAATAAATTTGCTTTTGTGGGACTCATATTGCCAAAAGCTCATCTGTGAGTGAATAATGAAGTTGAGACATACGTGGTCACCAAAAACAAACAAACAAACAAACAAACAAAACAGGTCAGGGCTTTGAGGCTCAGGAAGTAATTTAGGAAGATAATAATAAAGGTATCCTCCCATCTCTATTACCTCTCTTACTACCTAAACCAGACCCTCCTGACCCTCGGCCTGCAAAAGTGCAGGACTTTCAACTGGTTCCTCTGCATCTTGCTCTTCTGTTCCTCCCCTCCACTCAGCACACCAAAGCCCAAATTATTTACTGAAAACACCACTTGCCTCACACCACACTCCTGGGTAAAAACCTACAGAGGGCCGGGTGCAGTGGTTCGTGCCTGTAATCCCTGCACTTTGGGAGGCTGAGGAAGGTGGATCACTTGAGGTCAGGGGTTCGATACTAGCCTGGTCAACATGGTGAAACCCTGTCTCTACTAAAAATACATAAATTAGCTGGGTGTGGTGGCAGGCACCTGTAATCCCAGCTACTTGGGAGGCTGAGGCAGGAGGATCACTTGAACCTGAGAGGCAGATGTTGCAGTAAACTGAGATCACGCCATTGCACTCCAGCCTGGGCAACAATAGCGAAACTCCGTCTAAAAAAATAAAACAAAAAACAAAACAAAACAAAAAAACCCTACAGAGGCCACTCCTATTGGGTCTGATGTAAATATTTCATTCTCACACAGTAGGCTTCACCCTGCTGCTGTGTCCATGAATTTCTTCTCATTACGGTCATCAATACAAGTAGTCCCCCTTTATCCAAGAGAGATACATTCCAACACCCCCACAGTGGATTCCTAAAACCTCAGATAGTACCAAACCCTATATATACTACGGTTTTTTTCCCTACACATACATACCTATGATAAGGTTTAATTAAGATTAAGTTAATCTGACACATCACAATGCTGTCAATCAGAACACATGTCTGTTTACGTTTTCCATCCACAAATGTAAGGCCTTTTCCATTTTAACTAAGCACTTATCGCTTGCTGTTTGAGGTGCCACAGCAAAACTAGCACTACACTACCATGACAGTAGATCTGATAACTGAGAGGACTGCAAAGTGACTAACAGGCAGGTAGCATATGCAGGGTCAACGCACTGGCCAAAGGGATGATCCATGTCCCAGGCAGGATGGAGCAGGATGGAGTGAGATTTCATCCCAATACTTGGAACAGTGTGCAATTTAAAACAGATGAATTATTCATTTCTGGAATTTTCTGTTTAATATTTTCAGACCATGGGTAACTGAAAATGTGGAAAACAAAACTGTGGATAAGGAAGGATTACTGTAGCCTTCCAACTGCCAGAAGCAAGGGGAGGGTGATACTCTCCTGAACATTCTTGTAGCCCAAGTTAGAAGACAAATGTAGCAAAATTCCCCCAGACCTTCACATTTTAGCTCTGGTTTAATTGCATTCTAGCCAACGTTAAACAAGATTCTTTAGGTTGTTTTAATTTTGCATTCAGAATAAATCTGCTATGGCTGAATATTTTCCCATGTTGGCTTTTTCACCGGTTGTATTTTATTCTCTTTTTAAATTTTTTTCTTTTATGATTTACAAATATTTCCCATATTCTTATTTTTTATAATAAGATTTTCTCTAACCTTTTAAAATCTATTTCATTTTTAAATATGTTCTCAGAACCATTAGTCTTGGTTCTCTTAAAGGGTCACTTGCTTGGATAGAGCTAAGATTCTGACTTCCAACCTCCCATAGTCATGCCTGTGGGTCACTTCAATATTGGAATCTTCCACAAATGATTTTTGGCAACCAAAGAGGGAATGAGCTGTGTCTAGTGGCAAGGGGATGCCAGCCCCGTGAAGTGTGGCAGGGTTGCCTTGCATTCCTCAGAGCTTGAAGCAAAGTTGAGAAAAAAAAAATGCTAACATTTAAAAGCTTGCCCCAAGGCCTCTGATAAGGAGCATGTTTCTGAGACTGAAGTGTTCCTGTCTTTCATATTTTATAACCTTGCCGTTGCAGCAGGAGAGCCATGGAGAAAGAGAGATGGAATCACGGAGAATGGGAGATTGGCTTTGCCCTGAAGAGAAAATGCCCGCAGTGTGACTTGTTTTCCCATGTTTGCCAGTTCAGCTGAGAGTACAAAAGGAAGCCTACAACACATCGGACTACCTGGGCTTTCCTCCTAGTGTCAGAGGGGCTTGTAAGATAGGATCACCTTTGGGGGAATCTGGAGCTGTCTATAGGAACCTCATGATGTCTGCTAACTTAAAGTCGTGTTTAATTGATTATGAGGCTTTCAGCTAAGGAGCCTGAGCTCTCTGGAAAGTGTTCTGTCAATTCCTGCAAAAGCCTTGCATCAAGCAAACTATAAATCCCTAGCGGTAACATGGAAGCCAAAATAACATTAAAAATGTTCTTATTGCTATTGTTAGTGGTGGCCTTATTCTGTTCTAAGATTACATGGGCTCTTAGGAACTTCAGGAATTCCTGAGAATTATTTGTGGGAAAGCAAACATTTTTAAGCCTCACTAACAAAGGAGAAACAATTTATCAGAGCCCTAGTTCAGGAGGGGACCATCTTTGTTCTACCCCAGCTTTAGCTGAAAAAATCATGTTTACTCTCAACTTAAATATTCTCAAAATGTCCAAGGGACCAGGGCTTTACTCTTTGATTCTAAATCATAACTTCTCCATAAAATCCTCACTTCCGGAGCTGATAGTCAAGTCCAAATCTTATTAAAGTCTTCATTCGGAATGCATATCCAAATCTCAACATACGATAACTTTTTAAAAATTCATCTCAGATTTTATGCCACCAAATATTAAATTTCAGGGTGCATAAGAATGACACAAAGCACATATTTAAAATGCATATTCCTGGCTTCAATTCAGAAATACCAACCCAGGTGGTGAATTTAATACAAATGGGCCAAGGCCATAATTTGAAAAACATGTCTTTAGACTTTTCTCAGTTAAATACAACCAAACAGAAATTGCTAAATGACATCCATCATGTCTTGTTATACAGCTTGCTGAGGAAGCATTCTTGAGTCTGCCTACCAGACAGAAAAAAAAAAAAAAAAAGGAATTATTTTATGGTTAGCAGTGTCCACTCTCTTTTATAAGGAAAAAAAAAGCCTCCTCCCAGACAAAATTCTATTTAGGTATCCTGGTCCAAACTTGTCCCATGGCCTCTCATAGCCACCACAGAGCCTGGGAAAGCTGGGAACAAGGCTGTCATGATCAGTCCAAGTGATCATGACCCAACACCAGGGTTTAGTATGTTGCCAACCTCAACAGAATCAGGATCCTGTCTATAAAGAAGGTGAAATAAACACTAGGTAACTCCTAGTGTCTACCTGAAAAGGGAAGAAAGCAAATAAATGTTGAACACCTACTATTATACATGGAAAATTCTGGAACAGGTACTTTCACTTTTTAAAAAAAATCTCATTTAACGTAACATTATAGATATTATATATATAGTGCCTATAAACAGAGCCCTTTGCTTTTGTCATATCTTCTCTGATGATTTTCTAAAAAGATTGCCTTTAAAAGTTTCTATTTAATGTAATTTTAATCACTTAAAACTGAGTTTTCAAGTGTGTCTCTAAGCTGTATTATACTTTAGTTTTCTGTGTTGAGGTTCTTTGTTCTCTTTTGGTTGTTTCAGGCAGCAAGAGAAAATTTTTAGGCAAACTTTGGGCATAATATTTTTAATCCATTTGAGATATGAATAAAAGGAACCAAATCCCTTCCCTATTTTCCCAAAGACAAAAATATTTTTAAAACCCTAAGACCTCAAATATAGCTATTATGTAGTATATGGTGATTTCCCTGAGAGATTGGGACATTAAAATTTTTCTTTTGTTCTCAATTTTTAAAAGGAAACTAAATGCAAAAAAAATACTAATACAATGCACAAGACACCAATTAAAACATGGAAGTCAGGAAGCACAAAGTTGAATGTTCTCATAGGAACCTCAGATCATGTACCCTGTTTCTATGCATGATCTGGGTGTTCCTGCTGATAAACCTGACATTCTGTTTGTTTGTTTATTTGTTTTATTTTGTTTTTTAAGATGGAGTTTTGCTCTTGTTACCCAGGCTGGAGTGCAGTGGCATGATCTCGGCTCACTGCAACCTCTGCCTCCTGGGTGCGAGCAATTCTCCTAACCTCAGCTGCCCAAGTAGTTGGGATTACAGGCGCCCACCATCATGCCCGGCTAATTTTTTGTATTTTTAGTAGCGATGGAGTTTTATCATGTTGGCCAGGCTGGTCTCGAACCCCTGACCTCAGGTGATCCACTCATCTCGGCCTCCCAAAGTGCAGGGATTACAGGTGTGAGTCACTGTGCCCTGCCTAACCTGACATTCTAGTCATGAACCCTTGTAAATCTGTAACTGCCCGGACAGTCATCATATGTTTAGAAGTGAAAAAAACTACTAGAATAATTGCTTATTAAATTTCATATTTAGTTTTATTCTCTGCATTGTATCTATAAACAATATAATTATCTGTATTTTTATTCTCTGCACTGTATCTTAAAACAATATATTTATCTGTATTTACAGGTCTTTAGTTTCCATTATCAGAATTGGGTTGATGGATCGACACAGTGCTAAAAAACTCTGATCTAGGCCAGGTGCAGTGGCTCACGCCTGTAATGCCAGCACTTTGGGAGGCCGAGGTGGGTGGATCAGGAGATCAGGAGTTCAAGACCAGCCTGGCCAACATGGTGAAACCCTGTCTCTACTAAAAGTACAAAAATTAGCTGGGCGTGGTGGCACATGTCTGTAATCACAGCTACTTGGGAAGTTGGGGCAGGAGAATCGCTTGAACCCGGGAGGTGAAGGTTGCAGTGAGCCAAGATCGCACCACCACACTCCAGCCTGGGTGACAGAGCAAGACTCTATCTCAAATAAATAAATAAATATAAAAACTCTATTCAGTAAACAGATCAGTCCACAAGGCCCCAAACTGAGTCAGACTGAATGTCTGACACTTAACTGAATTGTTTAGACATTTTATAGTTGTAGACATCCAATCTCACTCCTAGAATAGGAGGCAACTGAACAAGCACCAAGCAGATTTCTTTGACTTTGAGGGGTTAAATCTGCTGGAGAGTTTTGGTCTCTTCCCTTTGTCATCTCCCCCTACCCTGCTTCTTCCCTCCAAGTCAGAGAAGGGAATAGAAAGGCACGATATACAAACTAAACATTATATGTAATGCTACGTTCCCCAAACCTGTCCCCTTTTATTAGGTGGAAACTCTGATATGCGGACCCCGTGATGTAGAATTAATTCTTGGTTTGGAGCAGGGGTTGGCGAGCTTTTTCCTTAAAGGGTTAAATAGTAAATATTTTCAGCTTTTCAGGCTGTAAGATCTGTCTTGAACTCCTCACCTCTTCTGTTGGATCACAAAAGAAACCACAGATAATACATAAACAAATGGGCATAGCTATGTTGCAGTAAAACTTTATTTACAGAACCAGGCAGTGAGCCAGGTCATTTGCCGACTGCTGGTCTACAGAATTCTAGCTAGTTTGTTTTTCCTCATTGTATTAAGGATACATTCTATTTTATAGTTCAGTAATTCAACCCTATTTTTAAAAAATATACACTGTTGCCTGATTCCAGTTTATTTCTTGACACTACTATTCTAATTAATCTATCAGGCATTCTTCTAATTGGAAAGCTTCTAGCTCCAATTTCAGATTCCTTTAATTTTCTTTACCTTTATCACAACCCAAATTTCCCCAGCCTTCATCTGCTGATGAGTACAATCACAGCTGAGTTAGAACACATTAGCCTTAATACTTGTTTTAATTAGTGTAAGGTATCAGAATATGGCATCCCAAAATATGTCACTTTGGCATAAAAATTATTTTGAGTTGGAGGCATATGAGAATCAACAGATATATAAAGAAGTATTCCTGGAGCTTTCCACATCCAACTAAACGCAGACAATTCTGAGAAGGGAGAACTGCCATGAATGTCCTCTCCTTGATGGCCATGAAGGAGATGGAAAGTCTGCACCAAAGTGGACCTGAACAAACAAACCTTACTCCATTCATTTCTCCCACATATTCACCCTCTCTCTATTTGCCACTTGTCTTAGTCCATTTTGTGCTGCTGTAACAGAATACCTGAGGGTAGGTAATTTATAAAGAACAGAGATCTGTTTCTTATGGTTCTAGAGGCTAGAAAGTCCAAGATTGAAAGGCTGACACCTGGAGAGGGTCTTCTTGTGGCATTATCCCATGGCAGAAGGTAGAAGTGCAAGTGGGCACTCTCGTGAGAAAGAGAAGGGGGCTGAACTCAATCTTTTATCAGGTACCTACTTCAAAGATAATAACCCACTCCTGCATTAACAGCATTAATCCATTTCTGAGAGCAGAGCCCTCATGTCCTAATCACCTATTAAGATGCTACCTCTAAACACTGTTGCCTTGGGGATTAAGTTTCCAACACATGAACTTTGGGAGGCGAATTCAAACCACAGCACCACCTTTGAAAGCCTGAAACCCTTTTTCTTTGTTTTGTTTCTTTACCAATGTTTTTTTGTTCGTTTGTTTGTTTTCATTAAAATGCTATTGGCCAGGCGCAGTGGCTCACACCTGTAATCCCAGCACTTTGGGAGGCTGAGGTGGATGGATCACCTGAGGTCAGGAGTTTGAGACCAGCCTGGCCAACATGGTGAAACCCAGTCTCTACTAAAAATAAAAAAATTAGCTGGGTAGCATGCGCCTGTAGTCCCAGCTACTGGGGAGGCTGAGGCAGGAAAACCACTTGAACCTGGGAGGTGGAGGTTACAGTGAGCTGAGATTGGTCCCGTCTCAAAAATAAATAAATACAAATAAAACAAAATATGCTATCTAAGCCAAATTCTAGCCTTTCTTTCATTTCAACTACTCATCAAGAGGTTTCTGCCTTGCTGTGCACTGCATCCATTAATAAACTGTTTTTCTCTTGTTAACCTTTTTTTAGTCTAATTTACAGGGCCCTAGCCAGAGAACATTAGTAGATGGAGCATATTTTTTGTCCCCTACAAAAGCTATTGCTGTATAACAAAACAACCCAAAACTCAGTGTCTTAAGACAACTACTTAATATCTTTTGTGAGTCATTGGGTCTGACGGTTAAGTCTCTCCTCACTTTTTCATCATAACTTTCTCATCAGTTCTTGGTATTTATTATTCCAAATGAACTAATAAAACTATTTTCTCTAATTCCCAAAATAAATCATTGAGGTTTTAATTGCAATTTCCCCAAACATTTATTTATTTTAGAAAGATTGATGTTTTTATATTGTCTTTTCACCTAAAACCATGGTATACCCTTCCATTTTTTCAGACCTTGTTTTCTGTCTTTTCCTAAAATTTTACAGTTGTATTCAAGCAGGCCCTGGTTTTTTTTCTTAAGTTTGTTCATATGCATTTTACAAGTTTTATGGCCATCACTGGGGCATTTTCATTTGTAGTCAATTATTATTAATAGAGAATTTTGATTTTTGCACATTTATCTTATGCCTAACCTCTTTACTAAAGTCAAATTAAAGTTTTAAATTTCCCTTTCTACAAAATTATATTGTACTTTTCATTTTTCTTTCAATTCTCAATTTAGAACTCTTGTTTTTTCCTACTCCTTTCTTACTATTTCTTACTATGTGCCCAGTGTTGTTACAAGCATTAAATAAAACAGTATATGCAAAGCACTTTGCACAATGGCTGGCAAAAAGAGCAGTAAGCACTCAGTAAATGTTAACCATTATTAAGAATTTGCTGTTTATTCAAGATGAATTTAAACTTTATGCTATACTTTGGTCATCATCCTAGTCATAGCCATGAGATCTTTTGTCTACATGAAGCGGGAAAAAAATATATGTGTGGAAAACTCTGGGAAACAGTATACAATTTTGTATTTCATATTCCCATATTCCCAATACCTGTTAATATCCAGACTATACAAATAATGAGCTAACACATGAAGCACCATTTATAGTTAGTTCAATTCTAAAGATTAAATGTATGTAAGATTTTATGCTTTGATGAGAAGTATCAAATTGAATTTTTATATGAAAATTGTAATGCTTATAAAATGCAGCTTTAATATAACCAATGAACACAATTAAAGCAGACCTTCTTAATTAAATATAATGTTGAGAATAATCTATGTTTCTAATTCTGATATTCCACTACCTGTATTGAAAGACACTTGATTCTGCTTTTCCAAAGTGCTATCATTTTTTTCAATTTTTTTCTATTACACTTGAATTTGTCTATGCTTGTTTTAGACAAATGTTTCCATTTTTCTGCTTTTTCCCCCTGTAAAAATATACTTTTAAAAAAAAAACTAAGAAACACTAGAGAAGTTGGACACAAGGAAAAAGAAGTGCAGCTGAACCAAGAATACTGTGTTTTGACTGCCTTTGGATTTGTATCTACCATGTATCTCTACAGTCACATGCAGCATAAGGATGTTTCAGTAAACAACAGACTATATTCCTAGACCGACTACATACCTACAGAGGGTAGTCCCATAAGACTGTAATGCTGTATTTTTACTGTACCATTTCTATGTTTACATACACAAATACTTACCATTGTACTACAACTGCCTATAGTATTCAGTACAGTAACATGCTGTTCAGTTTTGTAGCCTAGGAGCAACAGGCTATACCATATAGCCTAGGTGTGTAGTAGGCTGTACCATCTAGGATTAAGTCAACTCTATGATGTTTGCACAATGACAAAATCACCTAAGGACACATTTCTCAGAATGTATCCCTGTCATTATATTTAGTCACTTGGCTCAGTGAGCTAGAGAGTGGTACCATGAAGCAAAGATTCCAAGGTCTAGTCTTGTCAATTTTGATATCACTGTATTTCTTGGCCCAAAGACTGTATTTTAAAAGTAAGTAATTATTAATAAAAGCAGCAGTTCTTTAATGCAGCATTTAATTCCTGACTATAACTTTTGCTTCACAAACAAGGAAACTGAGGCCTAATAAAGCTGAAAGTCAAAAACCAAGGAGGAATTAGTGGTTTGACTTCAGAATCTGAATTCTTAATCACAAAACTATATTCTCTTAAACTTTTGTCTTCTGTTTCGCCAAAACATTTTCTCCTAAGTAACTAAACTTTTAACTGATTTCTTACTCAAAATTCTTTAATGCTATGAGTAGCCCATTAGAAATTGCTTACAACATATCAAAAGTAAAATTCCTATATATGTGCCTGTATGGAACATATACATGTGGCCCTGGATCACACAAAATAGCACTGGCCATATGCTCAGATTGAAAAATCACTTAAAGCAGGCTTCAGGGCAGCCAGATGCTGATTCCAGAAATGTATCAGACATAGCTCAGTCTTCCCTTTGAATTACTCTAACTTGGCTATTTTTTCTTGGAGAAGTGATTATGCAGCAAGGTCCCAGTAAGTTTGCTTTTAACATACAATTACTTTCCTCTTGGGAGGACAAGAGCAGTTATCTTCTTGGGGAGAACACATGATTCTCAGACTGGATAAGCCAAGGTGAAGGGAAGCAGAGAAGACATTGGTCTTCTTATTTCAGTATAGATGTTTTCCCCTTCTTAATAAAGACCATTATAGATGCCCAGTGCTGGTACAGGTCCGGGAGATAAAAGTTCATGATGAAACTTTCCATGCTTCTTATTTCAGTTCCTTAAATCTAGGCCCTAAAGTCTGGTGCCATTTCCCTTGGGAATCATGGGGAGCAGAAAGTGGGGATAAGGCTTCAGTCTTACCGTGCCTCTGCTCAGTTGTAGTCCTCAAATGCATATCATTAAGGGAGGCCAGATTTTAGCTCAGTCTAGAAAAAGACTGACTGAGAGTTAGGTGGGCAGGGTATTTTTTGCACAACTTATATATAATTATATTCAATATAATTCCACAGTCTTATTCCACAAGACTGTGTGGAATAGAAAATGCGATCCTGCAGAAATACAACCAAAAAGGCTTGCAGGCCTTCTAAGAAATACACTCCACACATAAAAGAAGCCCAGTGGGCAAATACCTCCTTACTTTGCAAGCCAACCCACTCCTGGATGTATATGTGCTGATAAGGATATATCATATGTGGGAAGCATGACTTCGGAATTTTCCCTGATAAAGAATTTGAATGCTGACTTCCAAGAGAAAGACATAATTGTTCCCCTCTTGGACGGAAATGGAACTCAAATATGTGGTCTTGGTTATCATAGTGAAATAGAGAAGTGACAGATTTCAAACACTGTATTTCTGCCAAGATGATTGCACTTTTCCTTCTTCCTTTAAAAAAATGTATTTTTTCATTCACTTTTCCAGCTAATGGATAGATAAAAATGGCACTAGATTTCCAAGACCACTTGACAGGAGAGGTTTGATATGAGGGTTGAATGTTTTAAACATTGGTTTGAGCTCATTTTTATGAACTGGGAAGAGGAAAAATGAAATTTCTGCATATATTAGATTTGTAAAGACTCAAATACCAACCTGTGAACTGGTGGAAATCATTGGTTGCTTTTATTTTCTTTTCTGTCTGGAACATACAAGTGGGTGACTTACCCCACGGACACAGGAGTCTGGAGTCATGTTCTCACCATGTCCCCCTCTGGTGAGCTGGAGGCAGGAGGTCACAGAGGGGACTAGACTAACGACAATGGCCTGATAGAACACATGGTTACTTTCTAGACCATATTTCACCCCAGTGCTGTTAATTTCTCATCTTCTCATTCTCACCTTAATAAGTATATTGGTGTAGTCTTGAAAGGATGCTGTTTCTTGACTGCCAAGTATTTTTTAAAATGTCTATTCCCCCACTGTATGTTTAGCTTTTAAAATACACTGTTGACAGTAAAAATCATCTAGAGATTTGGCAGTATCAAGAATTTTATGAAAAATACACTTTTTTTCACGTGCCACCTGTCATGGTCAGGGTTCTTGGTAGCAAATGATAGAAACTTACTCCAGATAATTTAGGAGTCTCTGTGGTACCCTTCAGTCTTTGTAGAGAATTTATGGGAAGGCTACTGGGTATTTTACAGAATTGATGAAAAATGCAAAAGAATGAGGTTTAGAAAGTGGTTCAAGAATGAAAGTAAGTTGGTAGTAGAGGACCCAGCCAAGGTTATGTCCCTGGAATATTCTAGATAGGACAGCACTTCTACACGAGACCCCACCTCCATGGGTGCCATCTCCACTAGACAATTGCTGCCTCCAGAATCCCAGCTCTGTCCTTGCCACCACGAACTCACAATGCATTGTCTCTAGAACTTTGCATCTGTTTCTACACGTTCAACTCTGGTGGGAGTTTTTGAATTAGTGGAGTTAAGGCGTGATGTCACACTCTGTTTGTGGTTGGAGGAGTATCTGTGGTACCCTTCAGTCTTTGTAGACTTAAATAAAGGAGTTATTCCTCAATAGTGAGATCTAAATAATGTGGAGCAAAAAATATGTGTGTATATGCTTATCAACTACTACCTCTAATTTTTCCCCAACACATCCATATGCCACTCTGTACCACTCCCTAATGAATATTTTTATTCACAATCCACTTACCCATATTCTCCATTTATTCTGTTTATCAATTTTCTCACTAATGATTCCACGATCCACTTTTTTTGCATTTTTCCTTCTATTTCTTTTCCTAGTGGTATTTTGTTTCCATTTGCCTGAATGCCAGTACAAAACTTCCATGTATAATCTGCTATCCCTTTATAAATGATGAATCTTCAAGGCCAGATCACAAAAGATTATTTCATCATAGAAAGTATGATCATAAAAAGCTGATCTCAGCCAGAATTCTATACCCAGTTCCTGCATCTTTACTTGAAGATCCTATTTGATATTCTACAAATGCAAATATTCTACAAGAGCCAACTTGATAGGCTGCCCCATCCTCCACACCCCCAAGAACAGACTAACTGGAATCCTCCTATCTCCATCTACCTTGTCTCCATTACCAGTGCTACCATCCATCCATTTGTCTCATCCAAATCAGGAATTTGAAGGTCCGTGCAAGTTCTCCTTTCTTCTCCACCTCTACATCCAGAGAATCAAACAACTCTGTCAGTTCTACCACATAAATATTTCTTGATTCTGCCCTGTTCTCTCATCTGTCCCTATTGCCATTGGACTAAGTCAGGCTCTCATTTTATCTTAAGTGAAGGGCCCTGGTTATTCCCTCTGCCTCATTTCTCACTGCTTCCCACACTTGGCATTTTTCACCCAAACTGTATCCAAGGCACTTACAGTCTCTGAAATATGTCCAACTATTTTATGTATTTCTGTTTGCTAGGAGTATGTTTTCCCACCTTTTCTACTCAGAAAACAAGTGCTCATGATATAAAACTGAACTCAGAGTTCACCTCTGCTGTGAAGCATTTCTTACCTCCTCTCACCTCCTATCTCTACTGCCATCCCCTATATCTAGTTTATTCCTTCCTCTGTTCCATCACTATTCAATCATACAGTATTCTATCTACTATTACCCCTTTTAACACTGAACTACAATTGCTGGTGTGTATGATTACAAGCTCCTTGAGAAATGATATGGTTTTGGCTCTGTGCCCCCACCCAAATCTCATCTTGAATTGTACTTCCATAATTCCCATATGTTGTGGGAGGGACCCAGTGGGAAATAATTTGAATCATGGGGGCAGTTTCCCCTGTACTATTCTCATGGTAGTGAATAAGTCTCATGAGGTCTAGTGGTTTTATCAGGGGTTTCTGTTTTTGCATCTTCCTCATTTTCTCTTACTGCCACCATGTAAGAAGTGCCTTTTGCCTCCCACTGTAATTCTGAGGCCTCCCCAGCCATGTGGAACTGTAAGTCCAATTAAACCTTTTTCTTCCCAGTCTTGGGTATATCTTTATCAGCCGCATGAAAACAGACTAATACAGTAAATTGGTACCGAGAGTGGGTGTTGCGGAAAAGATATCCAAAAATTAGGATGCGACTTTGGAACTGGGTAACAGGCAGAGGTTGAACAGTTTGGATGGCTCAGAAGAAGACATCAAAATGTGGGAAAGTTTAGAACCTCTTAGAGACTTGTTGATTGGCTTTGACAAAAATGCTGATACTGATAAGGTCCAGGCTAAGGTGGTCTCAGATAGAGACGAGGAACTTGTTGGGAACTGGAGCAAAGGTGACTCTTGTTATGTTTTAGCAAAGAGACTAGTGACATTTTGCCCCTACTCTAGAGATCTGTGGAACTTTGAACTTGAGAGAGATGATTTAGGGTATCTGAAGGAAGAAATTTCTAAGCAGCAAAGCATTCAAGAGATGACTTGGGTGCTAAGAGCATTTCATTTTAAAAGGAAAACAGAGCATAAAAGGAAAATTTGCAGCCTGATGATGCAGTAGAAAAGAAAAACGCATTTTTTGAGGACAAATGCAAGCTGGCTGCAGAAATTTGCGTAAGTAACGAGGAGCTGAATGTTCATCCCCAAGACAATGGGGAAAATAACTCCAGCCATGTCAGAAACCTTCATGGCAGGACCTCCCATCACAGGCCTGGAGGCCCCGGAGGAAGTGGTTTTGTGGCCCGGGCATAGGGTCCCTATGCTATGTGCTGCCTAGGGACTTGGTGTCTTGTGTCCCAGCCACTCCAGCCATTGCTAAAAGGGGCCAAGGTACAGCTCAGCCCATGGTTTCAGAGGATGCAAGCCCCAAACCTTGGCAGCCTCCACATGGTGTTGAGCCTGTGGGTGCACAGTAGTCAAGAATCAAGGTTTGGGAACCTCCACCTAGATTTCAGAAGATGTATGGAAACGCCTGGATGGCCAGGCAAAAGTTTGCTGCAGAAGTGGGGTCCTCATGGAGAACCTCTGCTAGGGCAGTGTGGAAGCAAAATGTGGGGTGGCAGCCCCCCAACCGAGTCCCTACTGGGGCACTGCCTAGTGGAGCTGTGAGTAGAGGGCCACTGTCCTCCAGACCCCAGAATGGTAGATCCACCGCCAGCCTGCACTGTGCACCTGGAAAACCCACACTCTTAATGCCAGCCAGTGAAAGAAGCCAGGTGGGGGCTATACCTTGCAAAGTCACAGGGGCAGATCTGCCCAAGATTATGGGAAACTACTTCTTGCATCAGCGTGACCTGGAGTCAAAGAAGATAATTTTGGAGCTTTAAAATTTGACTGCCCCACTGGATTTCGGACTTGCATGGGCCCTGTAACCCCTTTGTTTTGGCCAATTTCTCCCATTTGGGATGGCTGTATTTACCCAATACCTGTACCCCCATTGTATCTGGGAATAACTAGCTTGTTTTTGATTTTACAGGCTCATAGGTGAAAGGAACTTGCCTTGTCTCAGATGAGACTTTGGACTGTGGACTTTTGGGTTAATGTTGAAATGAGTTAAGTCTTAGGGGACTGTTGAAAAGGCATGATTGGTTTTGAAATGTGAGGACATGAGATTTGGAGGGGCCGGGGCAGAATGATATGGTTTGGCTCTGTGTCCCCACCCAAATCTCATCTTGAATTGTACCCATAATTCCCACGTGTCGTGGGAGGGACCTGGTGGGAGACAATTTAAATCATGGGGGCAGTTTCCCCCATACTGTTCTCATGGTAGTGAATAAGTCTCATGAGATCTGACGGTTTTATCAGGGGTTTCCACTTTTGCATGTTCCTCATTTTCTCTTGCTGCCAACCATGTAAGAAGTGCCTTTCACCTCCCACCATGATTCTGGGGCTTCCCCAGCCATGTGGAACTTTAAGTCCAATTAAACCTGTTTTCCTTCCCAGTCTCAAGTATGTCTTTATCAGCAGCGTGAAAACGGACCAATACAAGAAATGCATCCCTATTCCCCACTTCCAAATACAGAGAACAGAATGACAACTTTGGTACTTACTCACAACTCATGGTCACCAATATTCCCAGTCTACTTGCCTTCCTATACCCACAGAAGTCTGCATTTCCTAACCCTCCTTACATTTGAGTGGGGCCGTGTGACCTGTTTTGCCCAATGAACCAGCAGGTGATGTGTGTTACTTCTGATTCAAAACACTGAAGAGTTGGTGTGTAATTTGTATGCTCTTTCCCTCTAAAACCTCTTTTTGACATAGGAACATAAGGTGGGAGAACTTCACCCTGAATGACTAAGGTGAACAGAATGTCAACCTGTATGGATCAAATGGCACAAATTTAGAGATGTGTTTCTACAGCATAAGCTAGTTTTTCCTAACTAAAGCAGTATGTACCCATCTATGTTCCAAATCCTTGGAAATTGTTATACAGGTGTTTTAAGAATATTAGAGAAATATTCAAAGAAACTTTTTTTTGGATGGACTAAGAATGCCTTATTATTTTCCCACATAAAATAATGGAACACAGTCTCCTGCTATCAAAAATTTCACTGTAATACAGTATTAGAAACTAAGTATTGGATTCCAGTAATAAAAGATGCCTGCGTTTTCCCTCTTCCATCAGAAACTTTTTCACAAGGAGGAAAGGGTATACGGAAACAAAGCAATATAAAATAGATCACATAAATAAGAAGCCAAAAAATTAATTTTATTGAGTAAAGAAGTTCATTCAGAGCTTACACAGATCATAAGAATACTTTAGATTATAACAGCTGGAAAGACCAATAGCTGACTGGAAAGAAGAAAGGAAGCAGTTTCTATTTTCAATGTAGAAAAAAAATCTAATCGCTACAAAGGTCTTGTAAAATCCTCAAAACAAGGTCTAGCCAAGTTTATTGTTTGGTAATTTTTTTCTTTTTTTAAGGGGAAAAAAAGCAAGATTTAATGTGAATACTACTGGTTACAACTAATATAACAGCTTGAAAAAATCATGACACAGAAGCATAAATATAATATAAAAAGACAATTTTAAAATTGTATTGTAGGAATATAACTATAATAAGTGGAAAAGATACATTAAAACCATCAGTGTGTTACACTTGTTCAAAACAGAACTCATAAGGCAGACCAAAACTGATGCAAGTTAAGGAAAATGGTCTGTTTTTAGGAAGCATGTCCAGACAGACACCACAAAGAAATGCCAACAGAGACTATGTGGTCCCCTCTTGTTACTAGTAATGTGTCAAAGGTGGAGTGACTGGGTTAACAGCCTAAGCTTTCTCCAAGGATTTGTAGTATTCTGTCAGCACGGTCCAAGCCTTGGGAGCCATGAAACCTTCAGGTGGTTTCTGGCCTTCTCGAGCAAGTTTGCGCATTCGTGTTCCTGAAATAAATTCAAAGTCTTCATGGCTAAAGGAGAGGAAAAAAAGAAAATTATTTCATAATTTTAGAAACTTAGATTTTTAAAAAGCATTTGTTCCTTCTGTTCATATTAGACAAACTTAATGAAAAAAAAATACTGAACATAGTACTTGTGAATATAAATCTCATTTCAAATTTGTCACTGAACAAAAAACCACTATTGAATATTACCAATTTTTAGAACCAGAAAAAAATTAGTTTTGAAATTTTTATTGAGACCATTGTAGAGTCACATGAAATTGTAAGAAATAATATAGCCAGTCACCATTGTACCCTTTATCCAGTTTCCTCCCAAAGGTAACATCTTGCAAAATTATAGCATATCACAGCCAGGATTATCAGTGTGGAAACAATCTACCAATCTTACTCAGACTTTCCTAATTTACTTGTACTAATTTCTCTTATGCACTTAATACTATACTACTTTATCACATGTGTAGGTTCATGTAGCTGTCACAGAACACTTCCAAAACCACACCCATCTCACGGGTTGCCCTTTTATAGTCATACCTGCATTGCCCCTCTGCCCTCTACTCCCCAGCTCCTGGCAACCACTAATCTAAAACTAGATTTTTTTTTTTTCAAGAAAACACTAAATCTAATTTAACTAGCATAAATTGAAAACTTTTAAAGAAGTTTCAATCTGAAAGGCTAAATTAATACTGGAATATTAAGAGTAAAATTGAATTTTTTTTCTTCTGGAACAGCAAGTAGCAATAATCAATACTACTTAATTGACAAGACACAACAGAGGTAGTGTTGATAGTTTTTCTCATCTTCACACATACAAAAACACACAAAAGCCCTCAAACCAGTAAGCACAGAGCACGTATAGCTATGGCATATATTGCTTACCTTAAATTCATCCATCCTCGTCTCTCAAACATGGGAACCAACCTAGATGGCCAACTAGGACTCAGCAAGCATTCAGAGTCGCTCAGGTCACCAGATCACGAGCCTGTTTACTTCTAGTTGGCAGTTCTATGTTCCTTCCTCTCTTCATTATTTATAGACTTAACCTGAAAACCTGGTGCAATCATAAACTACCAAGTGGCCCTGGCTTCTGGAGGTATGCCAAGTATGTTTTAACTAATAATCACACTTCTACAAACCTAGAAGGAAATAATTAGAGGCAGACAAATATTATGCCTAAGACAGCTATATGAAAGTCATTTTACAACAGCAAAATACTATAAATAACCTAAAGGCCGAAAGATCCTAAATAAGTTACAGTATAGTCCTGAGTCGAATATTACATAGTCATTAAAGTACGGATGGGATAAGATGCTCATGATGTGATTAATGATAAATAAAATAACCAGGACACAAAACTATATACAAACATTGCTATGAACTTATAGGTAAAACCTTAGGGAAGTAATTAGAATTAAATGAGGCCAAAAGGGTGGGCCCCCTATGATGGGATTAATCCCCTTATAAGAAAAGAAAGAGACAGGAGATTCTTGCTCTTTCCTCTACATAAGGACACAGCAAGAAGGCAGCCATCCACAACCAGGAAAAAGGGTCCTCACCAGACACCGCATCTGCTGGCACCTTGATCTTGGACTTCCCAACCTCTAGAACTGTGAGAAATAAATGTTTGTCATCTAAGCCTTCCAGGCTGTGGTATTTTTTATAGCAGCCTGAACTCAGACAAATATCACTGCTATTTTTAGAAAATAGAGAGAGAGAGAGAGAGAGTGTGTGTGCACATAAAGAAATATGCCCTATGTAGTCATTGTTGGGGTTAAAAAAAAAAGAAGAAATATGCCCAAATGTTAACAGTGGTTATTTCTAGGAAGTGGTCTTACAAGTGCTTTTTATTTTATTCATGTTTTCTGCAGTTTTCTACAATGATCATTTCATCAATTATCAATATTATCAAAATCAAATGAGAATGTCAATTATTATAATTTTATAATGAGTAAAAACTCATTTTAAAAATCTCTATCCAAAGTGATCATTCTGGCCTCATAACAATTATAATGGCTATTAACACACCTGTAAATGACAGACATTAGCAGTAAAAAATACATCTGAATGGTGCTAGGGACACCAAATATATTCAATAAATATTAACTGACCAGTGATAAGGTGGTTTATTATCTAACTAGGAGCTCAGTAAATATTTGGTGAAATATGAAAGGATAAATAGGTACATGTAAAGGAAAATGTATTGGTTCAATATAGCACCATTCATAGACCTTAATAAGTGACTTTATACTGTGGCAAAAAGGGGAATTTAGCTTTACTGAATACTGTGGTCAATTTGTGCTACTACTTTGTTTTTTGAAAGATATTTATTCAAATGTAACAAATTAAGAATGGGTCTTAGAAGTGGGTGGCAGAGGGTCATAAGACAAAAAACTAACATGCATTAAGATGGGATAGGAGTGTTGATATAAATAAGTGAACACATAAATACATAATATAAGAAATGTTAGTTACTGAAGTTTGGGCTACTTCTACATTCCCTTTTATCTAAATCTGGACTATTCATATTAGAAGTTTCAGCATGCCCTTCATAATGATCTCATCAATAATCCTCTTCAGATCTGTCTTCTCTCTGACCTCACTCACCTCCACACTAGTCAGCTTTCCACCATCTTCCTTATCACAGTTCACTGAGTCTAGCTATGAGCTTGTGGGCTATCCACTCACTAGGGTGGGCTCTAGAACATGAAAGAAGTGTTATGATTTCCTTAGTGATCTAGGTGGTATATCAAGCTTCTGGTTTCCTCTGTTTGATGTTTGTTATCTGTGTGCTCAATGACTCAACTGCTCACAGGGTTTATATGAGTCTTCGGCTTTTTTTTTTTTTTTTTCACCACCGGCCTCCAAGCATCTCCTGTACCTGACCTACCCCTCTGCCTGACCACTGCTGTCAGTTCTTACAATCAACTTGACACTTGGTTCCCGGTCTAGTTCTACCTCTTAGATTCACTGTTAGCTCCAATTCTGGCCTTTCCAACTTCCCAGTGAGGAACCAGGATTTTAACAAATGTTCCACTCCCCTTTGAAACATGTCTAAGAGTTTTACTCTGGAATGCTATACATATATGATATGAATATAAACTAGTGTGACTCATTTAATCAGTCACAAGAAAAATCAATGTCAGTGTTTTATAATCTCATTTCTAACTATTAAGCAGAAAGGTACTACTACTTTAATTCAGATATGTGACATCCTCCCCTAGTCATCCTGTCTATTCTTCCTACTCCCTGCATTACCAGGAAGATAGACATACACATTCAACTCAGTATTTCAACTCTCATCTTCTTAGGTAAAACACATTTTACATGTCTACACCAAATTATTAAAGATGATGGATAAAAAGGAAAGATTAACAGATATTGCTTCAAAATAAGATGGTTTGATTCAGAGAGTTTATAAATGTAGGGAGTATCTCCCACCTCTATCATATTCAATGTGCAAGAAATGTCAAGTCGACCATGATATACGGGTCCATGCAGATGAGCTGGTTACTATAGTTCAAAATAAAGTAAACTATCATCTTTATATTACATAAAGGACTATGACTTAAGGGGAAAAAAACAAAGTTACTGCATGTGAAATGAGCCTAGAAAAATAAGCAAGGCTATGAGAGAAGAGATTTCAAAAACAATCAGGAGAGCTGGAGTTAGAAACAATTTGTAAGTTTATCAAAACTAAAATAAAAACTGAGTTTGAGAAAATGGAGAAGCTCTCCAAAGAAAGAAAACTCACCAAAAGGCAAAACATTTGTCAAAAAGGTAGAAAGAGAACCAAGATGATTATATGTAGTCATGGAAGAAGGGAAACTTAAAAATGGAAAGGCCACAGAGGGCTTAGGAAGATGACCACAGTAGGGAACAAAACACTGAGTTGACAAATCAGAATTTAAATCTTCCTTAATAGAAGAGTTTTAATAGATGATAAAAGAAAGAGATAGAGCAGTGAAATGGCAGAGATACACAATGGAGTTGAGATGTGATTTTTTTTTTTTTTTAAGGAAACGAGAGAAGGCTTACCAAGTTATATAGGCAGGAGAAAATAAGTGGCAAGAATGAGAAAGGGGAGGAGGATGAGTGCCAGGAGAAGAAACAAGAGAAACATAAGATGGAGAAGGAAGCCCAGGATGAAGACACAGGGAGAGGGGCTTTGACAAGGAGGAGGGTCAGGAGTGATGAAAAGAGGAAACAGAAGGTGGTGGGGGAGTGGAGAGAGACAGAAATGATTTGGTGTTAGAAAAAGATGTGGTGGTTAATGCAAAATGGTCTTAATTTTCTCAATAAAGATGTCAGGTTGCCTTCTGAGGGTGTGGAGAATCTGCATGTGAATGAATATATAAAATAATCCATCCATGCAGTTAGTTGACTTTATCTCCAGGCCAGAGAGGTTACATCTCAGGACAAGACTTAGCAAGCAGAGCCTAGACAGGAAGCTAAGGGAGTTGACTAGTTATGGAGGGGGTCCAGATAGCTTTCCAACTATATCCAAAAATGCTTGCTCTAACCAGATGTAAAATTAAAAACTGGTTTGGTCAATAATAATTTGACAAAATACTGACTGAATGTGTTTCAGTTCCTTAGGAGGTCCACTTATTGGCTCCCTAAATAAGCTTCATTTTGAAAAATTATGATACTAGAACTTTCTGGTCATGTAAATCTTAAACTCTGGTTTCAAAAAAGAAAAACTTGTCACTTGCTTTATAAAGTGCTTGTTGTTGAAGGCAATGAAAAAGAAGACAGCAGCTTGCTAGATGACTCTGTCTAACTTTTTGGAAAAAAGCCAGACCAATTAAAGTCCTTTCTTTCCCCAGAATGCCAAACTGTCTGAAATCCAGAAGTTTGCTTGCATTCCTTCTGAAATTGCAATTTTAAACCAAGGTCCCTGGGTACCTCTTGTCCTGAAGCTATTTCACACTCCATCTGCCCTGCATGCCACAAGCATTTCTTCATCACACGGAATGGGAGTTTCCACTTCCACATAGTGGTGGTTCCACTCCACCCTGGCTACGGAAAACACATTTTCCTCCACCTCATACTTACATTTCCATCTCTGTCACATAAGGATTTTAACTTTTTATCAGAATGTAGGTTCAAGGAGTGGACACAAGAGTCACCAAAATCAAATCATATTTTTCACAAGTACATCTTCAAATGGACATTATTTTACAGAAATAACTAAATTTAAAAAAAAACTGAAGAATTTCTGGAATGGGCTAAAATTATCTCTGAACTTCACCTGTGAGTAATCAGGAATCTGCCAGTAGCAGGAAAGGCTAATAAATAAGGGACCTTAGGTTTTCACTACAAATAAATTCTAATTTGGGCCATTTCACTACATTAGTTAACCAATCTTCTATGGCACTGGAAAAAGAAATACAAGTATGTTTGCTTTTTTTCCTTTTCAAAACCACTTGGTTACAGATTCTTATAATCTACAGCAGACAGAATGCTAGCTCTTAAAACAAAAGAGAAGAGGTTAGAACAGCAAGGAGGGGAAAAAAACCCGAAATGAGCAGAATATGTGAAACCCTTCATAACATACTAACCACATGTGGCCAGCATCTTGACTAACTCCAAAGTAGAGATGACTCTCGGCCACTTGTTGAAGATTTTAAATCTTTACAACCATCTGCTGTTTCTCACTCCACATACATGGCCATCAGAGCCACCATTACAAGTTGCTCACATGGACAAGAGCTGGGGTCAGCAGATGGCCCTTCAAGTATATCTTTTGAAGGTTCATATTCGATTAGACCAGCTTTTTAAAAGTGCTAACTAGGCAACAAGCAATTCAGAGAAGCAAAAGGGAATTTCTTCTTTGATAGGACGAAAAATAATAGTGGTAACTTATAAGTGAATCTGTTTTGAGTCTAACTTGAAAGCGGGTTACATCAAACATAGTATACATCAAAACATTAAGCATTCTTAAGACTGGGATTAAAAATTCTCTTCAAAATCAGATAAACATTTATGGCTATCTTTTTAGGAATTTAAGCACTGTTTGACATCATACATGACAAACTTAACAATTTTTATTTTCAAACCAAAGACCAATTGAAAGACATGAAAAATTGAATTATCTAAAATCTAATTAATAAAAGCCATTCATTTGTCATGTTTTCCTCCCAGCACTCCAGTCTTTTAAATAAAGGCTAGAGTGTGGCACCTATTAAATATTCAGCCAAATAATGGACTTCCAGGGCTGTCCTAAAGTGTACTGGAAAATCAACTCAATTTCTCAACAGAGATGATTTTTGCCATCCTCTTCCCCCTCCCCAGGGCAAACATCCTATAATGCATAGGACAGCCTCTCCAGAACAAAGAATTATCTGGCCCAAAAGGCCAATACTCCTGAGATTGAGAAACCCTGCTAATGGGTATATTAAGAAAGAAAGACAGATTGAGTTGATAGTTTTATAAAATGTAAATTTCACTCTCACCCTAAAGGGGCAGAAAAGAAAAAAGAGATCTCAAAGTCACAGGAAAAAAGAAAAGCAGGTAACAGAACAAAACATCACTATATAAGACATATAGCTTTACAGTTATTTCCTCCTAGACCTCTTTACAGTAAGAAAGAAGGTCAATGACTAGACACAGCTCAGGTCTACAGCCTAACGGAACATCATGGCCAGATCTCAGTGGCATCTGATGGTACAGATACAGAAAAACTATACTCTGTGTTTTTAAGAGGAGTGGGAAGAAATGGGACAAGGAGATCGATGCTACCTGCCCCCAGTGATACCTAAGGACATGAGTGTGCTGTGAGGAAGCCTCTTCCAGAGTAGGGGGGAGCCTTCATAAACTTCTTTATTCAACTGCAACCAGTGAGATTTATGGCATAGTATGGTACCAGATACTGACAAAGAGCCATTAAAATGATAACAAAGAACTTCTAGTAGCATGGAACGATGCTCATGAAAAGTAAATTAAAAAGCAGGACACAAAACTCTATTATATTATAAACTCAACTGCGTACAACTGTGTTAGATTAATGTATAAAGAGAATAAAAGCAAACCACACAAAAAGTATTGGTGACATAGGTGTTAATTTTCTCTTTTTAAATGCTCTCGTAATTTTTCTCAAACATATTTTCAATTGGTTGACCTCTTAGGGGGCACTTACTCCATTTACCCCTTATTCACCCAAGAATGCATCAAAATCAGGGCACCCTAGTTAGCCACAAAGAAGAAACTTTCTAGGAAGACAGGTTTTTTATCTTTTTTTTTTTTTTTTTTTTTTTTTTTTTTGAGAAGGAGTCTTGCTCTGTCACCCAGGCTGGAGTGCAGTGGCACGATATCAGCTCACTGCAAGCTCCACCTCCCAGGTTCACGCCATTCTCCTGCCTCAGCCTCCCGAGTAGCTGGGACTACAGGTGCCTGCCACCACGCCTGGCTAATTTTTTTTTTGTATTTTTTTTTAGTAGAGACGGGGTTTCACCGTGTTAGCCAGGATGGTCTTGATCTCCTGACCTCGTAATCCACCCGCCTGAGCCTCCCAAAGTGCTGGGATTATAGGCGTGAGCCACCGCGCCCAGCCGGAAGACAGGTTTTTCAGAGTGAGCACAAATGGCTGGGACCTATTTTTCTTCCACTGGAGGACATCAAGGGCACTTGTATGGGGAGACCTGGACTGCTCTACATATGCATTAGGGAAAATACTCATTCAGGAACTGTCTCATTTGCTCTTTTTACTTTTTCTCTGGTACTGATACTTTACAAGAGTGGTCAAACCCCATCAGGGCTTTAGAGAAAGAGAAAATGACCTTTGTCCTGCTTTGGGTTCAAAGCTACTTTGGCTTCCTGGCATTAAAAAAAATGTCTTCAACGTAGTCGATTCCAGCTCACTAGAATTCCACACTGGGGGCAAAGCCCAAGAGTACTGCTCTGTCTTCAATTGCTGTTTACTGCTCCATGCATATCTCCCCTTCCCCCTCCCTTCTTTCTCCCAGATACTATAGTTGACTAAGAGCAGCATATAGGTATTGCTGGGTTTTATACCAAAAATACCATAATAACATCTCTTTAATGGTGTCTTATCTATCATTCCTAGTATCAACCACTAAGAGAAAAAAATCACTTTTATTTTATTTCCAGAAAATGTAAGCTTCTCACCTCCCTACAATGGTTTCAAAAGAGGGGCTTATGAAAAGATAAAACAAATAATGCATATTTCCATGTCATCTGTTGCATTACTGATTAAAGAAAGTTTGCCATAAAAACTAGGTAGAATGTATCATCTTCTATTGTTGAATAATATTCTAAAGGGAGCAAAATACACAAAATCTTTTATTAACTGCTTTACGAAATGTAGAAGCAGACTCTTGCCATCAGAACACTTTTGGAATCAAAATATTTGCTGTTACAGAAAATTTAAATTGTACACAATAATGATGGTGTGTGAAACACGAACCCTTCACTAATTCCATCACACTTTTATACCTACAGTTCCTTCCATTAAAACTCTCTGCCCATTACCTGTGGAATTACAAAAGAGGATACTGAACTAAATTGGTTTTGTTTTGAAATGGGGGAGGTGAGTAGATTTATGTATTTGATAAGAAAAAGCAAAACAGCCTTCATTTAATATAACAATTATACTACAAGTCCTACTGACTGTGCCTCCTGAAGATGCTTTGAAGTCAAGCCACTTCCTCCAGTCTGCCCATTGCAACCCACCCATATGATACTGATACATGCCTACACACTGACCTCCCTGTCTTTCTCTTTTCTAAACTTTTGGGTCACTTTTATAACTTTTATGTTCCATGTGGATACTTTCACACTTGTCCTTGGTTTTACAAACACTACAAGTATACTGACTTTGTAATCTATATCTGGTAATTCTAACATGTGAAGTCTCTGCAGGTCTGCTTCTGCTGACTGTAGTTTCCATTTTTTTTCTTGCTTATGGTGCTTTGTTGCCTTGTATCCTTTGTCATTTTTGACTAAAACTGTTCATTAAGTATATATAAATATTTATAGGAGTAAGTCGAGACCTAGGACACTGATGTGCTGCTCTAGGAAGAGTTTATGTTTGCTTCTGCTGAATGCTTAGAGGCCTGCCTACTTAAGAACCACAAAAAACTAATTTCATGACTTGAGGGTTTTTTGTTTGTTTGTTTTAATATCACCCAGGTAATGTAAGTCTGGCCCATTTGAGCAGAGCTTTCAGCTTTCGAGCTTAAAGTAGAATGTCCTGCTCACAGTCTCCTAGAACAGGAGAAGGAACTGGGTTCATTTCAGGTTCTCCCTTACACTTAATTAAGGCAGCAGGGAGTCTCAACTGAATGGGAGTGTCTCCTGTTGGGCTCTCCACCTTGATCATGGGCAGAGTTGTATTTTCTATCCCCATCTACACTATGAGGCATTGAAAATCAATACTCTCAAGTTTGTTAGTTTTACCAGGGCAAAAGCAGCTTCAACGCTCAGCTTATGTGAATTTTCAGCATTCGCTTACTGGTTTTGGCCTCACAGTTCTTATCATCATCTTGTCAGATCCACAATACTTTTATGAAAATGTTTCATTTAATCCAGCATTTTTAATTTCTTCAGAAAGGCAATCTGTTAAATCTAACCTACCTCTTTACCAGAAACCCAAATTTTTTATAACCAATCCATACAGTCACACCACCATCTTTTAAAAATTCTTATCAACTCCAGCTCCTACCTTTCAAGAACTGCCTTATCTGGCTCCTGAATATCTCATCATCCTCCTTTGACTCTGTTCTACCTCACTCTGTTTAACCCTCTATGATCCTTCTCACCCAAGACCTTGACATGCACAGATCCTTTTGTCCAGAATACTATTATTCCCTTCTTCATCAAAGGAGTGCTGACTCATCTTTTGGAGCTTAGTGCAAACATCACTTACTCCAGGAACCTATCCCCGGTACCTCAGGCTTGGTCAAGCAAGTGCTAACTGCGTTTCCCACAGTCTTCTGCCAAGTACTTACCATCTTCAATTGTATGGTCAGTGGTTTACTATCTGTCTTCTTTCCTAGAATTTAAGTTCCATAAGGGCAATGACAATATCTGCCTGTTTCCAACTATAGTACCTACAACCTAGCAATGGCTTGCAAGCAAACTATTTGCAAATAGTAAAGACTCCATAAGAAATTAATAAATGAATAATGCAAAGTAAAGTCAAAGTTTTGTACTAATTTCAATAGAATATATTGACCTCAATACAAGATCCAGTATATATAAAATATATAATTTGATTTTCAAAAATATACATAGTTATACTATACCTAATTATAATTCAAATGCATACTAGAAGACAATATGATAGAGTTTAAATTAGGTCTTATCTATTAATGATCATGAAGCAACTCCCCACTATAAAGTATGTGCAAAATTAACAAATACAGGATGAGACTCATTGGTAAATTCACGCAGTTATAGTCAGACTCTACATGTATTCAGACGAAACATCAAAATTAATAAAAACAAGGCATTTTATGAATTAACAGAAAAGACAGTTTCCCAATACTCTAACAGAAATACTTGTGTATTGCAAAGACTGTGGCAAGAAAGGGAAAGGAAAGAATTCACACAAGAAACGTTTCAGTGGTCAACTTGATAAGACTCGGCTATGAAGAGTGAGGGAAAAGGATAAAGGACTTTAAGGTTCTATATAGTGCGAATAAGAAGTAACTAAAGAAATGTAGGATTTGGGGATATTATGAGGGTAAAGGTAAAGCTGGTTTTGGCCATTTTAAGAAATGGCTGAAGAAGAAATAAATTTAGAAAGAAATCAAAGAAGCAAGAAATCTAAGTAGAAATGTTCACTAGTGTGGCAGGCAGAATTCTAACATAGCCCCAATGACCTTTGTCCCCAGTGTTATTACCATCCTATGTTATTGCATGGCAAAAGAGATTTTGCAGATACAATTAAAGTTACTAATCAGTTGACCTTAAAACAGCAAAATTATCTGCGTGGCCCTAAGCTAATCACTCAAATTTTCCTGTCTTGTAGCAGAAGGGAAGTCAGAGAGATCTGAGGCATGACAGGGATGCAACATGAGGGAGGTTCTACTGCTGAGATGAAGCAGCCCACAAAAAAAGACCAAAAGTGGCCTCTAGGAGCAGACAGCAATGCTCAGCCAATAGCCAGTAAGAAGACAAGGACTTCAGTTCTGTAACTAGAAGGAACTGAACTCGGCTAATAACAGGGTTCAGTCTGACAGTGGATTCCTTTCAGAGCCTTCAGATAAGAACCCAACCTGGCCAGAGAACCCTGTCAAGCACACCCAGTCTTCTGACCTAAAGAACCATGCATGAGGTAATAAATGGGTGTTACTTTAAGTGGTGCTTTGTTACGCAACAACGAAAAACTAATACAACTGGGAAACACTGATGTACAGGTTTAAAAATCACCCCCACAGAAACCACAGGAACGGATGACCTCTCCCATGGAAAGTATATCTGAAAAAGCCTTGAAGGATGCCTACAGTTAGAGTGTTTTTTAAAAATGACACTAACAGTACATTATTTAAAGTATACTCTGGGCCGGGCGCGGTGGCTCATGCCTGTAATCCCAGCACTTTGGGAGGCCGAGGCAGGTGGATCACAAGGTCAGATCGAGACCATCCTGGCTAACACAGTGAAACCCCATCTCTACTAAAAATAAAAAAAAATAGCCGGGCGCGGTGGCAGGCGCTGGGAGTCCCAGCTACTCGAGAGGCTGAGGCAGGAGAATGGCGTGAAACAGGGAGGCAGAGCTTGCAGTGAGCCGAGATAGCACCACTGCACTCCAGCCTGGGCAAAAGAGTGAGACTCTGTCTCAAAAAAAAAAAAAAAAAGTATACTCTGGCATCAAAAACATGAAAGAAATACTCTACTGAAAATGTGGAAATAACCAGATAACAGGCATTTATGTCCACCTGCCCATTCATTTACCCATTTCCACAAGGCACTCTCACTCGTGTGTACTGTCTGCTTTTTGAGTTTACTATTTCACTAATCTGAATAATCCTGTATCTATCTACCCTAATATAAAGACTTACATTATAACAGAGGGGAAAAAATACAAATAAGATAACTGAATTACCTCTAAAAGTTTATTTGCAATTTCTGAAAGAATGGACTTTAATCTTGTAGTCCTAAAACTAAATTTCCTTTAGTGCCTATTATAACTAATTTGAACCTCCTTAACTTTCTAAATATAAACAGATGATTTTTATCATAATTCTTATCAACAACGTTTTGCCTGAAATCTTCATAAAGTTTGTTTCTTTTCTCCTAAGCATTGTCTTACATTGGTATTTAATCAAATAAAAAACAAAACAAATTCATTAATTACATAAAACCTGGCGCTGAGTAACATCCATTAATCAAACAAAAGACAACCTCATCTGTGCATAATTAATAACTGTTTTCTCACTACATCAAATGCTATCACCTTTCCACAAAATTTTAATCACTTTCCAACGTATTACCATCAACTTAATTATTTTTGAACACAAACACAAAAAGTTAGAAAACTAAGGCAGTTTTAAAGCTTCCCCAGTTATTACTTATTAAGATTTGGTAACCCCCAAAAAATTCCAAGAAAATGAGCCACTCATGCAACTAATATAGAATTCATCTTTGGAAAATCTTAAGAGAACTGATGTAATTATTTAGCTTTTGAATGATTAAAAGAGAGACTTAAAGCAATACTACACAGTTATTTAACCAAACATCAAAGTTACCAAAGGCTTACCAGCACATCAGTCAACTACATACAGATGGGGTTTAGGGTCCTGCGTGTGATTAAACCAACTGATCATGCAAAGAGACCACAGTAATGAAACATTTTGGCACAAGAAGTGTAAAAGAAAAGCTCAACTCTTTTTAGTTTGGTTTTCATAACTCATCAAAATGGAAATTCACCTAAGTTTTAAGCATTTAGCCATTAGCAGAATAATTTTATTTCCCTCTCCTTGCTCTCCCTTGCCACTATATTAGCAACTTAAGGAAGTTAATCCTAACGCTCAGAACAAGATTGTGTTCATAATCCCTTATACACAAACTAAATAAATCTCATGCTAGGTGAGAAGCAAAAGGTTTCTGGGCCCAGCATTTCACCTGACATTGTATGTTTTATAGATCTGTAGGAAGGCACTGCTACCCTTTTTTAGTGGTTTTAAAGTGGGGAGCTTTTAAAAGAACTACAAATTATAGGGCCTCTCCCCAGACTAAGTAAATTAGAATTTTTGACAATGGCCTACCATAAAAGGGCAGAACTGTACTCAAAACTTTTTTACTTCCCTTAATAATCAATTTATATTTTAAAGTTTTAATCACCTTTTGTGGTAAAGCAGTTCAAGGTTTACTACAATTTCTTTTTATTCTTTTTTTCTTAAAAAAATTTTAAGGCATCCTTTTGGTAGAAAAGGTCCATTGGTAGAAAAAATCCTTTTATAACTCTCAGCACACCGCTTTTACAGTTGCACTTTTTAGACAGTGAAATCGTACTAGGTGTACATATATAGTATATATACACATACATACAGATACATATTTCTTTTAAAGGCAAACAAAATCCCACATGATTTAGAACTTTTTCTAAATGTTTACAAACCTAATTTTGTACAAGGGTAAAAATGTTCTAGTTTGTTGCAAATTTTTCTTTTGGTGTGGTTCAGAAGTATACTAGAATCTGGGCCACATTTCAGATCTTCAGAAAATATAAACTAGAATATCTTCCGTCTTGAATTATATAGGGAATAGTCAGGAGTCCTTTTACACTTGCCTTTTCTGTTCATTCACTCTCATAAGACTTTCCTGCATTTTAGCTACAGTTCATCGCTCAGAAAAGTCTGCTGTCATCTAAAAGTATGCATTGTCTCCAGAATTATTTCTGTCATTAATGAGAAACCTAACATCTCCCAATCTCCACTGGTAATAATAGTATTTCTTTCTCCAGACAACTTATCATTTATTTCAAATAAATCAAATGACAACAAACTACATCCATTTTAGAAACAAGAGAATGTTGTTTTAATTTTTTAAAGGTTTCTTTTTCTCTTCTGTCCCCACTATTACAAAATGAGCCATAAAAATGAGGACACAGGGTCAGGGCTACATTATTCCTAAATGGGGAACCAACTATGAAGTATCATGGGAAAGGATGGCAGCTTTCAGACTAATGGTTACTAGGCCATAGTCAATTTCCAATTAGCACATGTCAGTAGAGCTGACACTGATAAAAATGTAAATTAAAAAAATTATCTGTTTTGCTTGTTGTATTATCTGTTTGCTTGCTGAATGTGGATTGTGATTTGTACTAAAAGAGCAGGTATACTAAATAAAGGTCAAGCACAAAACATTTCATATGTACAAGTACCTACTAAGGTGTAAAAATAACTAGGTGCTATAGATAATGCAAAGAGCTACACATTTTGGGCTAAGAGGGAATCACCCTGTCCACTGCCTTTATTCCAGAGACAAGGAAACAGGGCAGAGAAGACAGGACTCTCAAGTTATATAGCAAGGACAGGGCTATAACCCACAACTTCAGAGTTTACAGCTTCACACTACCACTTTAAACTTACAGAGTGTACTACCTATAGATGAAAGTTAATACAATTCTGTCAGTCAAAGAGAGACAGATACAAGGGGCCTCCAAAAGGTTCATGGAAAATGTTCATTATCAAAAACAACTATGCATGGATTTCCATTTTTCACCAAAATAAACTCACACTAACTGATTATAACATGTCTGAACAGGATCTAGTTTGAGGCACTAAGAAGGGTAAGACATCAGTTTGAAAAAGAGCCCCTATCAGGGCAATATGAGTTCTGCTAAAACTGAAGCAAGAACAAACATCAACTTTATGGTTAAGCTTGGGTAAAAAGAATGGTGAAATCACTGATGCTTCAGCAATAGTTTATGGGGATAATGTCCCAAAGAAATCAGCAGTTTACATTTTAAGAAGGGACAAAATGATGTTGGAGATGATGCCCATAGTGGCAGACCACATAAATTTTCAAGGAAGAAATTAATCTTGCCCATGCCCAGGACCAACAATTTTGATAGTAGAGACAAAAGCCAACACCATAGACATCTCAGTTGGTTTGGCTTACACGATTCTGACTGTAAAATTAAAGTTGAGCAAACTTTCCACTTGACTGGTGCCAAAACCACTACACCCAGATCAGCTGCAGACAAGAGCAAAGCTTTCAATGGACATTTTAAACAAGTGGGATCAAGATCCTGGTAAGAACTGAGGGAGGAGATCAAACGTGGCTTTACGAGCACAATCCTGAAAATAAAGCACAACCAAGCAATGACTACTAAGAGGCAGAAGTGGTCCAGTCAAAGCAAAAGTGAACCAGTCAAGAGCAAAGGTCGTGGAAACAGTTTTTTGGGATGCTCAAGGCATTTTGCTTGTTGACTTTCTGGAGGGCCAAAGAACAATAACATCTACTTATTATGAGAATGTTTTGAGAAAGTTAGCCAAATCTTTAGTGGAAAAACGCCCAGGAAAGCTTCACCAGAGAGTCCCTCTCCACCATGGCAATGCTCCTGCTCATTCCTCTCATCAAACAAGGGCAATTTTACAGGAATTTCAATGGGACATTATTAGGCATCCACCTCTAAGGTCCTAATTTGGCTCTTTCTGGCTTCATTTCCTAATCTTAAAAAATCTTTAAGGGGCACCCATTTTTCTTCAGTCAAAAAAGACTACATTGACATGGTTAAATTCCCAGGACCCTTGGTTCTTTTTTATCCCTAGTCTCCAGATCTCCAGATACCCTCATCCTTCAGGAATGGATTAAATGACTGGTATCATCACTCACAAAAGTGTCCTGATCTTGATGGAGCTTATGTTAAGAAATAAAGTTTACATTTTTTATTTTTATGTTTTAATTCCATTTTCCACAAACTTTTTGAAGTCCCCTCACGTATGTTTGATATAGTTTGGCTCTGTGTTCCCACACAAATTCCATCTTGAATTATAATCCCCACATGTCAGGGGAGGAACCTGGTGGAAGGTGATTAGATCATGGGTGCAGTTTCCCCCATGCTGTTTACAAGATAGTGAGTTCTCATAGATCTGACGGTTTAAAAGTGTGGCACTTCCCCACTTTGTTCTCTTTCCTGTGGCCATGTAAATCGTGCTTTGCTTCTCCTTCACTCCCCAGCCATGCAGAACCGTGAGTCAATTAAACCTCTTTTGTTTACAAATTATCCAGTCTCATGTCGTTTTTTATAGCACTGTGAAAACGGATAAATACAATGTTCAATACTACCAATAATTTGTACTAAAAGCTTGGGTTTTTTTGCTCTTCCTAAGATCTTTGAAGACAGAAGTTGTGCTGTTAATGATTAAGACCACAGACTCTAAAACCAGACTGCCTGGGTTCATCTGCTGAGCTGCCATTTACTAGTCCTGTGACCTTATACAAGCTACTTAGCCTTTGTATGCCTCTAGATACTCACCTACAAAATGGAGGTAACAGCACCTACTTTAGAGATTGTTGTGGAAAATACAAGTTGAGCACCCCAATCCACAATCCAAAATACTCCAAAATCTGAAAATTTTTGAGCACCAACATGACAAAAGTGGAAAATTCCATCTCTGACACCTTTGCTTTCTGATGGCTCAATGTACACAAATTGTTTCATGCACAAAATTATGTAAAATATTGTATACAGTTACCTCCAGGCTATACATATAAGGTATATTTGAAACATAAATGAATTTCATGTTTAGAATTGAGTCCCATCCCCAAGGTACCTCATTCAAATATTCAAATATTCCAAAATCTGAAGGAATCCAAAATCAAAAACACTTCTGGCCCCAAGCATTTCATACAAGGGATACACAACCTATAAATAATTTAATACTTGTAAATAATTAGGACATTGCCTGTCACATAGTGATTGCACAAATATTAGCTAAATTCTCTCTCCATACATAGACTCCCTGGGCTTACCAGAGTAAACATCACTAAGTCCTCAAACTAGTTATGCTCAGTAAGCTATAGCAGACACAGTAGGCAGAGAAATAACAATATTGTCCTTACAGACTTCAAAACAAAATTCCTGAAACCATGAAACTAGATTCAAGTTTTATTTCTACTTCTAATTTCCAGAATGTTGGGAAATTACTTTTCTGGGTTTACCTTTCTCTGACATGAGTACCACAAAACCTGTCATCAGTAAAGATTAGACAATAAGCTAAATCCCTGGGAGCAGCTAGACCACGAAGTACTTCAAAGATTTGTACAGAGAATGTAAGACTTACTGTTCAGAGTCATAGTAGTCCATACGCTTCTTTTTCTTGTTGTAAGCTGCAACTCGAAAGGGAACTATTTCCAAAGTGATTAAACCAGGGGCCATCGTCAGCACTTTGGCACCATGACTTGGCTCATAAAGATCCTTCCCTGTTTCTGGATGAGGCATGCCAGCAGGGTCTCGTCCAACAATGTAAAAGTTGGCTCCTGCAACCATCCGTGCTCTGCAATGCCACTGGACCTAGAATAAAAGTTTCATTTTAGGTAACTTTGCTTTTATGACTATGTACTTAGAAATAGTAAGTGGATAATAAATGCATATGCTTTTTATAAAATCATTATCGGTAGGAAATCTCAACAAATTTAGATGTATCATCCTGGGAAGCCAGAAACAAAACTAACAAAAAACAAAAACCTCCCCCAAACCAAAAGATTAAAAGCATATATCCACAAATATTTATGGATATATATGTATATATATTTATGTATTACTTATAAGATATATGTAAACATACATGTGTCTAGATGTTTGATTTTACACAACTACCAGATGCCATTTACACAGCTCAAAATCTAATATATGAGGTTAGAAGTCAGGATAATGGCTGATCCCTGGAGGGAGGCAACTGCAAGGAGCTTCTGGAATCATGGTAATGCTCTGTTTCTTGATCCAGTATCTGGGTGCTGGTAATTAGGGTGTGCTCACTGTAAAAGTTCATTGAGATATATACACACTTATAATTTATGAACTTTTCTGTATATTATACTTTAACAGGTTAAAAAAAAAACCCTGTTGGATAAAAATGACATGTAGGTACTTACATAAACTAGTACTGAGAAAATCGTATAACTAATATATAACTAATCTTATAACATATGCCTAATACTAGTTAAAAAAAAAAAGATTGGTTGTGAGTAAACGGCCATGCTGCATCCAAAACTAGCCTTGAAGCCTCTAGTTTCAGGCCTAGTAAGACCTATTATTAAAAAACAAAAATTAGTCTAATACCTAGAATAATGAAACTTTAGAATTTAAAGTGACAGTAAAAGATCATCTCTAGTTCAACATTCTCCATAAAATTTGAAGAAAGTGAAGCCCCCGAAAGGTTAAATGACTGGCCAATAAAGTTTAGGATAAACTCAGGCCTAGAAATTTGGTTTTAGCTTCCTTTCAGTGTAAGTCTCCATTATTTAATAATTTATAAAACCATCACTGTTCCATATTAAAATAAGGTATAAATGATAACCACTACACATAAATAACCAAATCATCTTTTATTGTTTTGTTTTCATTTTCTCTCTCCTGGTAATCTCCTGCATACCAGGTACTTATCTATTTACCAACATAGTTTAGAAAGTGCAATAGTAAGAGTGCAATTCCATACCTCACACTTGAATTGTTCACCCTGAGGGGTTTCAACTTTTTAAGTTGTTTCTACTGATGTTTGCCTGCATGTTTTCAAACAGCATGCTTACACTTTGTTATGACTGTTTAATTTTACATAGTATATAACATAGACCTTATTTCCACATCACTTAGACTTCCTACCATATTCGAGTATTTAATGAGGTTCTTATTCCCCAACAGGTACAGTGATATCAACATTTTTGATGAAATCAATATTCATCTGTAAAGTGAGGATTATAATAGTATTTATCTCATAGAAGTTTTAAGAAAATTAATAAATGAAACATGTGAGGTCTTAGAATAATACCTGGCACACAGTAAATATACAAGAAATATTAGCCACTATTATCTCTATTTTAATCCCCTTTTTGCACAACTGTTTTTCCTAGAGTTAATGATTACCTTGATTTTTTTCCACTTGCATAGCTTTGCCAGGTTTCTGTGTACCTTGCTCTAACCTGCTTCATGACCACACAGTTTAACATAATAATAAAACTGTGTGTGTATGTGTGTAAAGATAAGGGAAAAAATACAAAATTCAGGACAGAGATTATCTGGGGTGGGGGGTGGTGGATGATGGAAATGGCAGCGTAAAAAGAATGGGATTGGTGGCTGGGCACAGTGGCTCATGCCTGTAATCCCAGCACTTTGGGAGGCTGAGGCGGGCAGATCACGAGGTCAGGAGATTGAGACCATCCTGGCTAACACGGTGAAACCCCATCTCTACTAAAAATACAAAAAATTAGCCGGGTGTGGTGGCGGGTGTCTGTAGTCACAGCTACTCGGGAGGCTGAGGCAGGAGAATGGCGTGAACCCGGGAGGCGGAGCTTGCAGTGAGCTGAGATAGCACCACTGCAGTCCGGCCTGGGCGAAAGAACGAGACTCCGTCTCAAAAAAAAAAAAAAAAAAAGAATGGGATTGGTAGCAGTACCTGCTAGATTATAAGTCATACTTATCAAATTAGCAGCAATTCTATGTTGTTCATTAAATAGTCTGTTTATTGGTTTTGAGACAGGGTCTTACTCTGTCACTCAGGCTGGAGTGCAGTGGTGCAAAAATGGTTTACTGCAGGTTCAGCCTCCCGGGCTCAGGCAATCCTCCCATCTCAGCCTCCCAAGCAGCTGGGACCACAGAGATGCGCCACCATGCCTGGCTATTTTTTATTTTTTGTAGAGACAAGGTCTTGCCATGTTCCCCAGGCTAGTCTTGAACTCCCGTGCTGAAATGACCCTCCCACCTCAGCCTCCCAAAGTGCTGGGATTACAGGTGTAAGCCACCGTGCCTGGCCATTAAATAGTTTTTAAAAATAACAAATACATACATAATCAAGATTAAGAAGAGCAATTAATTCAGGGGCTAATGACAAGGCATCACGTACCACAGATAATGATTAATCCAATTCTGTGCATCTGAGGTTCATGCAAGACATTTTTAGGAAGTAATATTAATTTACATTCCCACCATGTTTTACTTTTTCCAAGTAAATGGTGGATCATTTTATTAAGGTTCAAATTTACCAACAAAATTAACAAGATATGTTATCTACACATCATTTAAAATAAACCCAAAGAAATACATTTCTTAAAATGTAGCTCATATTTTACCTAATTTGGTTCATAGGGTTCCTAACTCACATTGCTTAAATGTATTCCAAAGTATATGAACCATAAGATTTTGTATACATTACACAAGTTGGAAAAAAAATTAAAAGATGTCTAAATTTTGCAAAAAATATTCACAAGATCTAAAATTTCTACAATATTCTAGACATTTTTTTTTTTTTTTTTTTTGAGATGGAGTCTCGCTGTGTCGCCCAGGCTGGAGTGCAGTGACGATCTCGGCTCAGTGCAAGCTCCGCCTCCTGGGTTCACACCATTCTCCTGCCTCAGTCTCCCGAGTAGCTGGGACTACAGGCGCCCGCTACCACGCCCAGCTAATTTTTTTGTATTTTTAGTAGAGACGGGGTTTTACCGTGTTAGCCAGGATGGTCTCGATCTCCTGACCTTGTGATCCGCCCGCCTTGGCCTCCCAAAGTGCCAGGATTACAGGCGTGAGCCACCGCGCTTGGCCTATTCTAGACATATTTTTAAAGTTTTTTCTAAAATGTTTTATTTTTCCTTATTTTTTATATTCTATTAGCCTTGACTAAAACATGAATACACTTTTTTAGATAGACTTCATCAATTTCCAGTTCCCTGACCAAAGAAACCTACTGTTTGAAAAAGACAAGTTCCCTAAAGATGACTGCTAAAAACAAAAAGTGAGAGAAAAAACTCGAGGGAAAAAAATCTTAACTTTTATACTGTATTTTATTCCCAAGCATTAATATGGTATACATTTGCTGATCTTTTTTCACTAGGGTACAGCTTAAAATAAACTAAAAGAATTAAAGAGAAAAATATTTCCACAAATATGATTCTTTTTGTCATCAACAAAGCCAAGAAGATGCTCATCCAACATGTCAATTCAATGACCTCTGCATTTAAACGCAGGCCAATAATTAAAGGAAATAGGTGGAGCAAATAAGGACTGCTTTCCTCTACATACTTCCAATCTCCTACAAACTGTTTTTATGATAAAGTGAGGCAATTATAGGAAACAAAAAGGAGAAAAAATAGGATGTGACCAGTGAGTTAACATTTTAAAAATAAAACCACTTAAAAAATAAATAAATAAATAAATAAAACCACTAACATAAATTTATATGCTGGTAATAGCCTTACAGAAAGAATAATCTACATGCTGGGACCATGAAACTAAAAAATTATGTAATAAACATTACTTTATAAGACTTTAAAATATTCTTATCACCCGAAATAGCACAACAGTTGCATTTTCTGGAAGCTGTGGTGTTTCATGGACTTGGTGACATAGGTACACAGAGACCCCTGGCTTAGTAAGTGTGCTTCTCTGTTTATCTTGTCAGTCACAAACTTTCAAGCTTCCAGTATTTCAAAGTCAGTGACAAAGCAGGCATGTGAGTGCACAGTGATTACCTTTTTAAACAGTATTATACTACTTTGCTCTGCTTATGTGAAAGAAAACTGGGTATAAGATATCCGAAAGTCAAGATTTTGATAACATGTCAAACAACCCAAGCAATTTCAATTCCAGAAATATTGTGAGGCAAATATGCAAAAAAGGTTCATTTCAGGATTCATTACGGGTTGTCAAAAGACAGAAACTAACTCAAAGATCCTTCAATTGGGTGTTGTTATTGAATTAAATTCCTAAACAGCAGGGAACTGTGCCATCATTTAAAAAAAGATCAATATTTAAATTAACATAAGAAGGTATTTATAATATAGGAAGGTTAAGAAGCAGTTTTACGATACAAAATACATAATAGAAATGTTGGGGAGAAACGAAACAAACGTTCTAGGCCTTGATCTCTAACACAATCATCATGCCCTAGAGAATCTGATTTTGGAAAATCACTCGTTGAATTCGCTTACTAGTGAAACGACAGCAGAAGCGTGCAACTCAAGGAAGACGAGGAATGAGAGTGATGGGAAGTATGAATTCTAAGAAATCAAAGGGGGTAACACTCTGGAGTGTAAGGCAGGGCTTAACACTCCGGAAACAGAATAATGGAATCCCTAGTGTACACCTGATTCACTGTGTGGTACAAAATTTCCACACTGCCTTGTTCGAGAAAATGAAAAAGCAGGGGAGGACAGGAGGACCAAATTCAAATAAATAATACTTAGGTTCCATAATTATCTCATTTCACCATTAGACAGGGTTTCAGAATTGTCTTATCAAAATGGAAGGCAGAACATGGGCTACTAAAAATAAATAACTGTAATTAAAATAAACAGATTATTTGTTTCAAAATTTCCTTCCCAAAGACATTTGTGGAGCTAAGGTTTACTCAAATTTTTACTTAATCTCCATAGTGTGAGTCAAACAAGTAAGAATTAGTTAAGTTTACTATCTAATAGTGAGAATAGGAAAGTAGTTTCTGATCCAAATTATAGCCAATGCTTTAAAAAAATTTATCTATGAAAATTTTAGTTCTATAATGGTTTCTCCTTGCCATCCATCATAGGTTAAGATACCACATGACTAATAAGTCAATGATCGCTGATGGATAAGAACCTCAGTTACTTACCTCCACACACATTTATAATATAAAATCCTTCAGAGTTAGAATTGTTCTAGATTCATCCCAATATGGCATGTTATTGAGAAGAGTTTCTTAACCTTTTAATTCATGCCCCTTTTTATAAACCTGAAAATCTCATTTGTTCCAAATCCATTTGAAAATACTGTCTATCACTTATCTCCCCACTTCCAAACCTGGCAAAGACTTCGGTAAATTTTATTTTCATTAGTTTCTAAAACAAAAACAAATTAAAAACCTACTTTTCAAATTTAATTACATTATAAAATTATAAAATGGACTATACTGCTTACATATAATACCACTACCACTAAACCATTCTCTCCCCACACCTGACGGTTGAGAAATTTCACTGTTCCAGAAATCTGGCAGATTAGATATATGATATTTTCAATTTTTCTGAATTAAAAATACTGAGAATAATGAATTGAACAATTAAAATTTAAGTCCCACTTAAGTGGCTTATTTCTTTATATCTTCACACCAAAATCTGCATTTATTTAAGTGTAATAAATTTTATTAAAGTCAATATTCTATAAGGCCAACTTTATATTCTCAAAGTGTTTATAAAAGAACATCAGGCACAGAAACTATTTTTTTAGTAAATGTTTGAATATTATTTTCTAGACTGTCAAAAACATTGGTTGTGTTAATGCTATAAAAATTCTTTAGGAAGTCAAGTGCATTACCTAATTTTGCTGTGTAAAAAATCTATACCTTAATTAATCTCATGAGTTCCATATTAAAATATCCCTAATCTTAGTTGTACATTATCTAGCATTAATATGTTTTCTTGAAATTCCCAAATCATAGTGGCCTGCCTCTTGATTTTCCAGAGATAGGAATTATTTTAAACTCTTCAAGCTGACTGGAACAATCTACACAGGCAAGTGAAAGGTGAGGCTCATCCTCCCATCATACAGATTCCTGATACTGTGGCTTTTGGTCTTCTTTGTATTAATAAAACTGATATTCTAAGTGTTTCAATTAAGTTCTATTACTCTGTACTGGTACTGAACAGTAGTCTCATGAGAGTCACATTTCTAGTTTGCAATGCAAAAATTATGAAATATACTTGGACATTTCATTCTTCATCTTGTAGGAAAGAATTAAACATACCTTACAAAAACTCTCATACAATTTTAAGAGCTGAAAGGCAGTCTACATCATGGAGTCTGAATTCTTCATTTCGTATATGAGGCCCAATACAAGATACACAGAATTTCCCCAAAATTTCCTTTAAGGATAATCTCTCAATCTCCAAAAAGATATACCTCAAATGTAAGAGCTGCATTTTTTTCAGAACAACCAGCAACCAAACTAATTTTATTCTTGGAAGTGACCTTGCCCTGGCTGACCCCAGACCCCTAGTCAGGTGAGAACAGTATCAGCCCTCCCAGAGTGGGGGCTCAGAGTGGAGACAACAAGCCTGGAAATGCTCAGCCTCCACCTCCTCTTCCTGCCTCCCAAACCCAGGGACCCTCAAGAGGCTCTCTGCCCTCCCACTGATTATTATTCTAAGAAAACAGAGGAAGGCAACCATGGTGATAAAGCACTGGAAAGTATTTCATGAGGTCCTTCAACAGGGTGAGAAGAAGAAATTAAAATAGGTAACACTTACCAAGCTCTTCCTAATATACCAGTCACTGTACAAAATGTTTTATAAATATTATTTAATGTTTACAGCAAATCAATAAGATAGTTATTATTCCTGTTTTACAAATAAGAAAACAGGGACTTGGAGAATTCAAATAACATATCCTAGCTGCAAAATGAACTAGTGAAGGATCAAGTCTTTGGACCTGGGTCTGTGTGACCCCAAAACCCACACATTCCTATTCATACTGAGCTACTGACGCTGTGTCAAGGACATTTAGGGAGGAAACTGTATAGATTACCTAGCTGGGAAATCAGGAAAACCTGAAAAATCAGACTAACAGACAAATCTGAATTTGATACTGCTTTAGTAAGAAACAAGCAAGAACAAATTCTGAACTGAAACTCTATTAAGAGAAAAAAAATGACATTTTTTCCCTATGAAAAGCAACCTATAAACACCTGCAAAATCTGATGCTTCCTAATGAAATAAGTTCAGTTTTCAAGACATATATAAGCTAAAAGTATATAAAACAGACTACAGGGATCCCCAAAATTACTTTCAAAGTAAATCAACACACTCTAAATACATTTGTGGTACAGGTCCACAATTGCTTATCTAAAATTCTGAAATCTAAAACTCAGTTTTGTAACTCACTTGGTAGCAAAACCTGATCAAAACTGAGGAAGTTTCTACCAGCCTTTTTGCCGATCCTATTTGTGAGAAAAATCATTTACTTTGCTACAGGAATATTAATGTGCTTTAATATGGGGGTACCATCCCAGACCCATCAGGAGAAATAAGTAATACATAATCCTAAGGATTTTGGAAAAGAGACTGTGAACTGTGTCATACTACTCAATAAACTTTGGAACAAGATAAATGAGAAGACAAAATTATCAAAGACCCCCAAAGAGAGTCAAAGGTACAAGTAAAACTTAGGTGTCTATGGCTTGTATAATTAGACTCAGATCTCAAGAAGTAACATCAGTTGCTAGAGCTCTTGGAAGTGTGTAGAGGGAAGAACAAGTTTATATCCTAACAGACACCCTACTCACTGCTCCAGATACTGGTGTAAAGCACAGACTAATTAAACAAGCACACTGGCATCCATGTCATAGTATGTTCTACTGTCCCTGGTGAAGGGTATCCACTCGCTTACACAGAATCAGTTTCTCTTAAAGAGTCAATTAACAGTGCATGGGTAATTTTCATAGCAAAGGATAATCTCTACCTCCAACTGCATTTTCCCCCAAATTCAACTGATAATCCTCATTAAAACTTCATAAACCGAGGGTATAGCTGTTAGTAACATATATCCACATTCTCAAAAACATCTTACCTTTGACACTTTCACGTCACAGGTCTTAGCATTATTTATCCTTCACAAAAATAGATTCAGTATTTAGTGAGATGAGACAAATAGAATTTCCTACATAGTCAATTAATACCTCACAAAGACAAAATGTGTATCTATAACACCATTTTAGCATTAGAAAGTTAACACTCCCTTCACATCCTCGCCTCCTCCATTCCTGAAATGGAATTTAGGATTCAAGCCATAAAATCTTTATAGACTATAAAATCAGGAACATCCTGTTGATAACCAAATAGGCTTAACAGCTGCCCATGGTTCTGAAAAGCATTTGTGCTAAGGAAACAAATCTGGTACCAATGCCTTCTAAATGACCTACAGAAAATGATTAAAGGAAGAGTCGTTGTTTTTATTTTATTATTATTAGTTGGCAAATAAGCATTACTGACAGACTTTTTCCTGATGTCACTGGAAAAGCTACAAAAATGAGAGGGTTTTTTTTTATTACAAAAAAATTCTTCACTTATGGCTGCAAATAAGTCAAACAAGTCAAACACACAAGTTAGGTCCTCGAGAAAGATACTTTTCCTAAGCAGCTCAATCCAACAGCCTAAATACTGTCAGGCCAAAAACATTAAAACACTTCATGGTCTGAAATATTAAGATGTTTACTAGAATTTCCAAAGCTTATTCTTTACAAGTTCAGAAGTTAAAAAACCGCCTTTTGCTCAGGCATCAGAGCTGGGCCTTCCTGAAAAGAACCACATCTCTTACGCTCACAATTCACACTCCAGACAGAGATGTAGAGGCAGACACAGCTTTAACGTGCCTCTTAGTCTCCCTAGAAAACCTGGGAGCTCTGCAGGCACCCAGAACAACTAACTTCTTGGCCTTCCCTCCAAATGCCAAAGCACAAAGCTACTTTGAGGCTTCTTGGCAGCAAGGAGCCCTAGAAGGAAAAAAAACAGGCCCAAGTTTCAGTCCCAGTTCTGTGTCTCTCCTAGACAGAACACTAACTAGTCAGGCTCCCCTGAGCCCTCTAAGCCTTGACCTTCAGTGTCCATCCTTACCAGGCCTGCATTGCCCAACTGTAGCAAAAATCTTGCTAAGTTTGTTTATTGAGAATCCTCTACTCTCAGTATCTGCTCACCCTCATTATCTGATCAAATTCCTTATCTTCCACCCACTTCCCAGGTATCTGATGATCCTGGCCTGCCTTCAGCAAGAATCCAGTTTATCCCAGAATCCCCTACTTCCAATGTTTCCTCTCAGTAATTTTCCATCCACTTACCTCCACCCTGTCCTTTGCTATCAATCCCCACCTGTCCATGCTATATTCAGAGTTGAGCCCAGTTCTATACTGAGGGCTTTATTCTCCTGTTGCAATATTTCCTGAATAAAGTTCTGTTTTTATTACTTTAATCACTGTACAGCTCTGGTCTTCTTTGACAGACTACAGTTAAGTCCCTTATCCTCTCTGAGCTTCAGTAATCTCACTGGTAAAACAAGAATAAAACCTTCCTCACCAAGTTGTGGGGTAACCTAACGCATGCATGCAAAGCAGCTATTCATTGAGTGACACATGCATAGGCACTCATAAAATAGGTACTTTCAATTTCTTTATATTAGCTTTATATTATATTAAACACCAAAGGATATCCCAAATCAGGGCTAGGACACACGCTCTGACATGAAGCCTGTTAGGCAGTAGGTCATACCAGGCTCCCTGCCATAATCAAACTCTAGGACTTCATAGACTTATGAAGCAGCCTAGAGATATAGACAGTTCCTTGGATGTGGGGCTAGAATCCTAGAAATGCAGAGAATTTGCAGCAAAGTAGTTTTTTAAAGGACACCAATTATATTAATTACCACATCTTGTCATGAGCCAGGCAATGTGTTAAATGATTTACATTGATCCTATTTTCTCCTCTCAACAATAGAAACATAGACAGATATTACCAATATCATGAGTCAGGTATTGTAAGAATACAAAGATTAAGAATACATATTATACAAAGAATATCACAACCCACAACTCTAGGCTCTGATAAAAAAATAAGTTTATTTGGAGATTCCACCTCTAACGAATGTTGCCAGGGCCATCCTAACTCACTATTTTGGAACTCTTATAGGATATTATAAGAATTTATTTCTAGTATTTTAAAAAAGATGTGGCTACATATTTTTAAAAATATTTTAACGTTATATAATATTAAAAATTATGTGAAATTATAGTACATAGCTCTGGAGCCAGATTACTTAGGTTCAGATTTTATCTCTACCATTTACTAATACTATGTGATCTTGAACACAGTTTAACCTCCCTACTTCAGGTTCCTCACCTGTGAACTGTGAATAACAATAGTACCTACCCTCTTAGTATTATAAGGATTAATCCTTATAACATAAGTTATAAAACCTAACATAAAACTTACAACAAATAACTTATAACATAAGTTATACATTAACTAGCAATCTTTATAAGGATTTAGTTAACATATGTAAAGCATTCAGAATATTGTCTGAAAAATACAGTAAGAAATCAATAAAATATGGACTATTATATTCTATTTCTCAATGCTTTATAACTACAACTCATTTACTAAGACTCCATTTCAGTGAAACTGGTTCAATGAGGAGATTTTTTGAGGCTGGTTAAGAAATAGGAAAAGTATTACAGAGTGCTTGGCTAAGTAATCAGCACTAAAGGACCAAAATGGCTAAAATGAAAAGGACACTCAAGTACTGGTGAGGCAATACACTGCTGATGGGAGTGTAAAATGGTACAACCACATCAAAAAACTGACTGGTCGAATCTACTAATGCTCAACAAATACATATCCAAGGACCTAGCAATTCTCCTCCCTGGTATAGCCAACAGGAATGTCCACAAAAAGACATGCACTAAAACCTTCACGCCAGCGCTATTCTTAAGAGCAAAAATCTGTAAAGTGCCCAAACATCCATCAACAATATTGGGTAAAATCACACAGCGAAACACCACACAGCACCAAGAATGAACAATCTGCCACTAATTACATAACAATAAAGGTGAGTTTCACAAGCACAATGTAAAGTGAAAGAAGCCAGACACGAAAGAGTATATGCGGTATGATCTGAATTACAGAAATACTAAAAACCAGCTGGATTTAATGCTGTGATGCAATACTCAGGCCTCCTGCAAGAAGGGAGCGGGCTCTCCAGCAGCTGTCGCCCCGCTCAGAAACTGCTTCTGTTGAAAGGAGCAGCAGCACCCAAAGGTATGCCCCCTCCCATGGGCAGCCAACCCCTGGAAACACGGAGGTATAATGCCTATTTCCCATGCAACTTTGGACATCTCTGAAGGGCCTTTCCAGAGCTCTCCATGGACTCAATTAAAGCCTCCACTGAGACTGAACTGTAGCTCGACCTCCCTCTCTATAGAATCCTGCTCCCTTCCTTTCTCTTCCCTTCCAGAGGTGTTGATCCCAAGAGTTCTCCCTAAGAGACTTCCTGAACCGCACCTCACTCTCAGAGTCTGCTCTCAGGGTATCCAATCTTAAACACAAGCTAACTGGGCCTATGATGTTAATGTGAGGGTACCGATGACTCCTAGGGGGAGGACAAGTAGTGAATAGAAAGGGGCAAGAAGAAAAACTTCTGGGTGATGATAAAAAATTTTTTTTAATCTGGAAGCTGATTGTATGCCTCTGTTCCAATGGGAAAAATTCATTTACTTGCATCTATGAAAGATGCACTTTTTCTTTTAATGCTTCTGTAACTCAAATAATATGTACTTTTTCATATATACTTTCTCATATATATATTATATTTCAATGTGAAGTTAAAAGAAAATAAGACAAATTAGGAAACGATCAGAATGGGACAGAATCTTGAAGAACACTTAGTCCTACCTACACCACCTACTGTGCACTCAAACATAGTATAGAGAGGTCTCAAGAAGTCTAATGTGAGATGGCAAACCAGCTGGTGGCAACCCAGAACCCAAACTGTGCCTGGACTCCTCGACAACCGTCTTGTATTATTTCCACTAGACCATGCTCTTTCGGGTAGTGAGGAGAGTTGAATCTGAGGCCAGGGAAGGACTTGCTGCAGCTAGCATATTGACACGGTTCAGGACACACTACTCCAAAATATGGCACCTTGGCATTTGAGAAAACAGCAGAAGAAAGCAAGCCACTCTCACCTTCCCCTAAGGCAGTCATAAAACCTAGCAGATCTTCCCCTGAAGTAGGTCAAAAGACTCTCATTCCAGAGGTGCCCTCCCTATACCTAGAGGAAAGGAACGTGCCTATCTCTGAAAACACAAGGACACAGAGAAGAATTTAAACAAACAGGCTTTGCCCAGCTCCCCTCTTTAACAAAGACCTAGAACTCTGGTAACGGGACAAGATCAGTGTTGTTGTTGTGTCTGCAATGTGGCCAGCAGTTACAAGAGGAGCTTGTGGCATACCTTCCCAACCACACCCAGCCCTGTCTGCAGGGAACATCCCCTCCTTCACAACTGGGACCAAGACCCAGAAGAGCAAGTGAAACCTCTCCCCACCTTTCCTTTCTCAAGGCTGCCCCTAGCATCCAGGGAATATCCCTAACGAGCAGGAAAGAATGTCATGTATAACAAATGTTTGGAACAGGCCTACAGAGCACAGAAAAAGCAATCGGATGGTGACACTAGCTGTGTTAGTAAGAGTGGCTTTAACACTGCTGCAGTGAAAATCTTACAAGCAGTCTACCTCAGTTGGTCCAGCATACATCATGGGAGATGGGAAGATGGCCACCACTGTCGTCTCAGGATTCAGAACTCCTTCCTCCAACACTGCAGCATGCTGCTTCATACGCCACATCAAAGGAACATCGTCATCCTTTGTCCAGCCACCCAGAGGGTGGAGGAGGAGGACAGGGCGCCGGTAGCCCCTCTCTAGAAGTTGCTTATGGGTATCCTGCATTAACAGGGCATGTCCATTGTGCACTGGGTTGCGTAGTTGAAATGCAAAGACAGCATCTGAAAAGAGAATTTCCAGAGTTAAGAATAGCATGTTTCTAACAGATTACTTTCCAAAGGATACGCAATTTTTCTTAAAACTTGATACTTAGGATTAAGCAAAACATATGCAAACTCAGAAATCAGAAAACTGGTAAAAAAAAAAAAAAAAAGTACTGCTTTGACCATTTAGGATAACATGACCTATACTTCTACTATACAATATTAAGTAAATCATACTTATCTGAGGATATGTACTATAACAATCATGGATTTATAAGAATTACTTTCTTGCATTCATGGGAAATGAGAGCAATCATCAGACTTTCTGGTCCTAATATCCTGGATCCACTGCTTACCATAGATAAACATTTTTGGTCTGTGCCTCAGTTACCCACCAGATCAATCCCTCCAAACGACCTAATATAATGCTTTACTAAGGGAGACAGAAAGTTAGAGAAATATATTTGTAGTTTCAAAAATTTACTTACTGTCCAAATATGCTCACTTACAATTACTTTGCTCGACTAGAACCATATTTTGTTTTATGATCAAAGGTCTGAATTTTGGATTATAGTTTAGCAACAACAATATCCCTTAAAACAATGAAAACTGCTAGACAGACGAAACTGGTTAACTCCTTATCTCCTGCTTACAACCCTGGGTTCATTCCTACGTGGTGCTTGCTAGCAGGAGACCTTTCCAATCCAGTTAGAGGAGCTCTGTATTTTGCCGCCCTCACAATACCTGACAAAGCATCATGCCATGCTGATCCCAGCTCGACTCAGGGAGAGGAACAGCCTCTCTCTTCTAACAATCTGTAAGCCAAATAGTACATCATCTCCAATCTGTTCTCAATTCTGACCCTCTTCTATCACTGTAACAAAAGGTACCACAGGAAGACTGTGGCATCCTACTTAACTGGGATTTTTTGTTTTTGTTTTGCCACATCATGTAAAATCCAAGATTTACAGCATGATCATTACTCTTGGAAGTTCCTCACGTTACCTTTATACATGAACAGAACAGGGCTGGTTTTCACAAAGGAAATAGCTGATATGACATTAGGTACAAAAAACAGAAAAGTCTTGATATACAAGCATTTAAAATTATTTTGCTTTGGGATGGGAGGAGGGAAATATAGACCTAACATTTTTCTATCCTTCTCAATGTACTTCAAATTTGGTTTTACATATGGACATAAAAGATGCCAAAATATCCCTTTTGACCACTAGAACTACAGATATATATATATATATATACACACACACACACACATACACACACATACACACATACACACACACACATCTCTTAGTTTTGTCCACTTTTTTTTTTTTTGTAGCACCGTTGTTTGGTCCTACAAACAATGACTACCCAGTGGCAAGAAGCAAAACAAAAGCCCATACATTCTAAATACCATTCCCCAGTTAAATAAACCAGAGCTCCTTGGCAAATGGCAGCTTTTAGAGCTGGGGCAAGAAAAGTACAACATGAGCTGGAACACCTTTTTGCACCATTAAGAAGGGAAGTGCTCAAAGAATAATGGGGACATCTGATGAAGGCTCATCTGACAGACCACAGTCTACACACTGGTGAATAAAGCCACACTATGACAACAGCAAGAACAGGCACCGCCCTCCCCGTCAAGCCCCTCCCAACCCTGCTCTCAGGTGCCTGAGGTCACTGAGCAGAGCCCTAGGTACTAGTGATTTACAAACCTGTGTCTTCTGACCAGAACTCTACCCAAGCTCAGACTACTGTCTCCCCAACTGCCTCTAAGTGCTCCACAGGCACCTCACCAGCAATTCACCATTACCTACCTCAGAGGCTCAGTTTCCCTTCTTGCCCTGTCCTCCACATGTAATGAGTCCCTTCTGTTCCCTACATCTCATTTGCAGCACACTAATTACCAGCACACTCAGCCTTCATCATCTCTTCACAAGATCTGTCTTCAAATAGGTCTTCCTCCCCTACCCAACTTTACACGACAGCCAGTGACAGGGAAGAAACCCGCCAGGGACAGGATGCAAATGCAGCTGGAGACATGCTGAGCCTGAGGGAGTAGTAAAACTGGCCTACCCTCCAGGGGCTTACAGTCTAGTCAGAGCAGGGGAGCAAAGACGTTCCCTAAGAGAATAAATACATGTTAAAAGGAATATAGTTCCTTCAACTCCAGCAGGACATGACAATATTCCTTCACTTACTCCTCCACACTATTACCACAAGACTGGTGACAGCACTACCACAGTGTGGAGGACAGAGTGAGGGAAGGAAAGAATGGGCGTCTTCACCTATACATGACACTGCTGGACTGGATTCATTGATTGAACCAATTCCTTCCTGTTCCATCAACAGTGAGGATGAAATGAGAGCCAAATTCAAATGGCACTTTCCTGATTTAAGTGGTCCTTACCTCTCTACTGACTGACATAAAAATCTACACCACTTAAGGCCTTCTAACTGTGGCACCAACCTTTTATATGTCATCTGCCTCTCTATGCTTTTTTTTAAAGTAAAAACCACGAAACCCAATAAAATTTGATGAGAAAATCATCCATAAACGCACTGTCCTGAAAGCATGGTCTTTTGTTTTGTTTTGTGCAATCTTCCAGTTTTTCTCTTTGTTGCATACATTTTTACACAGCTATAATCAAACATATGACATTTCTATTCCGCTTGGCCATTCCAGTCTAACCACCTGTTTCTGACATCTTGTGGTCCTCTTGGAGCCACAAGGCTTACTGCTGGGCCCTATGAAATTCCTTCTTGACAGACTCACTGGAAGCTTACCCCTACACCTGGGTTCAATTACCGCACACATACAGATGGCTTCTCTTAGCCACATCTCTAAGTCCTTCCTTCCAGTTCACCGGACAGATGCATTACAAAAACTATTTCAATATACATTGCTCATTACCTACCTCTTTCCCTCAATTCTTCTACCTTTCCTATTACTGTCACATCTCAAGCCAAATTTGGGTCTGGCCCCCAAAGCCTATTCCTTCTCCTGTACTGCATGTCTATGTGAAGGAACTTCCCAGCAGAGCAAGTTCTCTCCCTTTCCTCTGGATTTCCTATCACCTAGTCCAGGAGCCAATACACTAAGGAAACAAGTGAAGTCTGATCCCTTTCCTTCCAGCAGGTAGAAGAGGAAGAAGAAAGTTAAGAAAGTTTTTCTGAGCATATATGTGTGACAAGGAAGGAAATGAAGATATCAGCATTCCGTGAACACATGTAGGACAAGCCACAGGCCGCTTCATCTAGAGGCGTTGCCAGCAAGGACTGTCGTGTCGTGGCACAGTGCAGAGCGACCCAGACTCTACTCTTTCCAAGCTGAGTATCCAAAGACAACTGCAAACTCAGCAAATAAATGAATGAGGTGATAAGCAGGGCAGTGCTTCTAAATCCTAGTCAATCTTCCTCAGACTTCCCAGAACTGTGCTTCACATCCCAGCCCACAGCCAGAGCCCCAGTATCCACCCCAACCACTGAACATAGAATTACAACATCTTCTTGCTTCTTTCCTCTTAACTTCACTGTAAGACTGCGCTACATAGAGCAGTAATTAGTAATTCCTTTCTTCCCTCCCACCCAAGGTTTCTATCTGCCTCTCTACGGTAAAGCTCCAAGAACAGACATTTCTGATTTTCCTAAATCAATATAGCAGCTAAACAAGACAATGGTTCTAGGGTTACTAGAGTTGTGTGTGTGCTTAATGTTTGTTTTTGTGGGTTTTTGTGAAGGGACCTGGAATAACAAAGCAGTTTGATCTCCCCTCCTCCCTTGGGATTATCATAAACTAACAGTCTTTCTTTTACTCAAACTGCTTAAGAAGGTGGGGGGTGGAAATAAAGGAATAAGAGATGGGCCCCTTGAACAAATATAAAGATATTAGAATTTTTCACAAAACTGGTAAATTCATATTCTAAAGTATGGCAGCAATGAACTACTTTCTATTCTCATGACTAAAAACACTTCCAAATTAAAGTAAGATGTTGACTACAAAGCTTTGTGCCAACTGGGTTCTGTGCCGCTTATTTGCCATTCCCCTCCCCATCTATTCTCTGATGTCCTGGGGCAGGGAGCACAGGTGTCCCTCAGGGCTTCCCCTAGAAGGGGCTGTTGTCCTCCTGCCTTGAGGGTGGTGGCATTAGCAGGCAACCAGAGGATGGACGGAGAAAAGTTTTCGGGGAGCTCTTCTCCCCACTATCATCTGCCTCAGCGCGTGATTCTGGCTGTGCCAGTGACCCTGCAACCAGCTTCTGCCCAGTGGCCTTCCCACAGCTGCAGCTCCCACCTGGCTTCAGAAACACTGCTTCCTGCTCTCACCCCTTTGGGACTGGCTAACACTACCCAATGCCACTAGTCCCTGGAACCTCAGCAAATCCTTGTAGGTTCCCTTAACTCTGACCACCTTTCTTTAAATACTCGCTTCACTGAATTATGCTCAAAGCCTCATCTGAGTGTGCCTTCTGCTTCCTGCTGGGAGCTGACTGACACAGGTTCCCTCACCCAATCTCAGCTCTCTGGCTTGCTGTCACTTATCATCGAGATCCACTATCCACTTCAGAGCCAAACATAGATCTGCTTCTGCCTCAGCTTTCTCATGTACCATCCTCAACTTTACTTAAAACATTCTTCTGATGTCTCCACTTACACACTTAAAATGTAGTTTGTAATTCAGCAACGCTATAAAGCTTTCTCAGATTTATTAACACTGTACTACCACACACTATTCTGAAAGAAATTATGTCAACTCTTCCCTTTGCAATCAGCAGGACACCAATATTCTATGTTTAATAAACACTAACAGGCTCTTACTTGGCTTAAGTGAAATGCATTCTTCCCCTCCAGGATACTGGTCAATCATCGGTAATTCAAAGAACTTGCCATCTGGAAATGTATCACCTTGCAATCACCGATGTGTGTATTAAAGATTTCTCAATCCTTCCCAGCTACAGAATGGTCTAAGAACAGCCAAACTGATAGTGCTGTGCACAGGACAATAGCTCACATGGGGTAATCAAAGTACTTCTAAGATGAGGGGAGGAGAAGGAGGAAGAGGTAAGAAAAGAAATCCTAGATTAAGAAAATAAATAAATAAATTCCCTGCTTTCTCTCCCCTGAACACATCAGAACTGACTTGTTATTGGCTTCCTAAAAGAGTGAACAAGAACTACAAAGTAAACTCCTCGGTCTGTTGCTTATTTGCCTCAGTATAAAAATGGAAAAAATAAAATAACACTCCAATTTTTGTTGTTTGATGTAAGGCTAATAACTGGCTCTCAGCTACTTTAAACAAAGTTGCAATCATTCATTATGCAACACATTCTCTAAATGACTTAAAATGTTTGGCTCACAAAGAAGAGTGAAAAACAGATGTAATATGAAAGTCCCTAATTATGAATAAGTCCTTGATAAGACCCTTTCAACAGTGCCAACAATTAATTTACTAACATCAGTTCCAGATATGAATTCAAATTTTGGCAAAAATTTAAATAACATGGTCACAGCAAGTCCTCCATTAAACATGTTTCTGTTCACCAGCAGAAAAGGGAAGTGTACATATAATAAACTACCAGATGTTTCTGGTTGCAAATCACAGAAAACCCAACTAAAAGTATCTTAAATAATTTGAATATATGTTATCTCTTTGAATAAGAAATCTGGAGATAAATGACTCCATGGTTGGATGAGAAACTCACAGTATAAGGACAAAAGTTAGCATATTTGGAATTTTCATGAATACAAAATGGTTGCAGGAACTCCAAACATCCAAAACAGGAAGAGAAGGGTGAAAAAAAAACAGAATTTGTCTGGCATAAGCCACACTGTCAGAAAGAAAATCTTTCCTGAAAACCCTCTTCCTTAGATCTCAATGGCCAGAAATGACTTAATGCATTGACCCTTAAATCACACACTGACAAAAAAGAGTGGGGCATCATTATTAACTTGTATCAATCATTATTCATTCCTGTATACTGGGCCTAAAACATGTTAGCAAAAAAGAAGAGAAATGAGCTGTTATACAGGCAGTACCAAGTATAGCACTCAAAGAAGTTTCTGTATCAGTAATTTAAGCCAAATATTTGCTTCAAAATCAGGAGTAAAGTATAAAAGGAGAAAAGGGATCCCACACTCAAAAACCCTAAAGAAGCCACGAAAGAAATGTGAATGAGTTAAGCAGACTAGGTAGGAACTATGGAGCACTGAAGAGTGGGTGGCCCATCTGAGGCCTCCAGTTCTTAACCCATTTTATTAAGTTCATAACACAGTCTACAGCAGTCTACAGCAGAACTTAGGTATAAATAGATAATTCTTGCTCTAACCTTCACATGAATAAAGTCTAGCTTCAGTTCACACAACAAAAATTAAGGCACCTGTATTACCATGTTGCTATGAAGAAATGCCCGAGACCAGGTAATTTATAAAGAAAAGAGGTTTAATTGACTCACAGTTCCACACAGCTGGGGAGGCCTCAGGAAACTTACAATCATGGTGGAAGGGGAAGTGAACACATCCTTCTTCACATGGTGGCAGGAGAGAGAATGAGAACCAAGCAAAAGGGGAAGCCCCTTATAAAACCATCACACCTTGTGAGAACTTACTGTCACGAGAATAGCATGGGGGAAGCCACCCCCATGATTCAATTACCTCCCACTGGGTCCTTTCCATGACAGGTGGGGATTATAGGAACTACAATTCAAGATGAGATTTGGGAGGACACAGCCAAACCGTATCAACAACTTAATCTCTTACTACATAGCAGTACAGTTTAAAGTGCCTTACACATCTTATTTCACTTTTTAAAGTAAAATGTTATGCTTTAGGTACCATCAATATCCTCAACAATTGTCCATGAGCCTTAGAGAGAAAAGTAATTTCCCCACAAACACAACTGCTAGGTGGTGAGGCAGAGTCTGAACACAGAACTCTGAATGCCTACCAGGAGCATTCTGGAGTTCACCGACACTAAGACAAACACAAATGAAATGCCTGCTCTTTCCCAGTTGTTCTGTAGTTGCTTGGAACGAGGGCCTCTGGTTCACAAACATGGTTTGGTGGCCAGCTATATACCCCAAAAAGGCAAACACATTCACCTGCCCTTTCTCAACCACATCCATCTGATTTCTACACAGAAAATATAAAAGAGAGCAGCACCAGTGCTTAGGGCCAAACCATCTCTGCAGTGGGTGGGAATTAATTAGGAGCACAACTGCAGGATGCTTCCAATTTTAAGGCTTAAAAAAGCCTCCCCAAATCTACAGTGAATGCTGTTCCCTGATACAGAACCTTGAATTTGCAGGTATAGAAAGAGTATGGGTGCACCAAGGTAAGCACATCATTTACCCACCTCTGTGTCAAAGACCTAATAGCAGGAAATATGATATAAAAATCCTGTCCTGGAGTGCTTTATAATATAGAAAGCAGTATTATAAAGAACAGCATCTGTAGCTTCTCTATTCCGCTCTTAAATAACTTTTTCTGTTATTGTTTAATGTCTCTCTCTTCTATACCATAAGCTCCTAGAGTATTTATTTATGGATCCTCAGCACATGGCATACTGGCATATAAAGATCCAGAAACATTTTTTAAATGAAGTGAACATGATAAAAGTTCCGTTGTTCCATTATTTGCTGCGATAAATGACATTGATATATTGGAAGTACACAGTATATATTTGGTGATGTTAGGCTTAACCAGCTGATTCTTCCTTGTTAAGTTTCTTTTACTTCTGTAATTCTATACCAAAAATTTGTACCCAAAGACAGTTTGATGAATTGTTTTGAGAAGTATTTCTATGCGCAGTGTTGTTTCTTTTAATTTTTGCTTTAAACAACTTTCTCTATTGTTTAAATCATGGTCGTGTATCATTGGTACAATGGTATGATACAATGGTCATGTATCATTATTTGCTGTGACACATCACCAAATACACACTGTGCACTTCCAATATATGAATGTCAAGTAAAACATTCTGAGATACATGACATTCATATATATATGAATATATATATGAATACATATATGAATATATATGAATACATATGAATATATATGAATATATACATGAATATATATGAATATATATCTCTCTCATGTAAAACACTCTGACATATAAAGCATATTTATATGAGTGAATTATTCAAATAATATTCTATAGTTCCATTCAGCTTTAACATGCGAGTTTTATAATAAATAAAAGGTAAATTCTGCATTAGCATCTAGCTTCCAGAGTATTCAAAATAATGTCAAATCAAATTATACCAATATAATGAAACTACCCAGGCTAGTTTTGATTGACTACCTTTCTTTACATATTCCACTGCTATATTTACCTGTACTCATCGTTTTACATTTTCGTAAGCACTGGAAAAAATCGTCTAGAACTTTCTCTCCAAGCCGGCCTATATTAGGTAATTAAATCCATGTCTTACCAGCATTCATATCTTTAAATTTCTGCTTTAGCTCAGTAGGAGTAAGACGATACTGATCAAGACCATCATTCCAATAAACTCGATCCAAGACTTGAAGATCTCCTCCAATCAGCCAATCTCCTTGTTCCATCACCATCTAATAGGAAAAACAAATTTTTTTAATGGAAACCGAGATCAAAATAAGTAAAAACATTTCTCTCATATAAGCTAAATACAGTCGTTGTAAGCTACTCTCATCTTAAATGAGGTAAATCTGACTTATCAACTAAATTGACATTAGAGATGCTATAAAATTAGAATCGATTTTGTGATTTCCCAGAAAACTTGTGAAATAACTATCTTTACATATGAAAGGCAAACAAAAGCAATGCGAATAATTACACCTTTTCAAGTAACAAAAACATTCTTTTCGTTATTATCATACATTTATTAACAGAACAATTTGTAGCTCTGGGTCACCCCACACTGTGTTCTCCAATCCTAACCTTTTGAAGAATTAATGATCATCGAGTTCGATACAAATTCATGCCTTCCAATCTCCACACCACCTCAAATTTCTTACAATTTTACTACTTCCTTTCCCTGCATCCGAAAGGAGGAGCTATTACCCTCCAGGACCTGTTCATATTCACAAGGCAGCTCCAGCCCTCCTTTTCCCCATGAGGCTTTGGCTTATGTGCCAACAATGTGCCCAGCTTCTTTCTCAGTCTACCTTAACACACCTAACAACTGACAGAAATTTGACTTCAATAACATTCCACATACAACATATATATATAATAAATGAGGTACTTTGAAGAGAAATTATATTTCACTGCTTTCACATCAAACCACCCTGGTGAGGGCTCCCTTAGCCTCTACCTCACACGCTCATTATAAGTACATGCCTAAGCACACGACGAGATTGTATACTCCAAGAGCTGAAACACTGTGCCGGTGGTGTCCCTGGCCCTGCATTCCTAGCATCAGCACCTAGCTCAGTGCCATGTATACAATAGAGATTTAAAATATGTTTGTTGAATAAATATTTATCTGGACCAAAATGACAAGAGCATAAACACTCATCACAATAATCTAAGGTCCAATCTCTACTATGCAAAATATTAACAATTCCAATGAAAAGTCAATACACAGAAAATGCCCACATTTCAGCACAAACATCATTGGCAAATCAAGATAAAATGCAGCGAGGTTTTTTCAGCACCTTAATATAGGGGTGGTTCTTGCATGTCGTTCCCCACTGTCTGGCACAGCGCTCCTCTTTCCTGTGCTCAAAAAACTCTGGATTGCGAAGAATGGCCACACGGCGGCCCTCATACATCAGAGCAAATGCTGTACAGCCGTCCAGCCTCTCTTTATCTTCATGAGTCGCAGTCAGAACTATAGGTACTGACAAGTTAATGACACCTCCTGCAGAGCACAAAAGAACATGAAGCACACAGCTTGAATTACTCAACACGCTTTACTTAACACCCACCTTTCACTTCAGGGGACACTTTTCAAATAATAAAAGGCTGTAGATCCAGTGACAGTATTCAACTGGTACCTGGCACAGAAAAACGAAAGACAGAACAAGCTATAAGGTCAGGGAGAATGAGCAACGATCTCCCAAGTTAAAAAAAAAAAAAAAAAAGGAAAAATTAAAAGAATCAAACTGTTTTTGGGTACAACATTTTGGTATAGAATTACATAAGTAAAACAAACTGTTTAACAAGAAAGAATCAGCTGGTTAAGCCTAACATCACCAAATACATACTGTGCACTTCCAATATATGAAAGAGACAAAGAACTACGTTTCTGGGCCTTTTCAGGAAAAACTTAAATCCTTGTTGATAACAGGATGACATAATAACTACAATTTATGTGGCAAGTTGATTAAGTATACTTGAGTATCCTTGAGATAGGAAGACAGAACTATCCAAAAAGTTTTTTTAAATACAGTCAAATTCAAACTGATACCAGCTATCACTAACCAAGAAATAAAGACAGTAATGACTGTATTTAAACCAAAATGTGTTGTCAGTGATACTAAAGGCACAGTCTCAGCATGCAACCTTGCAAGCTATAAAAATCTTTTTTCTACTCATCATCTATGGGTTAGAAAAATAAAGTGTGCTCTCACATTCATATTTGGACTATTTATATACTAAAGAAATCATATTTTTTGGACATCATGGCATATCTTCTTTGAACAAAAGATGTCAACGAGAGTAATGATAACTGCTTGGCTGCTTTTTAAATTACTACCACTAGGTAAAGTGTAACATGGAAAATGAATAGGTAGATTTGCACCAAGCCCAAGACTAAATCATCGTAAAGGAGGTAGTCCACAAGACTTTGCAATTAGCTCCAAGGAAGAAAATCAAAATGCATTATTTAATCCTTATGTTCTTGTGATAAAGTTTCTTGAGAAGAATGATTAGGAATTATGTTTTCTAATATCTATTTCACCACCCAGTTAAAATAAGTCACAAAACAAAAAACTTGGTAGCAATTATAGTAGGGTTCTGTGACATTTAAAAATATTTTCATAAGGTAGTAAATTAATCTTACCAACAATATACAACACAAAATTAAAGGCTGCTGCATTATAATGATTATATGTTGGACATCATTTTTTATTTATTTATTTGTTTTTTTGAGACAGAGTCTCATCCTTTCGCCCAGGCTAGAGTATAGTGGTGCCATGATCTTGGCTCACCACACCCTCCACTTCCTAGGTTCAAGCGATTCTCCTGCCTCAGCCTCCCGAGTAGCTGGGATTAGAGGCACACACCACCACACCTAGCTAAGTTTTGTATTCTTAGTAGAGATGGGGTTTCACCATGTTGGCCAAGTTGGTCTTGAACTCCTGACCTCAGGTGATCCACTTCCCTCAGCCTCCCAAAGTGCTGAGATTACAGGCGTGAGCCACTGCGCCTGGCCAACATCAATTTCTTTGACAATTTTTTGTTAATGTTTTAAAAGAATAGGAAGGACCACATTTTTAGCCACATATTTCAGAATTCCTTAACTAAGACTCCACAATTCCTCATTAGAAAGCTCAAGCATGGGCTTCAGTACTGCAAAACGCAGCACGTACATGCCCTGGGTGGGAAGCAGCTTTCCACAGTGATCAGGCAAAAACAGCACAGAATAACTGTATGTGTTTTACAATCCATCCTCAGCCCTGATTCCCAGATTTTCCCTCTCTCTTTGCAATAAATAAGAGTCAGGACACGGAAAAACGAAAATGAGATCTCATGATTCACTTAAATAAAGTGTTCGGTACTGATATAACTTAGTCTTATAATGCTACCTCTATTAAGACGTTACCCTACTACTTTTTGTAAACAGTGACAAATCTCTGCAACTATGTAATTTCTCTTCCACATACAATATAATTTTGAATGTAAAATGTCTTACCATCCAGAAGACAATCAAAATGAAGGCACTGCAAGTACTCCCTCTCTCTCATAAAGCCATTCAATGGGGTTGCCCAACCTTCTGCCAAAACCTGCACCCACTGCATATCCACCTAGTAAATTTGAAAGTAAAGCAAAATTTTCTATTGCATGTATATATGAGCAAAAGCAGTGATGACCTTTAGGAATTTAATTTTGAAAGCAATGGAAACAAACAGTGTAAGGATGAGTATAGATTATACCAAACTAACAAAGAATAAGGGCACTAGGAAAATATTTCCTTCTCCTATTAAATTTAAATAACATTAGGCCTCCAAGTATTTCTAATAAAGACAGCCTCTCCTAAACTAGTGGTTCTCAAACTTTACCTCAAACCCCTGGAAAGCTTGCTAAAATGAGACTGCTTCATCTGCAGAGTTTCAAATTCAGTCAGTTTGCTGTGGGGCCCATGAATCTGTATTTCTAAAATGTTCCCAGAAAATGATAACAGTGATGATCTAATACTTTGATAACCACTCTCCTTAACCAAGAGAAACTTTACGGCCAGAGGAGGTGGCTCACGCCTGAAATTCCAGCACTTTGGAGGCCAAAACAAAGCAGGCAGATCACCTGACCTCAGGAGCTCAAGACCAGCCTGGCCAACATGGTGAAACCCAGTCTCTACTAAAAATACAAAAAATTAGCCAGATGTGGTGGCGCATTCCTGTAGTCCCAGCTACAGGAGGCTGAGGCATGAGGATTGCTTGGGCCAGGAATCGCTTGAGCCCAGGAGGCAGAGGTTGCAGTGAACTGAGATCATGCCACTGCACTCCAGCCTGGCAGCCTGGGCAGTAGAGTGAGACCATGTCTCAAAAAAAAAAAAAGAAGTCATTGGGAGACAAGGAAACTCAAATGACCAATAAATGTATTGAAAAAATGGTTATTCTCATAAATCATCAGGGAAATGTAAAATGATGGCATAATCATTTCATAGAGAAGACTTCACCTTTATCTGTAAAGCTGCATTTTATCTGACAGTTTGGTACCTTTACAGTGCACCCAAGCACACAGCTTATGGTCTCCAAAAAGGAACTAGGGCTGGCTGGAGAAAAGGCTGAATCCAATCATAGGGCTAGAAGGTATAAGGTGAGCCTGGAACATCTTGCTGAGCCAGGAAGCAAGGAATCTTTCCAAGATTAACAAAATCTTGCTGGAAAGACACAGGAATCACCCCACTGGCCAGCTAAGACCATTTAAACTTCAAAAGGAAAATACTGGCTGAGGTCACTTGATACACAATAAATAAGAAGAGCCTTGGTCCATCAAGTGACTCACAAAAAAAGTGACCATAAAGTACTGTATTCTAAAAAAAAAAGGTGTATAGAATTAAGTACCTTCTGTTCTGTGGTCTTGTTAGGAAAAAAAAAAAAAAAGGGAAGCCACTGCACTCCAGCCTGGGCAACACAGCGAGACTCCATTTAAAAAAAAAAAAAAAGAAAGGAAGAAACATTAAATAAAATATTTTCCAAGAAAAGTCTCTTACCCATGACAGAGTACTCTTCATTTTACAAAGACTATTATTTCTTGAACTTTGAGATTTCTAGCATATCCCATTAGAACGTCAAAGGACCGATGAACAATGTACTTATCGTTAATGTAAGCTGGATATGCTCATTTTTTAACTAAGCATACAGCAGTGGCTCTCCAATGAGAAAGATAAAGCACCTGGCTGAGTGGAGTACAGTAAAATGCAGCCTACTATTTATTCCCAGAGTATGTTTGCCAATGTGTTCCACTGCAAAATCAATTCACAGGAAAAAAAATTGGATTCATGAAGAAATTTTTTTTTTTCCAAAACCTTTGATGGTGGCTACTACTTGTCTCTACTGGAATTCAATTCTAGATGGTATCTGTTAGGGATTGAATGTCTGTGTCCTCTCAAAATTCCTATACTGAAGGCCTAACCCCAATGCTACCATACTTAGAAATAGGCATGTGAGGAGGTGCAAAGAATAGCAGTGTGCCTTCCAGATGCTCTGCCAATTGAAGAAATTTGAAAACCAATGAATTGAAAATACATTCCATTTAGAAAAAGCTACTGTCTTTCTGGATTCTAGAATCTGACATGTAAATTCATAGTCATTCATTCTCATTCTTCTTCTCTCTGCCTTTGTCTGCGTGTATTCACTCCATGCAGTCTGTAAGCAACAAATTCTGTTGTTCTTATGTAACAGTTCACTTCCTGAGCTGCTCTGCTCTGTAGTTCTCCCTTCTTGTCACTCCCTGGCATGTCTTGGTTTCTGGTCAGAGACCCAATCACACACAGAAAGTGTACCAATATAATTTACTCCCATCAGGGATTTGGTAACAACTTAAAGAGTCTTTCATCAAGCCTAGAAGTTTTGTTTTGTTTTCCTTTCTCCTTACTTTCAGATGTGGCACTTCCTTGGGTATTTTGGATTTTTACTATATTAAAAGAAAGGATGGGGAATCTAACTTCTAGTCCAAATACTTATTTTTAATCTCCCTTTTTTTAAAGTATACATAAATGATACAACTTAAAATTCTCTAAGACTCGAAAATGATAAATTATAATTTCCATTCTCATCATGCTTAACTACGCAGTTGTATTGGGAAAGACAGCTAATGATATCATCAGAGCTAAGATACACAATAAAATTATTCTTAACAATATAAGACAGAGAGAGTCAAGTTTTGGCAAGGGATTAGAAAACATGTCTGAAGGGGAGAATGTTTACTTAATTACTATGGATTAGTATTCCTTGACCTTTTAGAACCCATTATTTCTGATAAGCCTAAGGATCTCATGTAATATTTGTTCTTTGATAGTTCAAAATAAATAAGTATTATTACTCAAAGCAAATCAAAGCCATGGTAACTTGGGAACATGGTTGCACAAATTAAACACATTCCCCATCCTTAGAAATTGTGACATATACCACAACATCTTTGCCCCCCCAGCTAATACCACCCCTGGCCTCAAATACTGCTATAAGTCACAAATTTAACAAACTACTGTATATAAGGCTGTATCACTTAGTGTGAAAAGCAACGAAGAACTTACTTTATTAATTTTCAGTGCTGGTAATGTTTCCGCATCTGTTTTTGCCAAATGAAGTTTATTTTCTGGCACATATAGTTCTTTTACTTCATAAGATGCATCCACAGGTACAATATCCTATATAACAACAGGAGTACAATTTAAATGTTTGATTCAAGAATTTAGAGTTCACCAAAGGGTATCTTAATGAAGAAAATCTCTCAAAATAAAACCAAAAAGTAGCATAAAAGAAGGCTGTGAGTGCTATGTTCCCCTCAACCAATACTCTCAAGCAGATAGTATCCCACATCCAAGAAGTAATTAAGCCCAATGTCCCATTATCTAGTGGGAAAGAATAAATTCCTAAAATATACTACATATGTCAAAGTCAGGCAACTACAAATGAGAGGTGGCCTCAAATAAGAGGTAACAACAAAAAGAATTTGGAAACAAGCAAACAAAAACCACCTGAACCATCATCCTTATTATCTTTACCATATCACGAAACCATTTTATTCCAGCTTTTATATATACCTTTATCACCACTGTCAGGAAAGCCACCTTTTACCCAAGCAACACGGTATTCTAGAATGTCAGCTTTACTTCCACCACTGTGGTTTGAAAATCAGAACTTTTTGATCCCACACGAAATGCAGCCTGGAATTTTTATCCAAGCTCCATATACTCATTTATAAAACACTGGGATGGTGTTTTTCCCCATTTATACTACAAGTACATATTTGTGATAACAACATAACCATTTACATACTGCTCATTAGGAGCTCTTTACAAGGCTTGTTCACAACACTTGACATATCCCTAAGAATAATTACTAAATGTGTTTAATCACTTTAATTTGTTTTAAGCCAAATCTGTCAGGTAACCTCTACAACCATGCAAAATTGGCACTGATGGAGGGCTTTTCATACATGTGTCCAATACTTTGTTATTCAAAATAAAGTAATTCTCAAAAGATTGAGAAGATAAGCCAGACTGGGAGAAAAATACACTCAAAAGTTATATCTTTAGATAAATGTTATCCAAAAATATACAAAATAAACAATTAAAACTCACCAATAAGAAAATGAACCCAATTTTAAAAATGGGCAAAAGACCTGAATAGACATCTCATCAAAGAAGACACATAGATTATAAATAAGCATATGAAAAGATGTTCAACATCATATGTCATTAGGAAATTGCAAATCAAAACAAGATAGCACAACATACCTATCAGGATAGCCAAAATCCGAAACACTGACAACATCTAATGTTGCCAAAGATGTGGAGCAATAGGAACCCTCATTCATAGCTGGTGGGGATGCAAAATGGTACAGCTACTTTGGAAAACATTTTGCCAGTTTGTTACAAAACTAAACATACTCTTATCAGCAATTTCACTCCTTCATATTCACCCCAATGAGTTGAAAACGTACCTCCACTCAAAAACCTGCACAGGGTGTTTAAAGCAGCTCTATTCAGAATTGCCAAAAGTTGACAGCCACAATGTGTCTTTAGTAGGTGAATAAACAAACTGTAGAACATCTAGACAATGCTATATTAGTCAACTCTAAGAAGAAATGAGCTCCATGAAAACATGGAAGAACCTTAAGTGAGAACTGCTAAGTGAAAATAGCCAATCTGAAAAGGGTACAGACTATATGATTCCAACTACATGATGCCAATTTTGCTGTGAATCTGAAACTTCTCTAAAAAAAAGTCTGTTTTTTTAAAACAATACAAAACAACAAAAAATGTAATTCAAGATGAAAGAACTGGATTTTTAAGGACACTCTCCACTATTTTTCCTGAGGAATAGATGACCTCTAGAAAGAAACTTCAATTTATATTTGGTCTTACATGACATGTTCAGTAGAAAAAAAAGGCAGATATGTCAATCAAAGCCAGATGACTTCATGAAAGACCTAGGTGCTACCACTCAATCAATCAACAACTATGGGTTCTGAAAATCTAAGAACTATTCTCTTACATTTCTCCTACTTTCTCACACACCCTGTTTCCTCAAAGATGGAACAAGAGACAGTTCAGCAATGGCTAAATATGTGCCAAAATCAGGCTCCTCCTACTGGTAAATTCAAAGTCTCTGACCTTTCTAATAATTAAAAAAATAAATAAATAAACAAGAAGAATAAACATCAAGGAAAAGAAAACGTAATATTAAAAATCAAAAGACAGACAAGAAATAAACACCGCTAGCTACAACAGCAAATTCAGCCAGCTGCGCTGCTCTTGGGGTGTAGACATGAACGGCACTTTCTGGAAGCCTCTTGTCCCTCTAGGGTCTCACTGTTCATAGGAGGAAAGCAGAAAAGTGTGTGAGGCACAAACCCGGCACAGCATTAGACACTTTGTATACCTTCCAAATCTTCTGCAATTAAGCTTCCAGCAGGCACCCATAGCCAAAAGCTATCTATTGTGTTTACTGAGGGTAAATAATACAGGAGGGCATTAAAAAATAATGGTGAAGGAAGAAAGCTCCACCAGCTGCTTCTATGTTCTCTCTGTAGATGCACTAATGGGGCAGATTATTTCTAATGAACCCACACTAAAGAGGGCATATCTTAAATTTTGCCAAGGAGTTCAAAGCAGTGACAACTAAATATACATAGTTTATACATAATACCAGGAGGGGAAACCACATATAGAAAAAAAAAAAAGGACTCTTCCTTAAATCTAGCATGAGATATAGCTTATCTTCCAACTCCAGAATTATTTTAATATATGTATTTTAAATTATAAAATAGCAGTAAAAAGAATCTGGGAGATTCTCTTTATGAGAAAACCAAATCACCCTGTATCCCAGATATGGTTATCACTGTCATTTTTCTGTCTTCCCTTTGATCTGGTCTCCATCCATAGGTACATTACACGACAAATGATAGTTTAGCAGTCTGTGCAAAGCCTATTACTTCATCAAGTAGAAAATAAAAGTTCAGAGTCAATTTTTCCTGGAAGGACAATACGATGTGCATTAAGTGAACTACACATACATTTTGTATGTTCAATTAGCTTCTTCGATATGTAAAGCCTCCAAAGATGCCTTGAGGCATACAGATTCTTTGCAGCTACAAAGTAAAGAATTGAAATCTTCTATGCTAGGGGGAGAAAACACTAAACATAACAAGTTACACAAAAAGTCAGGCACTCATTAGGACTTCTGTGAGGAAGAGTATGATACACTTTCACGAGACACTTAAAATTAAATATTTACATAATCACAAAGCTTTAGGGGCATAACATCTTCAAAACCAACGAGATACAAAAAGCAACAGGAGTCTATAGGTCAGTTATTTCCAATGTTCTTATCACTAAGAATATGAAGTAAAAAAAGAGGGCAAAGTCTTTTTATATTTAAGATCTGAGTTCCAATTCTAACAGTGCAATCTTGAGCATCTTACAACGTGTCTCCCCAGTTGTTTAAAAAAAAGTACAAAAAAGATACACACATATATGTTACAGGGCTGTTTTGACAAACTAGTGACTTAAAGTACCTGAAGAGTGGAGGATAATATTAGTGAGAACTGACTATAACACCACTCATTGTTCTAAGAGCTTCATGTGAATTTTAGTCCATTAATCTTCACACAGTCCTACTAATGAAGGCAGAAGAAACTACTGCTATCCCTTCTTTACAGAGGAAATCGAGGCCTAAGAGAGGTCAACAACTTGACCCAAATCCCTGCAATACTGTCTTTCAATGGACTTAACATAAAAAGAATACTCAGTAATTAGAGTATGCTTGCTACATGCCAGGAACTGTTTAAGCACTCTGCATGTATCAACTCATAGAATCCTCTGCACAATCCTGAGGCAGGCACTTTAATTATTTCCCATTTCATAGATGAGCGAATTGAAGTCCAAGAAATTAGACTATATCTTCCAAGGTCATATAGTTGAGAAGTATTGAAAACTAAGGTATTAAGTATTTTGTCACACAAATTTTTCTTATTTTCATGATTTTATTAAACATAATTCCCAAGTTTTTAGTCAGCATGTGATCTTCCAATGCGTTGGTAAGGTTCTAGAGAAAAATAAAAGATATTCAGCATTTCAGTTGAGCCTAAATAGTTCTATTAAAGACAAGTAAGCAATTTGCAACCAACTGTTCCAAACCCTGCCACTGTGAATAAATCATGAGCCTCCATTTCCAATGCTGAGGATCCCTTAGCAGGATATGCAGTCTGGGAACAAATGACAAAGGACTCCAGAGAAGAGAAGAATCTCATTCTCAACTTCAATGGTAAGAAAAACTCTATATAAAGCTTTCTTTGCCATCTCTGAAATGTATATTATTGTAAGGATGGGATATCTTTTTGTATGCTGTGATGGGGCTTGACTACTCTCCCCCAGGTTTACTGCTGAAAATTGTCACAATCCTAGAGAAGCAGAAGAAAGCATGCAGCAGACACATCTTCTGATTTTTACTGGCTACAACAAGGCATGTTTAGCTGGTTTCCTAATCCAGCATCCCTAGTTCAGCTCACAAAGACTGAAGACCAGGAGCAGTGTGCACAGTCCACTGCAATGCTCCAGGCACAGGGCTGGGACTGTTCTCTTCCCTCCACCCTGGAGACCCCACAACACTGAGGGCACACTCAGGTGCATCTCTGCTTCCTCTGAAGAGATGGTCCAAATAAGAACTCTGCACTAACGAATGTTTCTATAGATGATGTCTACCATTTCCTTCCAACCATATCCCCAAGTTAAAAAAAAAAAACTGTACAAATAATTTGTGATCAAATCTGTCTCCAAGGTAACTAGTTTGAACATGTAAAGGGCAATATCTATACTGTAAGCCCCATCAAATTACTGAAATATTTTGTGCACTAATAAAGTTATTCATAATTGAGCATAATTTTATCAATGTGCTACTTTACATGTATTAACAAAGGCTATAACCACTTTCTTTTCAAGAAGGGAAATTTTTTCATATTTTGTTTTTGAGTCAAAATAACTTTTTCATTAGAAGCATTTCATAAAACTCTTCCCTCTTCAAAATTCACACCCAACAATATTTTTAAATGGATTTTAGCCTCACAACTTCAATACAAAATTCTTCTGATACCTAACCAATGCCAAAATAAACATTCGAAAGGTTGCTACTGTTTTTCTCTTCTAAAAAAGATACAGAGAGTGAATGTTTTGGGAATTAATGCAAAAATAGCATGAATCAAGAGGAACTGGGAGCATCTGCTCAGTCTGTGGAAATGAGTTATACACAGATTCTATGTGTAAAGACAAAAGGACTCAGTCTCTTACAGGAATATAAAAAGAATCTTAAACATGCAGATGCTGCCAGCTTCTAGCACATTCCAGTGACAAATCTCAGTTTCCAAAACCACTACTAAACATCTGAAAGGAGCAAAACCACCTCAAAGTGACACAAGATATCTGGACAACAGAAAGTTGGTCCCTGCCACATGAGCTATCCACTTTATTTGGGATTCATTAGGATTTCCACAGACACAGCTATTAGAAACAACGTGCTCTTCTTCAATTTGTACATATAAAACCCTTTGCTTCATGAAATGTCCTTTAAAACACAAAGAGATCACAAGCCAGGCCAGGAAAAAGTCTGCACACACCTGGACATCTCACCTCCAATCTGAAAGGCTCCAGTCACCCAGCACTGAAGGGTAAAGGGGGCTCAGGGAGGCCCTAGGAGTCCTCCTGAGCAGGGGATCAGTAAATGACCCACACTCTACTATTAATGAGAGGTGAATTCCGTAACCTGTAAGTCTAGAGATATTATAAATTTATAAGTATTAATTTAATTTTAAAATGTAACACGGGGTACCCAGAACGTTGTTTGACTTTGACAGTCTAACATCTAACATATGTTGTATCCAAAAACAGACAACTGTTTTTGTTTTTACCTGGACACTGGCAGGCAGGGCAAACAACATGCGCTACATGAAAGTGGTAGCTCTCGCCTCTCATTTTAATCTTCCTAAAGAACTCTGAACATGTTAATACAATGATTCCACATTTTAAGTTTTCCTTTAAATACTTTCTGTACTTTTTTCTTGAGCCAAATCTGCTCAACAGATTTGAACACAAGGGCACATTCATATTTTTATGTAACTATTAAATTTCTGTTATCTAAACTACATGCATCCAAAGCATGAACACCAAACGACATTCCGGCAACACTTTAAAACTGAGCTGCAAAGTCTGGCTTTTATGTGTAGCATAAAACCCATTTAGAGCACTAAACCACCATTTCTTAAAAAGACAAACCTTTAAATAATTTATAGCACTAGTAAATCTAGAGTTCCTGGTAGATTTTAAAACAGTATTTAAAATATCACTTTAGATTAAAACCAGCAGCAAGAAGTCTACTTCCTTATGTCATAACAAGCCAAGTTAAAATGCAATACTAGCAGGCCATCTAGTGACCAATTTAGGGTCTAGGAAAATAAAAAAATCCTGATTTGTTAGTGTTTTCTATTTTCTTAAATACATACCAAACAAAGAAAATGAAGATGCTGTGAGAAAACGCTAAGAAATGCAGTCTTTATATGAATGACCACTTTATCTATCCTGATTATATTACATAGCCACAGTGAAAGAGAAGGCAACCCAGAAAATGACAGAGAATTCTTAACTTTATGTAAAGTACCCATGGTAACCAAAGGACCCATCATCCTATATTACCCGTTGTACAGCATACTAAAAACATTTTTCTTGGACAATGAAATAAATACTGTATCTTACTGAAGACCATTAAACAATTCCAGGTACAATTCACTTCAGAAGAGTCTCTCCAAAGGAATACAGAGGAACAGATAAAAGCAAACTCTACTTACCACTATTTTTCCATGAAGACAGTGCTTTTCAAACACCTTCATTCTCTGGGAAGTCCCAGACCATAGTACTTTCTTCTCTCTAATAAAAACTGGTATACAATTGGAAATACATACAGTGTTTGGTCTTTGTCCTCAGTTCTTGGCACAGAGCTCCTAACACCCTTGAAATCCCCTAAGTGATCAATGTGCCTTTGGAGTGCTGAGGAGAGGACTCTTGGCTGAAGGGCTCCTAGACAGCTTCATGATGGGAACTGGGACCAGAAAGTCCAAGTCACCATCACAGGGTTGCAACTTTCAGCCTCACTCTACTCCCCTGACCTCTGGGGAGCAGAAAGGCATTAGAGAGATTGAGTTCAATCACCAATGGCCAATGATTTAATCAAATGTGCGACGTAAAGCCTACATAAAAACTTCTAAATGATGGGGTTCAGAGAGCTTCCCAGTTGGTGAGCACACGGAGGTACTGGGGGCTGGGGGTTGAAGTTCATAGAGAAAGCACGGAAGCTCTGCCACCCCTTCCCTGCACATCTCTTCCATCTGGCTGTTACTGAGTCTATAAGAAACTGGAAGTAGCAAATAAAGCACTTTACTGAGTTCTGTGAGTTGTCCTAGCCAATGATCAAACCTGGTGTGGGGACAGGGTAGGGAGGTGGGAAACCTTGGATTTATAATCAGCCAGGCAAGAAAGTGGGTAGCCTGGGCACCCCATTTGGGCTGGCGTCTAAAACAGGGCAGTGTATAGGAGTGAGCCCTTAACCTGTGAGGTCTGAACTAACTCCACATAGCTAGGGTCAAAATTAAATTGAATCACTGGATACCAGATGATATCAGAGATCAAACAAAAAACTGGTTATTGTGAGAAAAAAAGTCTTCAAAAGTATTACAAAACTAAGCTTGAAGAGGGGATAAAATTTACTTAGTTTATTTTAGAAATAAAGTTGTCATTATATATAGTATAACCTTTTACCACTCCAATTCAGGTTTTAGGACTTACATAAATCATAATTCATTAGGCAAAATGTGCCTCTTTCCAAGGTAAATTAGATAACCTACAAACACTATTCTTATTGCACTTACATAGAACAAGCATTTCACACTAGCTGGACACAGGTATGAGCAGTTTATTTCTTTAATAAACATTCTTTCCAACCCAGATAGTGTTGTCTTTGATCTGCTCAAGTATTTTAAAAGTATTCAAGAAATAATAAATCTTTCTAAGGTCAATGAAATGCCCATGCCTCTCCCATTTCTTAATCCCAACTACAGTTAGGGAACAACTGATCAAGGAATGTGAAAGAGAGTCAGAGAAAAGATTCATATTTCAGAAATAAACTAGAAATGGAAAGAATCTAAATACTAGTAAAGGCAGAGTAGTAGAAACATTGAGTGTGTAGGCTGCAGAATCAATCAGAACTGTGTGCAAACCTCTCCCTAACTGAACTATCTGGGACAAATAACTTCACCTCTGGAATCTGTTTCCTTATCAGCAAAATGAAGATAATTATAAATACTTCTCAATTTCAATGTAAATTAGATGCAATAATGCCACTGCAGTACCTAACACAGGGCCTAGCACACAGTAAGAGTTCAACTGGTAAGTTACTGTTGATGGTCTCCATCTCTGCCTGTGATGGTTAATACTGTGTGTCAACTTGATTGGATGGAAAGGATACAAAGCATTGATCCTGGGTGCATCTGTGAGGGCGTTGCCAAAGGAGATTAACATTTGAGTCAGTGGGCTAGGAAACCCAGACCCATTCTTAATCTGGGTAGGCACCATCTAATCAACTACAAGCATCACTAGAATATAAGCAGGCAGGAAAATGTGAAAAGAGAGACTGGCCTAGCCTCCCAGCCTACATCTTTCTCCGGTGCTGGATGCTTCCTGCCCTCGAACATCAGACTCCAAGTTCTTCAGTTTTGGAACTCAGACTGGCTCTCCTGGATCCTCAGCCTGCAGATGGCCAACTGTGGGACCTTGTGATCATGCAAGTTAATACTTAATAAACTCATATATATATAAAATATATATACACACACACATATATATGTACGTATATTCCATTAGTTCTGTCCCTCTAGAGAACCCTAATATACTGCCCATGGCATTCGCTTTCAGCACACACATTTATATATTCTTTTACATAATGCTGGTTAATGTAGGACCCCTAACCTTCACCTCCCTACTCCAAACACATACTCTAAAGCTACATAAATTTGGTTATTATTCCTTGCTTTAAAGCAACATGGTACTTGATATATTCATCCCCTTCACCTCCCAATCTATATTTAGATTGTACTATGTGTCCTCCCATAGCCCACCTTTGGAAAACCTAACAAATGTCTTTGTGATAACAATGAAGTTAAATGAACTGAATTTGCTACCCCTGGATAGAGGGAGTTTGATATGAAAAGTACACATTATAGCAAGTCACTTTGCAATGAAGTACAGTGGGCAAATGCACAACTGGCATTTCTAAGGATGAACTTTGAGCTGAATGTCAGGTATTCACTGGTTTCTCCATGTGCCCTAATGCCCACTGGGATTCAACTTAGTGAGAAAAACAACCAAAAGAAAATAAAAGACAGATATAGTTGTGTGTCTATGTGTATTTCTTCCTCAATTGCATTTTTAAATTCTACATCATAGTATAAAAGAAGAGAAATAAATGAATCTATATATGCTCATTCTAGTCTATACACTATAAACAAAATAACAGTGGTGAAGACCAAAAATTAAGGTCCATGAGGCTGGAATGTTTATTGCTTAATTCACTGCCACATCCGCAGTGTCCACAAAAGTGCCTACCACATATAGCATTAACTATCTGTTAAATTAACTAAAAAGATCAACTAAGTACAACAGAGAAATATGCGTGCTTTCATTGGGAAGTGAAGTCATTTATTCAGAAAAGCATGTAACAAATATTGAAAAGGAGGGTGATACCAAAAGAAAGCTATCAAATTAAGGAGGCATTTGCATTTCTTCTTTTGTCACCACCCACCTTTAAGATAAAAATTAACAGTTTTTCAAAAGAAAATTTCTCTCTCCTAAATGAACATAACCAGAATCCCTTTCTGGATGTAGATTTAATTACATCTCACTTAAGTGTAAGGAGAACACTCCTGAAAGTAAAAGCCAGAGGTATAAGAAAATTACTGAAATTCTAGATGCAGAATCCAACATGTCCATGAACAAGTTTCTTCATTTCTCTGAAATACTTCAAAGGTTTACTGTATGAATAAAATCAAACAACATATGAAAAGAGCTTAGCACAAGGACCACTTGGAAAACTACCACAGTAATTCAGGTGAGAGACAGTTGGAAGCTAAATTAGGAAAAAAGGTCACTTTCCTCCAATTGAAATAAACAGAACAAGTTATTTTAAAAGACAACATACTATAAATATGTCCCTTATAATAAGGACTCAGCAAATGTTAATTTCTTATCTATCCTTCTTTTTCAAGGATAATATCCTTGAATGAAACTGTCCAATCATCAGATTGTCTAGCAAGCATAATACAGATTAGTATCCATATACAAGGAAGAGCAATTAGCATAGTCATTAATTAGGTACAAATAAATTAGGAGGAAGGCATTAACTAAGACTACAGAGATAAGACAAGCAATAGCACCAAAGAAAGAAAGAAAATACTACGGTGAACTTCATAAGGACAATAAATAAGAAAATATGCAGCATGGAACCAAACTATGAAGAACTGTGAACACAAATCATCTTTCCTCTTTATTTGATTTTTATTGATGCATTTTATTTTATTTATTTTTTATTTCAGACAGGGTCTCACTCTGTCATCCAGGCTGGAGGGCAGTGGCAGAATCATAGCTCTCTGCAGCCTCAAACTCCTGGGCTCAAGAGATCCTCGTGCCTCTGCCTCCTGAGTATCTGGGATGTGCCACCACACCTGACTACTTTTTAAAAAAAATTTTTGGAGACAAGGACAGGATCTCACTATGTTGCCCAGGCTGGTCTTGAACTCCTGGCCTCAAGCAATCTTCCTGCTTCAGTTTCCCAAAGTGCTGGGATTACAAGTGTGAACCACCACACCTGGCATATGCCAGGTATAAATCATCTCAATTCTATAAACAATGGAAAAATCAGTAAGTGTTTTAGAGCGAAAAAAAGGAAATGCTTAGACTACACTTTAGAAAGATTACTTTGTGAATATTATAGGACAGACTAAAGGGCACACAGAACTGGAGTTGTGGTAACCAGTTAGGGGAATATGGGATAGTGTGATCCTAAAATCATACAGTGTCAATTTACCTTCAGTTTTTAACCATCAGGGAATAAAAGCAAGATGCAAAGTCCTGTGCATCATAAATACCACAGGAATCTGTATTTTCATTATACAGAATTATAGTTAAAAACCAACTGAACCCTGAATACAGTGCGGAATCCTGGACTGAATCCTGGAACAGGAAAAACATTAGTGAAAAAATAAGTGAAGAGCTGCAAAATTTTCTCAAAATCAAGTTTTTTTTTTTCAAGAAAAACTTAAAATTATCTTCCTCCCTGAAGAAAAAAAAAGAGCCTACACGTAGGAAAAGTGTCAAACCCAAAGGACACTATTCTAAATAGGGCCCCAAAGAAGTGA